>NC_000016.10:71229166-71532197 GCF_000001405.40 Homo sapiens
GAGGGGGGAGGGATAGCATTTGGAGATATACCTAATGTAAATGACTAGTTAATGGGTGCAGCACACCAATATGGCACATGTATACATATGTAACAAACCTGCACGTTGTGCACATATACCCTAGAACTTAAAGGAGAATAAAAATATATACATATAAAAAAAAGATCACCTGCTAACAAGGTTGCAATTTGGCAGTTTCTTGTAAAATTAATACTTACCATATAACCTATCAATCCTACTCCCAGGTATTTATCAAAATAATAACATATGTCCATACAAATACCTGTATGGGAATATTTATAACAGTTTTACTTATTAATAATTACCAAATACTGGAAGCAATCCTAATGTCCATCAGCTGATGGTACATCCATTCAATAGAATAGTACGCAGCAATGAAAAGAAATGAGCTACTGTTACATACAACAACATGGTTAAATCTCAAAAGCAATATGCTAAGTATAACAAGCCAGACAAAAAGTGCTATGTATGTTATAATTTCATTTATGTGACATTCTGGATAATGCAGAATCAGAAAACAGATCATTTCATTAGTTGCTATGGGCTGGAAGTGGGGAAGGGGCATTGACTACAATGAGGTACAAGAGATACTTTCTGAGCTAATGGAATCATTCTACATACTTATTGCAGTAAGTACATGATATGGTTTGGCTGTGTCCCCACCCAAATATCATCTTGAATTATAACTCCCATAATCCCCACGTGTCATGGGAGGGACCCCATGGTGGGTAACTTAATCATGGGGGTGGGTTTTCCTGGGTTGTTCTCATGATAGTGACTGAGTCTGACGAGATTTGATGGTTTTATAAAGGGGAGGTTCCCCTGCACATGCTCTCTTGCCTGCCGCCATATAAGACACGACTTTGCTCCTCCTTTGCCTTCCACCATGATTGTGAGGCCTCCCCAGCCAAGTGGAACTGTGAGTCAATTAAACCTCTTTTCTTTGTAATTAGCCTCAGATATGTCTTTATTAGCAGAATGATAACAGATTAATACAGTACAGAACTTTATATTTTCAAAACTCTTGGAACTGTACACCTAAAAGAGGTGAATTTTACCATTTTCCCCGGTAAGACGGGAAATGATTCGTCCAAGGCCTGGGGCTAATTCCAAGTTGGAAGCGAGGCAGCACCTCAGGCCTTCTGCCCTTCAGGCTACCTGTCTGGCAGGGGAATCCCAAGAACAAAAATCCGAGGTCCCGTAACTTTCATGGGAGTGAGAAGTGGCTAGGGAAGGCTGAGGAGGGGAGGGGTCTGGAAAGTCTGGAGAACGCCTGGGACGCAGGGCGAGGACGAGGACGAAAAGAGGGGACGCCCCGGTTAGCCCCCATGTCCCTCACACTTTGACCCCACAATCTCTGCGAGGACCTCTGACCTTGGTGCACTCCGGGTCCCACGTTTATTCTACCTCCATTCCCCGCCAAGACCCCGCGTCCAACTCACAGACCCCGCCGCCGCTGAGGGGCTCCATACCCAGCTTGAAGCCGCCCGCACTCTCCATGCGCCGCCCGAGCTGTTGCCGTCCGTTGCCACGGTAACCACGGAGCCGCACAGCCTAGCAAGCCGCGCGATGATTGGAGGAGGCAAGCGTCAATAGCAACCACCGCCCCAGCTGCTAGGTGCAAAAGAATTTGGTTTCCAAGGATTCTTCGGACACCACCTCTCCCCAAAGCCACACTTCGCCAGGCCTAGTTCTTTAAAGATGCTTCGTGCATTATCTCATTGAACACCTGCCTCCTGCCTCCCAGTGTTGCTGTGGAAATCTCTTATCTCTACAGGAATTTTTAACCTGTGGTCCTTTGACCTCTTCAGGAGGTCCACGAACCCCCTTAAGTTATAAGCAAAAGTTTGTGGCCATTTACCCGGTCAGATGGTCCATAGCTGTAGATTCTCAAAGGAGCTGGAACCAAAACTCAGGTTGCCCCATGCCCGAGACGGCGCAAGAGTATAAATCCCACATCCATTAACCCCATCTTCCTTCTCAGAGAAACCAGACAAATAGAGTGTGGTTCTTCCTAGACTTCATTTACATTTATTCAAACCATGACTTGAGACATCTCCCAAATGCTTTAACTCTTGACCTTCAGTCATTCATTCATTTAATAAATATCTATTGATCACTAATTGTGGGTCATATATTTGTCATAGGGACACTTTTCTCAGCATTGAAAGATAGCAATTGTCAAGGCAATTTCATAGAAGCATAAACAAGATCATTTCAGGTTGTGGTACTAAACAAAATGTCAGGATGTGATAGGAAGTGTCAAGGGTGATGAGCCCAGTAGACAGGTGGTTAGGGAGGGTGTCTTTGAGGAGACAGTTGCGTTTGAGCTGAGACATGGGAAGATACCAGCTATAGAAGAGCAAGGGAGAGGGTGGGCAGCACAAGAAAAAGGAATAGAAAGTTACAGGCAGAAATGAGTTTGGAGAATTCGAGAAAATGAAAAGTCAATGTGGCTGCCTCAAAAAGACACACTCAGATTGCCCTTCCCTGGCTCTTCACAATACTGTCTCCTTCTCCTCCGTACTTCCTTGCTCTGTCCTCCATCACACTCTCTCATGTCACCTTATTTATTTCCTTCAAAGCTCTTGTAACTTTTTATTGTCTGTGAGCTCCATGAGAACAGAGACTGTGTCCCCCTTATAGTATCCCCAGCACCTAAAATAGTAACTGGCCTGGCGTGGACACTAAATAAATATTTGTTGATTGCATGAATCTACACATCACAATACTAGGAACTGTGGTTGACTGGGAGATACAACAGATAACAAGATGAAGATGCTTCCTCCTTTGTGAACCTTAAATGCTTGTGGAATAATTTAATTACAAACTATGTGGGCCAACTAATTGCGTGCAGAATTGAATGATTTAGACTGTAAGTGCTGTGGGGAAACATTGAAGGATTCCCTTGGTAATGTCTTCATTCTTTCAATTATATTTAGTTCAATTTCACAATATTGAATGCCTACTCTATGCCAAACACTGTTGTTTATAACAATGAACAAGACAGACACCAACTTTGCCTACAGAACTTACAGTCTACTGCTGTACTACTGCTCCACTACAGTTGCCTCTCATCATTTATGGCTATCGACCACTGAATGTGTAGCTGGTCCTAAATGGAATGTGGAGTAAGTGTAGACTCCAAATTTCAAAGACCTAGTGTAAAACAAGAATGTAGAATATCTCATTAGTATTTTTAAATTGATTTCATATTGAAATGATAATGCTTCAGATATATTATGTTAAATAAGATATATTATTAAAACTCATTTCACCTGTTTTTTTCTTTTTTTAAATCTGGCTGCTAGAAAGTGTTAAATTACATATGCACCTTGTATTATATTGCTAGTGGACTGTGCTGGTCTAGTGGGAGCTTAATGCTATTTGAATAAACAAGTGAAATCTCATTACAGATGTTAAAATAGACATTTTGGTAGAGGCATGATAAATAGCAAATTTCAAATAAAGAACATAGATGAAGAATTTAGAAGTAAAACAAGTTAGGCAACTCTTAAATCTTCCGCACACTGAGTGTATAAAAGAGTCAGGAGAAGGCCGGGTGCAGTGGCTCACGCCTGTAATCCGAACACTTTGGGAGGCTGAGGCGGGTGGATCACCTAAGGTCAGGAGTTCAAGACCAGCCTGGCCAACATGATGAAACCCCATTTCTACTAAAAATATAAAAAATTAGCTGGGCATGGTGGCGGCGGGGGGGGGGGGGGGGTGCCTGTAATCCCAGCTACTTCAGCTACTTGGGAGGATGAGGCAGGAGAATAGCTTGAATCCAGGAGGCGGAGGTTGCAGTGAGCCAAGATCACGCCATTGCACTCCATCCTGGGTGACAAGAGCGAAACACCGTCTCAAAAAAAAGGGGGGGAGGGGCCAGGAGTGGGGGATTTAAGAGGATTTCTAAAGAAGATCTTCATGAAGGATTTCTTCAAAAAGAGCTGAGCTGTGAGTCCCACCTCCAAATCTCCAGTCAAAAGAAAAGGGCTTTGAGGAAGCCACTGGGTGTTTAATATGTGGCATCTACAGTTCAGAGGGCACAGTGGGCTTGTGTCTGAATCCTACCTGGAAATGCTAAAAAGGGCAAGAGATATGCTCACTAGTCAGCAGTCAGCAGTGCAAAGAAGAACTGCTTGGTTAGGAACAACCCTCCTTCTTCCCCTAGGATTTACAGATAAAAGATGTGTGAGTGCTTTCTATGAAGGAGATGAAGTTCATTCAAGAGAGATTGTACAGGGTCATTTTAGACCCTTTCCATCTCTTAGATAGAGGTTTCAGAAAAGGAAAACTGAGTGCTATGGTTTGAAAGTGTCCCCTCCAAATTCATGTGTTGAAATTCAATGGCCAATGTGATACTATTAACAGGTGAAGCCTTAAAGAGGTGATTAGGTCATGAGGGCTCCTCCCGCATGTATGGGATTAATGACCTTATAAAAGGGCTTGATGGAGGGAGTTCATGCCTCTTACTCTTCTGCCTTCTGCCATGTGAAGACACAGTGTTCCTCCCCTCTAGAGGATGCAGCATTCAAGGTGCCATCTTGGAAGCAGAGACTGCCCACTCACCAAACAACAAACCTGTTGTTGCCTTGATCTTGGACTTCCCAGCCTCCAGAACCATGAAAAATAAATTTCTGTTCTTTATAAATCACCCAGTCTTGGGTATTTTGTTACACCAGCACAAACTGACTAACATACTGAGGGTATCGCTAGTTACCCAGGGGTCAAGAAAAAGGAAAGAACCAGCCAAAAGAAAGATGTCCCAGTAAGAGAACTGCAGGATATGGATTTCCAGCAACGAGGGTAAGTTATCTTGAAAGACTCTTGAAAATGCCCCACCAGAGGATGTATCAGCTTAATCACAGCAGTATCAGACAAGTAAAAACTTTCTTATTGTCCTTTCCTCTCCTCCACCCGTGCCCCAATGCCAGAGAGGCCAGGAAAGAGTTCTCCAGCTGAGGGTACAGGTGTAGAGATGTCAATGAACCCACAAAAAGGCAACAAAAAGGAGAGAAGAAGGTGGCTATGCTTCCATTCTCCAACTGTAGGTCTCTTGTCTGCAGCAGGCCTAAAATAAAATAGGAGAGAAGCTGCAACTTTTTAACAGTTTTGATTATCACCTTAGACAGAACATTTGAGCAATTGTATTGAGGCTGTGTTTTAACACCTACAAAGGTCCATAAAAGTCTCAGCATCTAACTGAGTTTACCCACAGGCAGGGAAATAATTGGCCACACAGAGGAAATTTAAAGAGAGACTAGAAGACAATTATTAAGTTGCTTTATGACTGCCACCCACAAGTCATGCTTGTTTGGCTCAAGGGCTTCCTAAAAATACAAAATAGGCTATAAATAAAGACAGAAACATGTATTCATCTTGAAGTATACAGAACAGTAGAATATGTATAAAGTTAAATATTAAAGTGCATATTATTTCAGGGAGGAATATGGATTATCTAAAGTCACATAGCACCTGCACCTCAGACCTAAGACCAGTGTTTAATCTCCCATCCCCAAGGGGTTAGGGGTGCTGAGGCTGCAAAAACCAGTGGCCAGCAGCTATGGGGCTGCTCCTCTGAGGCTGTTCACAGCAACTCCCCAATGATAGAAGGCTGGTATGTTCTTAGTGCCAATAGACAGGCAGACAGGCATGCAGCCTTCCCAGGAAAAGCAACACAAAAACAAAAAAGCCACTCAGCTAGAAATGGATAGCCCACTGAAGGTTAATTATACTATTAGAAAGTAAATCAGATTTGAAAATCTTTTTTTGTTGTTAACTTACATTTCCCCTAAATTAAAGAGGCTAACTGAAAGGATGAAGACTTCTCCATTCTTAATGAGAGATGTCTGACTCCTAAGGAACAACATACTTGGATTGAGTTGGAGAGATGAGGCCAGTGCTTTGTCTTTTCTAAGGTGTGAGCAGATAATTGAGTCAATGAGCAGTGAAAACTGAACTACTTCAGACTTCAGAATGGTAAAGGAAGCTGGTTATGCTGAGGGCCCCAAGCCTCTGACTTACCCAGGCAGAGGACGGTCCTGGGCAAGAACATGGGTGGCAGATATCAAGAAATCATAGACTCATCATTGTAAAACACCTTAGAGATCAACGTGTATAAAACTCTTAGAACATAGTAATTGTTCAATACATGTGCAGTAATTTTTCTGACTATTAGGAGATAACTCAAATTCTGCCACTTACTGCCTGTGTAGAGTTTGCTACTTAACCTCCCTGTGTTGCAGTTCCCACTTCTGCAAAACAGGGGCAACTACCATATACGGTTCTTGAAGATTAAATAAGATGATAACGGCTGGGCATGGTGGCTCACACCTGTAATCCTAGCACTTTGGGAGGCTGAGGCGGGCAGATGGCTTGAGCTCAGGGGTTCAAGACCAGCCTGGGAAACATGGCAAAACTCCATCTCTACAAAAAAATACAAAGATTAGCCGGGTGTGGTGGTGCATACCTATAGTCCCAGCTACTTGGGAGGCTTAGGTGGAAGGATTGCTTGAGCCCAGGCGGTAGAAGTTTCAGTGAGCCAAGATCACGCCACTGCACTCCAGCCTGGGCAACACAGCCAGACCCTGCCTCAATCAATCAATAAGATAACACAAACCAAAGTCTTAATAAATGAAAGCTGTCATTATTATTAATAATCATTATTCTTCAGTCCAGTCTTCTATCTCTTTGACATCACCCCAAATAGTCACTCAACTTCTGTTAAAACTTCTGCTCTTAATTCTTTTATTTATTAAGCAAGCATTGAAAGAGAACCTGCTAAGCACTAGACCCTGTGTTAGGTACTGAGAATACCAAGATGAACAAGACACAGCCCCTGAACTCAAGGGCCTCCTGGTCTTTTTTTAGGATGCTTACTTCTTACACTTTCTCAAATCTAAGATCAAGCACCAGGCTGCTCCATTGTTGAACCACTAAAATTTTTAGAAACTTCTTCCTAAATTAACTCAGAATGTGACTCCCAATAAAACATCTAATTATTCTTATATAGGATGGTCTTTCAAGTTCAAAAACTATCCATCACAGCCCTTTGTTTTTTTGGGTAAACTTCCTAAGCATCTTCAGCAGCTTCTCATGTGATATGATTTCTGGCAATATTATGTCTAGAAACAACTTCTGTTTTGTGTAAAACAAAAAAAAAAATTTGCTCATCCTCTTTTTGTGAGTAGCCACTATCAGAATTTTCTGTTAATGTTTGTGTGGCATTAATTACAGTCTTAAGAAGACTGAAGGTTTACCAACTTCCCTACTCGTCCAGCTGTTCTATTTTGTCTTAGTCAAGTTGTTATAAATTACAGAAACCCACTCAAACCAGCAAATAGAAAAATTTGCTGAAAAATTCAAGTAAATTGTGGAACCTGAAAATGGCTGGGCTTCCTGAGAGACTCATACTAAGAACTAGAAAGTTAAACAGAAACAAAGCAGAGCCTGTCTCTTGGTCTCTCTTTGCTCTCATATGTCCCTTTATTCTTGCTTCTCTCTCCACATCACTTTTCTCCTTCACCTTAGACCTGTGTTTCTCTACTTCTCTACCTAAATCTTGCGAAATAGTCATCCCAGTCCCCCACATATCTGTCTTCTCACATGCATCTCTAAGTATAGTGGATTGAACAGTGGCCCCAAGAAAGATGTCTACAGCCTGATACCAAGACTGAATGTTCCTTTATTCAGAAAATGGGTCTTTGCAGATGTAATTAAGATAAGGATCTTGAGATGAGGTCACTCTGAATTACTTACTTTGTGGGCCCTAAATCCAATGACTTTGTAAGAGACAGAATAGGAGAAGACAAAAACATAATAAGGACGAAGCATTGTGATCACAGAGTCAGAGATTGGAGCAGTGCAGCCACAGAAGCCAAGGAACACCAACAGCCAGAAGAAGCTGGAAGAGGCAAGGAAGTGACGCAGGGCAGGCAAGCCCAAAACTGGGGCTTAGCCCAGGAGGGTTCTTGGCTTCACCCAGGAAAGAATTCAAGGGTAAGGAAGTGGTGTTAGACAGCAACTTTCACTGAAGTAGCAGTGTTCAGCAAAGGTACTGCTCCTTGCAGAGCAGGACTACCCCATAGGCAGTGTGGCCAGAGTAGCAGCTCCAGGGCAGTTCTGCAGTCATAGTTATACCCACTGTAAATTATATGCAAATTAAGGGCCAGGTTATGCAAAAATTTCTAGAAAAAGGGTGGTAACTTCAGATCATTGGTTTGTTGCCATGGAAAGGGGCAGTAACTTACAGGTGTTGCCATGGCAAGGGTAAACTGACATGGCACACTGATGGGCATGTCTTATGGAAAGTTGCTTCTGTGTCCCTGTTTTAGCTAGTCTTCCATTTTTTTCTGGTGTCCAAGCACCACCCCCAGAGTGGAGTCCTGCCTCCAGAGTTGAGTCTGGCCTTCTATCTCAGGAGGGCTTTCCCCTAGAGCTTCCAGAGGGAGTACGGCCATGCTGACACCTAAAGTATGGACTTCTGGCCTCCAGAACTATCAGAGAATAAATTTCTGTTGTTTGAACCACTCAGTCTGTGGTCATTTCCTGAAGCAACCATAGAAAACTCAAACAAGTCTTAACTGCAGATTCTTAGGAGAGAATCTGATTGGTTTAGGCTGACTCAAATGCAACAGATCCCTTGGTCCAATTATCTTCTGCCAGAGAGATGAGTCTCATGAGATTAATATGACTGCCAGGGCCCAGTCCTATGTGGAGGATGGGTGTCATTCTCGAGAAAGTGGAGATGGAGCTAAGAGCTACCTACTACATTGGAGTTGGCCAGTCACCCAGGTCCAAACTCCATTTCCCAAACTTCTTTCCTCCATCTCCATATCCTGTTCATTCAGGATTTTTGGACCAGTTCTCCCTGCCTCCAACTTTTCACTTGTAAATATTTTTCAAAATTTCCCTTCTTTTTAACTCCTCTGCCACTGCTCTACCTCGCACCAGCATTGTACCTTGCCTTGCTCCCCTGCCAGTTTTCAAACTGCACTGGGCACCTGAGGGTGTACAGTGAACTCAAAGGAGTGTCTCAGGATGTTTTTGATTTTCAAGGGAATCACAGCAACATTTGTCAGACACCATACAAACTACTAACTTGAGGTAGTTCACAGTTTCAAAATTAGGTTATTATATTTCTTCCAATGACATCAAATCTCTTCAAAGCTAGGTTTCTAGCAATGGCTGTGATGAAAGGCAAGTACCCCTAAAAAATCAATGTGGAACAAGAAATGAGAGTGATGGTGTCTGATCAAATTCCAAGGCATGAGACTGTGCAGTGTCCAACAGGCACTAAATTGTTTGTATATAAATTCTTACTAAGCTATTTCTACCTGACTACTTCATAAATGGAACTGTTAGTTCTTTCTTTTGGCCCAGAGATTTTGTGAAACAATTACTAAGACACTAAAAACATTACTCACCTTTTCTTCCTTATTTTATTGAGAGTAGGAGATGAAACTGACTCCCATTTTAAGGGTAAGCCATGTATAACCCATCATTAATGCCCCCTGAGAAAGAAGATTAGCTGGACTCTTCTGAAGAGAATGACTTCCTGAGATCATTTGCTGTGTCACTTAGAAAATACACTTTTTCTTTGCTTCCTCTTGTGGGAACATCTAATATGTTCAAGTCAATTCAAAAAGCACGTATGGAACATTTACTGGGTAGCTTAGAATAAAAAACACGAGACTCAGGGGAAACAGAAGTTGGAGAGTCAGTTCTACTGTCGGTTAACCTTATGCCCTGAGGCTAGCTACTTCACCTCTCTGAACTTCAGTTTTTGCAGCTATTAAAGGGTATGTTTAATCATTAAAAGATGTTATTGATGAATCTACTATATGCTCAGGACTCAACAGAGTACTCAATCATTTTCTTTTCATTATCCTAAGGAGACTTTTAAAATATTTTTGTCCTCATTATGTCCCAAATGTTGATACCATGTATACACTATATACCTATTTGTGTGCTGTATTTGTGCTTTATACATGAAAAAGTAATATATACAACTATTATGGAGCCATAATAATTAAATTTTTTTCAGACAGAGTCTCACTCTGTTGCCCAGGCTGGAGTGCAGTGGCATGATCTTGGCTCACTGCAATCTCTGCCTCCTGGGTTCAAGCGATTCTCTAGCCTCAGCCTCCCGAGTAGCTGGGACCACAGAAGCATGCCAACACCCTTGGCTAATTTTTGCATTTTTTGTAGAGACGGGGTTTTGCCATGTTGCCCAGGCTGGCCTCGAACTCCTGAGCTCAAAGTGATCCACCTGCCTTGGCCTTTCAAAGTGCTGGGATTACAGGTGTGAGCCACTGCAGCCAGCCAAAAATTTTAAAAACATTTTTTAAAAAAGAGGAGGATGTTTTTGGCCCCCAAGAACCAACTTTTGCCCCTTTGAGGGTGCTATTGCCCCCGCTGATAACGCACATCCTGAGGAGACAAAGTAGGCAAAATTGCTGTCCTCACAAAGCTTATATTCTAAGGTGAGAAGTTGGATAATAAGTCAAATATCAGAGAGTGAAAAATGCAGTGAAATAGTAAAATAAGGTGCTATGATGCAGAGTGACTGTGGGGTGGAAGCTCAAGGCCTCTCTGAAGTAACCCCAGTGGTAAGGTCTGAATGAGGAGTTAAGGGTCAGCAAGGGGGAGCCTCACAGACCAGGAGCCCCCAGCATAGAGCCTCCTTGCTGAGCAGGAGCTTGAGGAGCGAGGACAGGAAGGCAGAGGCCAGTGGGCGCAAGGTGACACAATCCCCCATGGGGCGTTTTGAAGACTTTGTAAACGACAGACTGCTAAATGAATGGGAGGGGTTATTAGGCACAAGACACTTCTTTTAGGCACAAGACACTTCTTTTAGGCAAGTAGGAGCAGAAAATGACTAAGCTCTGGCCCAGAGGTCAAAAAGAGTTGTCTTTAGAAAACAGCTAAAGAGGTTGAATTCTGGGAGAAGGTGAACACAACCAAAGACATCAGCTATCTAGATATCTAGACAGACCTAGAAGAGAGAGAAATGTTAGAAGTAAAGAAATGATATCCAACACTTCTGAAGTGCTTACTAGATGGGTCTGTGCTAAGAGCTTTATGCTCATGAATCCTCACAACCTCATGGGGTTATTCTCTTCATTTCACAAATGAAGAACTAAGGCTCAGAAAGCATACATGACTTACCTCAAATCACCTAGGTTTTAAGAGGCAGGACTTAGGTCTGTCCGACTCACATCTAATCTCTTAATCAAGATAACACAACCTCCAGTTTCTCCCAACACCGTCTGTTCTTTGTTGCACTCCATCCTTCCACACCCACCCCTCTGCTATCAATGATTTATGTTCATTCAATCCGTAGAACTGGACTTATCCTGCTAGAACATCAGACTCAAGTTCAACAATGAAAAGACTAATTATAATACTCCCACAAGGGCCTAGGAACAGGAGCTATGGGTACCATGTTTAATTACCCAGTCTCTTGCTTACAGAGGGAAAATATATCTTACTTTATGTCCTATTAGTCAATATGGACTATGTCTGGTTGGAAGAAAGTTTAAAAGCAGATTTTATTCCACTTTGGACTTCCTAAAAATGCAAATCTAAGGACTGCCAACAAGAGTATACTGCCAGAGATTAACAGTCAAGAGGACAGCCAGAGAGAAACACTTGTCAAAAGGAGACACCAGACACTTACTGTGTCTGATGTGGCCCTGGGACAAAATGTAAAGAGCAGTAGACACGAACATCCAGGATCCTGGATTGATTCATGCTGTGACTGTGCCATAGGGTTCTGGAACTGGAAGCACCTGGCTGAGAAGACCTAAGGTTAAAAGAGAGTGGAACTAGAAGCTAGGCTGTCAAAAATTCTTCCAATCAAGGATCAGATGTGTACAAATGCAGCAAGAGGATTTGATCTTTCCAACACCCAGGCAAAGGCAAAGTTGTTTTCTGTTAGGAAAATACTTGATACTGTAGTACATACAATTAGAGATGCACTATCTTTTTTCCCCCCAGAATTATATAAGCTTCAAACCCTCCAAAATCTGAATTAGCCCCTGGATAGAATTTATAATCAAGGGGAGAGGAGGCACACAGACATGCAAATATTAATAGACAATATATTGCAGAATGAATAACATTGTGATAACCCACAAAAACATTCAATAGGCCAGGCGCAGTGACTCTTGTCTGTAATCCCAGCACTTTGGGAGGCTGAGGCGGGTGGATTGCTTGAGGCCAGGGGTTCAAGACCAGCCTGGCCAACATGGCGAAACCCTGTCTCTACAAAAAATACAAAAATTAACCAAGTGTAATTGTGCATGCCTGTAATCCCAGCTTCTTGGGAAGCTGAGGTGCGAGAATTGTTTGAATCTGGGAGGCAGAGGTTGCAGTGAGCCAAGACTGCATCACTGCATTCCAGCCTGGGCGACAGAACAAGACCCTGTCTCAAAAAAATAAAAAATAAAAATCAGTAAACACAAGAGTGGTTAAGAAAGGAAAGACCATGGTTGGCTGGAGTTATCAGGAAGACTTCAGGGGAGGTTGAACTTGAAGTGGCCATTGAGGTGGCCACCAGTAAAATTGTGATTCACTTCCAAAATGTTCTCTGACTGATTCATCAAATATTATATTTGATTTTAGTTTTAGAGCAGATTGTGCCAACTACTGTGAGGCCACTGAAAGCCCTCAGCCCCCTCCATTTATTTACTTGACATCTTCAGTGCTATTCAGCGAGCACTTTCTCCATACCAGGCACTGAGGACTGATGGTGAACAAGTTAGAGCTCACCAGCACAGAGGAAAGAAGGGGTGAGGCTTTCAGATTTGCAGGGAGAGTGTGACATATCTGTAAGCAGCTCATCAGGGCTCACCCATGGTGAAGATGACAATTTCAGATAAAATTTAATCTTACAGACAAGAACAAAAGTCTGGAAAGCAAAAACAAACAAGCAAACAAAAAACATTAAGCACTGCACAAAGGGGAAATGAGTGATGGGCTACTGCTTTGAGTCTAGAGGGAAGTGGTTGAGACATATCTGCTTCACTTTTCTTTTTCTGGAAAACTGAGGAAGGATTTGTGAAATGCCCAGACAAGATGACCTAGACGAGAAGAAGGAAATGTTTGAGCCTATGTAAGAATATTCCTCTGATAATTACGGTATCCCTGTTACAGAAATAGAGAGGAAGATGCGAGAACTCGTTCCTTCATTCATGTGAGCAAACATCCCCAGATACTGGGCATTCAAGGCCATATCAGATATGCCACATACCTGTGTGGGCACAGAGAGGAAAATCCTCAGTTATGTATTATCCAGCTAGACTAGATCTGAAGGGGGACAGTCTCTATAATAGCACCTTGGCCACACTTCCTGAGAAATTCATCCTTATTTCCATCCCATTTATAGCTGTCATCATAAAGTAGGTCATCCTTACAACTCACTTTGGGAAGTAATGCAGGGCAAGTGAGGTTAGTTCCAGTTTAAAGGTGGAGAAACAGGATCAAGGACTTGACCAAATCCCAGCATTATTTAGTAGGGGAAGACAGAATGGCATTTGCAGTCCACAGGTCCAAAGGCCAGCCTACTCCACATTTTCTTATCTTTAAATAACACTTCACGCCCAGGAAAGCCTCGAGGCCACAGGAGGACTCTAACAGCCTGATTAGTGGAGCTGCTTATAACTTATTGGACACAGCCCTGTCCCACACGAGGCTGAGCACCAGGCCTGTCTTTTAAGTGGAACCCAATGGGAGTCCCAAGACACTTGGTCTTCCCTCATTAACAGAAAAGAGAAATAGTTAAGAAAAGTCACTAGGGAAAGGGTCATCAAGAACTGAGATGAAAAGATGAGCAAAGCACTCTAGAGAAAGATTCATTTCCTGAGTCACTCTCCACAACTGAATTAAAGGGACCAGGCCGCACTGATGGGCAAAGGCAACAGCAAGTGTGGGAGTGTTCTGTTCTGGGAGATTGCACTCACTCCTGCACAAACAGGCACACTGTGGGTTCTGGTCCGTCTTCAGCCTAGAGGAAAAGGAAGAAGAATCACAATACATAATTTCTTTTCTGTGGGCCTTTATGGTTTATGAAAGCACATTTTGAAAAGTTTAAGATTTCTGTAGGTACCTCAAGGGGAAATCCTGGGTTATCAGAGGAATCTTTCATTCATTTATTCATCCAGCCAGTGTTATTTGAATATTTCTGGGTCCAGATGCTGTAAAAGGCACTGAGAATACAAAGATTATTAAGAGATAGGCCCTGCCCCAAAAGCCATGTTGTAATGGAAGGAGTCCTAGACCTTCAAGTCCTGCTCTGCTAGTTACTAACCAAGTCGTTTCAGGCACATCACTTGTCCTCTCTGAATATTAGTTCTGAAGTCTATGAAATAAGTCTAATCATACCTGCCTTTCCCATTCCAAAATGTTTGTAAGTTCGAGGGAGGTCATGGACATGAAGGCATTTTATAAATTACAAAGTTCCCACCTGGCAATCTTGCCCTGTGCCGACAGAGGGATGCATGGCTGTCTGCAGATTCATTATCCAGATGTGGTGACAATCATGTGGGGGCCAGAAATTGGCTGACACGGAGTCAGTGATCTTTCATAAATGGACTGGGATGGATATTAGGAGGAAACAAGAAAGTCAAACTTAAAAGCACCCCATTACCCTTATCCTCCCATTAAGACCAAGCCTGAGGCTTTGATGAGTCGTCAGGCCTCTGGCCTCATTAGAAAAGCAGATGGATATATCAGAGGGGTTAATGGCAGCCAGTGATGACCGTGATCTGATTTAGTCCTAGCTCTTGACCCTCCAGAGATGATGATGACTTTGAAAACTGAAGGACTGACTTTTGGTGGGGAATGAACAAGGCAAAATCTAAAATTATGTTACGATTTAAAAAAAAAAAGAAAAAGAACTCCCCCATACAGGAATAGAACCAAAAAAAAGGAGAAACAAAAATTAAAACAGAATAATAGCAATGTTGCAGACTGTTTGTTAAATATTGCCTATCTGCACTAAGAAAAGTAGTCATGCCGCAAATAAAACAGCAAAAAAAAAAAGAAAGAAAGAAAGAAAAAAAAAGCATTTCAAAATATTCTTAGTGGTTCCATTAATGAGGGCAAAATTGAAGTCTAGTGGAAGAACACAGTGGCTGATGTGTGTGTGTGTGTGTGCACGCGCACGCACACCCATGCTCATGCATACCTCTTGAGAGCCGAGGTAAAGATGAGGACACAAACCTAAATCCACATAAAGTGGAATACAGGCCATGTTTTTCTGTGTGTTCTTCGTCTTTCTGACCAATTTGGTCTATATCAATGTCTGCACCCTGCCACAAAACCCTTAATAAACAGTCTTAACTTACGCTACTGGCAACTGTAACTGCCAGAGTTATCAAGAGCCATGGAAGACTGAAACCTTCTCTACCATGAATAAATGGGACTCCCAAAGAGGGTGACAATACCAGTGGTTTGGTTACAGCTGCTGCTTGTATCAGATGATCCATAGATGTTTTCCCACCCCAGAATAACAGTTTTTGTTCCTCTCTGAGGAATGAGTTTGGTTATTAGCTCAGGAAATGAAACAGTTTCCAAATCAGTGGTGACTATTTCTGCACAGTCTCTGCCTTTTCCCATAGCACAGCTTCATTGAGCTGGTAAGAGCTCAGTCTTCATAAATATGTAAAGACAGCATTCATCTTCCTGATTAATTAATCCAGTAACTGATCCAAGCTCTTGCCTATGAGTGCTCTTGGACCCATGGCTCCTATTCTCTCCACTCTGGTTTCCCCACCTGGGTCAGCCCTTCTCTTCATCTATTGTTGGGTAGCGTATAACAAAAGGGGTCCCTGGTCTAGACTGTTCCCACGTTCTCCAGCAGGCTGCCTATGAGAATTTCACAAATTCCTCATGCACTTTTAAATTTTAATAACGAAGATTGTGGATTTATGTGAATAGCGACAGATGGAATCTGAAAGCCAATTAATTTTGTCATTAAAGTATAATATAGGACAGCCGTATTACACAATCAAGCATGATGAATTATTTTTACATCCTGTGACATAGACAACTGGCTATCCCATGAAAGAAGGAATTCAATTTGCATTTAAATGCCATTCCCAGAATGTGACAGAGGCTCTCTGCATTATATAAGTTTCAAGAAGCTGAGGTTTGGCCAATTAATTTTAAGAAGTGTTTGTGATTGAAGTGCAAAAATGAATGGAGAAGTCAATACCTCAATGAAGGATCTTGTGAATGGCCCTCAGCCAGGGGAACCAGCCGCGCTGTGCAGGGGATTCCTGACCCACAGCAACCAGGAGATAAAAGGTGCTCTTGTTTTAAGCCACTAAAAAAGAAAAAATGAGTTGGGATCTTGTTGAACATCCACACACACACTTCTGGGCAAGTATATTTTCTCCTTACCATCTTCTCAGCTTTTCTAAACTTGATACAAACGATGCAGCAAGTGGGCAGGGTGTGTTCACCACCCTTTGGGCCATGGGTACCTGGAGAGAGATATGCATCCCCAGTGAGGTCTACACATTGTACACGCATGTGCATGTATGCACACACACAAATATACACATAGTTTCATTAACTCTTCTGGAGAAAACAATTTAAGAAAATGCCAACTTCTTTTTCAGCTAATTAAATGCCTATAGCCCATTAATTATAGATTAAGGGAACTAGTGTTTACCACAAAGTCATCTGGAGCTAGCATCTGAAGAGGTTGAATTCCATACTGAGAAGTTGGAACATTATTCTGTATGTGACAGAAAACCATTCTAAGATTTATGAAGATGGAGTTGGTATTAAACCACTAGTAAGTTGAAACTACTAAGAAGAATAAAATGGAGAGGTAGGGAAGTGGAACCTGGCAAACCAGTTGGGGCTATGGTAATCATTTATGGAAAAAATAATACGGGGTTAACCAGAGGCAGTATGGATAAGAGAAGGGGGGAATATGGAAGCTCTGGGGCAATGGCTTCTTAGAAATTGACTAGGTGGATGGAGGATGGAGAAGAAAGAGTAGATGCAATTTCTAGCCTTCATGACTGTGTGTGTGATGAGGCCATTAATAGAAACAGCAACTATAGGAGGAAACACAGGTTTGAGGAAGAGGGAAAAACGATCATACTCTCACTTTTTAAACAATTTACTTACTCCTTTGATATGATGGGATGACAATACTACTTTACCTCTATGATCTTCCTCCCCCAAACCCATAACCCCAGTTTAATTATGTGAAAAACAACAGAAACAGTCCAATAGAGGGGCACCCTATAATACCCTTGACCAGAACCCCTTAAAATTGTCAAGGTCAGCAAGAAAAGTCTGAGAAACTGTCAGATGAGAGAGGAGCCAAAGGGGACAGGATGGCTGAATGCAATGTGGGACCCTGGAGGGGATCCTTGAATAGAGAAGGTCAGATATTAAGTAAAAACTAAGGAAATCTGAATACATTGTAAACTTTAATTAATAATAATGCATCAGTATTGGTTCATTAATTGCAACAAATGTATCATAGTAATGTAAAATGTTAATACTAGGAGAAACTGGAGAGTGGGGTTTGGGGAGAACCTATGAGAACTCTGTAAAAACCCCCTTATAAAGAGGGGTGGGAGGCTTGCTTACTAAAGTTTTGTTTGTTTGGTTAGTTGATATTTTTTTCTTTTTGGGGACAAAGTCTTGCTCTGTTGCCCAGGCTGGAGTGCAGTGGCACCATCACAGCTCACTGCAGCCTTGATCTCCCAGGGACAAGTCATCCTCCCGCCTCGGCCTCCTGAGTTGCTGGGACTACAGGTGCATGCCACCACGTCTGAATAATTTTAACATTTTTCTGTGGCGATGTGGTCTCACTGTGTTTCCCGGGTTGGCCTCAACTGGTCCTCCTGCCTTGTCCTCCCAGACTGCTGGGATTATACATGTGAGCCCCCATTCCCAGCCATTTTAAAAACTTTTGTGGCCGGGCGTGGTGGCTCATGCCTGTAATCCCAGCACTTTGGGAGGCCGAAGTGGGTGGATCACGAGGTCAGGAGTTCAAGACCAGCCTGGCCAAGATGGTGAAACCCTGTCTCTACTAAAAATACAAAAATTAGCTGGGCATGGTGGTATGCGCCTGTAATCCCAGCTATTCGGGAGGCTGAGGCAGAGAATTGCTTGAACCCAGGAGGCGGAGGTTGCAGTGAGCCAAGATCGCGCCTCTGCACTCCAGCCTGGGGTACAGAGCAAGACTCCATCTAAAAACAAACAAACAAACAAAAAACACCTTTTGATATCAGTAACCCATCATGGGAGTTGGGGGACACCGATTAAATAAGCTCTTGTTCCCCATGTGCAATTACTCCATTACAGATTAGACCACATCACTGATAACGACCACCTACCTGGATGAGAAAGCTGAGATGGCCGAAAGCAACTCGTTGCCTTGCGTAAAAGCTACAGTTTCTTGTACTGATGTTGAAATGGCCAGAAGGGGCATGTATGAGTGACGTAGTCATGTGACTGTGGAGGGGAAAGCCAGCCTGAGAAGGACATGTTTTTTTCAATGGCCGAGTTGGAGCTGCAAAGGTACTATGAATTCATACTTCAAAACTGTGCCTTTGAGTTTGTTTGCTTGTTTGTTCTCTGTGTGTATGTGTGTGTGTGTGTGTGTGTGTGTGTGTGTAGATGAGGTCTCACTATGTTGCCCAGGCTGGTCTCAAACCCTGGGGCTCAAGCAATCTTCCTGCCTTAGCCTCCCAAAGTGTTGGGATTACAGACAGGCATGAGCCACTGCACCCTGTGTGCGTGGCAGGGGGAGGGGGTGAGTGGCTGGGTGGGCGTGTGATTGCTGGGCCTTTGGATTTCATCCAGCAAACACTCACCTCCTGGGCAAGCTGGGTACTGTTAGATATTAGGGATATGAGGATAAATGTGTGAATGCGCCATGTCTGCTGCCCATAAGGAGCTCACAGTCTACTCTACAGACAGGATGGCGAATAATTACAGTACATTGCTAGAGCCAGGATGTTCTGTGTTAAAAAGAAAAAGAGTGTTTTGGAAGTGCTAAGACAGGAACAATGAACTCTACCCAGGAGGGTGGTGAGAGAAGGCAACACCAAAGAAAAAGCTTGTGAACTGGGCCTCCAAAAATAAGTAGGTTCTTGCCACGTTGAGTGGGAAAGGTACTGTAGGCAGATGATTCAACATTTGCAAAACACAACGACATTCAACAGCATCATGTGCTTGGGTAAGTGGCAGCTGGAGCATCCGGCAAGGGATTCACAACCTGGGAGCTGTGAGAAAGGTCTGTTAGGGAGAAGAAGGGCTGAAATCAGGGAGACCAGGTAGGAGGCTACTGTCATAATTAAGGCTGGAGAGGATGAAGCTCTACAATCATGGGATAATGTTAAAAGATGCCCTCACTCCTACCTTCTCATTTCTCCACCAACACATTCAAGCCAAACAAACTTGAGTCCCCAAAGGCCTCTGCTCTTGGCAATGCAGGAAGGCCTAGCATCTGTTTCTTGAGCAGCAGAAGCCAGACGTTGGTAGGGCCCAGGCTTCTTATTCGAGAGCCCCAAGGTACAGGCCCGTGCCCATTCCAGAGCTCACTGGGGAATTCCACGCACATGCCCACCATATGCTAGGTAACTTTTTCTCTCCAGTACAAGTCCTCTCTGTTCTGCCTGCTAGAAGGGGCCCTTTCTAGCAGGCAGAACTGCTAGAAAGCAGCTTTTCCAGGAGCACTTCGACATAGCTTCCAATTTTGAAGCTGAGAAGCTGTAGAGAGGACTGATTAACAGTCTTTTTTGTTTCCAAGAAGACATAGACAGCGCCATGGACATGCCCGTTTCCTCTTCTCTTGAAAACAGTGAAGAAAACCTATGGCAGAGAGTTTGCTCAGAAGCCAGGTGGCCTCATGAAACCTCAAGGGTTTAGCCTCAAATCTCCATTGTTGTTGTCAAGGGACAGCTCGAGGAACTCAAGCCCTGTGATCTGGTACGATGGTTCCTGTTGGCACTGTGGCCCCATGGCTTTGCTGTCCTATTGGTGCTGCGAAGAGCCAGGTAGCGGGATGGGGAAGGCTTACTTTGAATCCTGGCTCTATCACACACTAGATGCAGAGAGGTAGCTAAGGTCATACAACCTCAGATGACTGACTTTACCTCTCTGCATCTGTTTTCCCTTTTGTAGAAATGGGCATGTTGACAGAACCCACTGCAAAGGGCTGTTGTGAGGATTAAACCTTATGCTCTAAGTAATGTTAATATACAAAGCCTAACACATGGTAGTCAAAGTTAGCTGATAGATGCCTTTTGCAAAGTCAGCCTGCACTACTTCTACCCCCCACACACATACCAAACACAGGCTGCTTGTATGAGTAGAGGCCTAGGGGGCAGTGGTGCATCCTGGTGAAGGGTTGGAGCTCAATAGCCAGGGTTTGAATCCTAGCTACTGCACTTCCCAGTTTACAAATGAGGAACCCAGAGCCCTCACTACCGTTTTTGCTCATTCCAAACAGCTTAATTTTTTCTGTGCCCTCTTTTGTAGCTCCTATAGTCAGGCCTTCCTATTTCTACCTCTGGGGGACCTGCATGCAAAGCTTAATTCCTTTATGGATTTCTGCAAAATATTCACTCTCACTATGCATTTAATGAAGTAAGCAGCTTCCCTTATCAGTAAAATGGGAGTAATCATAGGAACTGCTTCATAGGGTTACTATAAGGAGTGAGACTCATCCATAGTGTCACGTGTAGTTAGAGTTCATTCATTCTCATTGCTATGTAATAGTTCATGTTACAAATAGACTATGATTTATTTATCCATTCTACTGTTGATGAAGATTGGGACTGTCTCCAGTTTGGAGCTATTACAAATAGAGTGGTGCTATGAAAATTCTTGTACTCATCTTTTGGTGAACATACATTTACAATTTCTGGATCAGAGGTATCAGCTTTAGTGGATACTGCCAGCAAGTTTTCCAAAGTGGTTGTTCCCATTTAAATCCAAACTAGCAGTGTATGAGAATTCAGTTGCTCCACATCTTTACCAACACTTAGTATTTTTCTGATGTTTTCATTTTAGCCATTCTAGTGCATCTGTAGAGCTATCATATTGTGGTTGCAATTCACATTTCCCTGGTGACCAATCAAGTTGAACATCTTTTCATGTGTGGACTAAACACAGTGTTGGCACACAGTTAGCATTCAACAAATGTTAGCTATTATCATTAGTACTGTTGTTCTCTGATCAGTGAAACTCAGCTTTTTCAAATGGGGACATGGGCAGAGACTTGGGGAAGGTTTTCAAATGTTAAACTTTCTTGGCCTACCATTATCATCCATGTGTGCGTTTCCCTATGCCTCCCTCTTCTCCTGGTTTATTTCTCTGTAAATAACACACATCGCCTCTCCCAGAGTGCAGACATGCTGAATAATAGGAAGCGAAAGCCAGGTGAAACTTCTGACCGGCACCCCAAACAGGTTCCCCCGCTTCACAGATGTGTCACCTCCAAGAGAAGCAGAAAGGATCCTCCCCCAGAAACCTCCTGGAATCTCATCTATCTGGCCCCACTCCCTCTAGCTTCTTCCTGATGAATGGCTTTGACAACTTTCTCATTATTAGGGCCTCTTATCCAAGTCTGACTTGAATCTTTAATGCCTTCTGTTAGGAAAGATGCATCACTTGATTTTTAGGATGCACACACAATTCCCCTTGCAGAGCCAGTATCCTGAGGGGTTTGTTAATGCATCAAACCATGGACCTCTGAGGAAAATTCCTTGTCCCCAAAACAAGAAGACAGGTTAAGCTGTACCCTCAGTTTAGCTCCCACTGGTAAACTCCATGAGAAAAGAAAATAACCAGCATTGTGTAATTGGGGGTGGAGTTACATCTTACACAATCTTTGTGAAAGGGAGAAAAGGAAGCCAGCTTAATAATTCCCAAACTAGGTCAAAAATTTATATCCATGTGTATATAAAATAGTCTTCATTATCTTATGTAATAAACATGATTTTATTATCTCAGTCACTGGGTTAAGAATTCCTTTTAGTGAGACCCAACTTTGTTGGGAAGACTTCTTGGTATAATCTCCTCATGAAATAAAACGTGAGGACCCCTGCTACCAGGGACCTTGCGGGGCAGGAATACTCCAGATAAGATAGAGAACAAATTTCCTGATTGCAACAAAGATTGAAGGGAGGAGAAAGAAAAAGAGGAATAGTGAGAAATGGAATGGATGATTAAAGGCTGTTCAGTGGAATCTGCGACCCCCTTAAGTCTCCTAGAAAGCTGCTTACTTCGTTAAATGCAGAGTGAGAGTGAATCCTTTGCAAAAACCATGAAGGAATTCAGCTTTGCATGCAGGTCCCCCAGAGGTAGAATTTAAGAAAGCCTGAATATGGGAGCCACAAAGAAGGGGGCAGAAAAAAATTAAGCTGTTCAGAATGAGCGAAAATAGTGGTGAGGGCTCTGGCTTCAGATAAGCTCAGGGTGACCAACTTGTCACAGTTTGTCCAGGATTTTTCCAGTGTTAGCCTTGAGAGTCTCACAACTCAGGAAACCCCTCTGTCCCAGGCAGATTTTAGCCAGAATGTACAATTGAAGGTTTGAGTTTTATCTAAATTTCTTAGGACCAAGGACGTCCAGTTGATAACTGAATTATAATTAAAATGGCACCTAGACTGTTCAACTTTTGGTTTCTGGGTTTGACAACGTTCGACACACGAACATATATACAGAAACACAAATACCAAAAGTATATGCTCAGATGCTAAGTGCGTCATGACAAGTGAAATCCCCCTCCTGGTCCAGAATTTCAGTTTCACCACAGTTTACTTAAGAGTTTTCTTTCCTTTGTGCATTGAGAAGGAGCCATGGCTTTGCCGGCTCCTGTCCAAACCCCCCAACTCAGCAGCCTTTCCATGGAAAGACATTCCTTCTGACCTTGATTCTTTTGAGAGAGAAAGAATAAATAGCAAGAGGCAGGCCAGGCACAATAGTTCACGCCTGTATTGCCAGGACTTTGGGAGGCCGAGGCAGGCAGATCATTTGGGGTCAGGAGTTCAAGACCAGCCTGGCCAACATGGCGAAATCCTGTCCCTGCTAAAAATACAAAATTAGCCGGCCTGGTGGTACGCACCTGTAATCCCAGCTACTCAGGAGGCTGAAGCACGAGAATCACTTGAACCTGAGAGGTGGAGGTTGCAGTGAGTCAAGATTGGGCAACTGCACTCCATCCTGGGCGATAGAGCAAGACTCTGTCTCAAAAAATAAAAAAAGTAAAAAATTGCAAGAGGCTCCTTTCCCAGACTCATTACCTCCCTTCCATTTTTCTCCCTCTGCCATTCTTCCCCTACCTCATTTGCATGCAATGTGGAAGAACTGATCTAGGGAAGATTTGTGTGCTTTCAAGATACTGGGTCCACTGAGATCAGCTACAATTAAATTATGTCTTCAATATGTTTAACTCAGACTCTGGATTTTTGTAGTCCTAGAAACCAGTAGAAATAAATTTATTAAGAATGTGATCTCATCACTAAACATTCACTCAGCCCATTGACTCCCAAATTAGAGGACACATTTCAGGGATTGGGTCAGAATTCTATTTTCAGTTAGAATAAGGGGTTAGAATAAGGCAGTATAACCTAGGTGTGCTTTACAGAAAGACATGCCTGGATTTCAGTTCACACCTGGCAGTATGGGCTTGGGCGTATTCCCTATCAATGAGGTATATGATTGAAAGGAATCAAGGATTCAGGCCTGAAGAATTAAGTAACCCACTGAGATGGTGAAGGCTATAGGTAGAGCAGGTTGAGGATGAAAGATCAAAAGTTCAGCATAGGATATGTTAAGGAGAGAGTCCTAAGCTGAAAATAGAAGTTTGGGAGTCACTGATATATCAGTGGTATTCAAAGCTATGACCAGATGAGATCACTAAGGAAGTGACAGCAGAGAGAGAAATGTCTGTATGGCCATGGCTGTGCTACCTAGGATGAAGTTTGCTGGCCAATAGTCCCTCCATAGCCTCTCTACCTACGTTCAATGGATCCATCACAGCAGAAGGCTCAGTGCACGTTCATGGGGAGGCAGTAGGTACAGGACAAGGAATCTCAGGTTTGGAGACAGAAGAGGGCCTGGAGGGCCAGACACGGTGGTTATGCCTGTAATCCCAGCGCTTTGGGAGGCCAAGGCAGGCAGATCACTTGAGGTCAGGAATTCAAGACCAGCCTGGCCAACATGACAAAGCCCCATCTCTACCAAAAAAAAAAAAAAAAAAAAAAAATATATATATATATATATATATAGATATATATATACATATAGATATATACATGTATATATATGTGTATATATATACATATGTATATATATGTATATATGTATATATGTGTATATATGTATATATGTATATATACATATGTATATATACATATGTATATATGTATATATACATATGTATATATGTGTATATATATACATATGTATATATGTGTATATATATATACATATGTATATATATGTGCGTGTGTGTGTATATGTATATATATGTGTATATACACATAAATATATACACATATATATATACACACATATATATGTATAAATTAGCCAGGCGTGGTAGCGTGTGCCTGTAATCCCAACTACTCAGGAGACTGAGGCATAAGAATTGCTTGAACCCAGGAGGTGGAGGCTGCAGTAAGCAGAGATTGAGCCACTGTGCTCCAGCCTGGGCAACAGAGTGAGACTCTGCCTCAAAAAGAAAAAAAAAAGAAAAAAAAGAAAAAATGGAGAAGAGGGCCTGGAGCTTAGCTCAGCTCTGCTGCTTCTGGGCTCTGGGCTATGTTATTTTGGGAAAATCACTTAATCTCAGTGAGCTTCAATTTCTTCACCTGTAAATTGGAGATAACATTGCCTCCCTCAATGACTGCTCGTTCGGACAGCTATAACAAAATACCATGGACTGCGCAGCTTACACAACAAACATCTATTTTTCATAGTCATGGAGGTTGGGAAGTCCAAGACCAAAGTTACAGCAGGTTTGGTGTCTGGTGGGGGCCCACTTCTTGGTTCATAGATGTCCATCTTCTCACTGGGGTGAGGGAACTCTCTGAGGTTTCTTTCACAAGGGCATTAATCCCATTTATAAGGCTCCACTCTCATAACTTAATCACCTTCCAAAGGACCCTCCTCCTAATACCACTCCTAATACCACCATCTCAACCTATTAATTTGGGGGGTGAGTGGGACACAAACATTCAGTCCATAACACTCCCTTACAGAATACCTGTCAGTGTTAAATAAATTGAACAAAAATACTTTGTAAAATACCTTACACTTTACACTTCAGTTATCACTTATCCCATATAATTTCTGATAATTTCAGGGAGAAAATGCTTTAGTGATTAGATATAAAGTTTAGGACATTATCTACCAATGTTTAAAATTCCTATACCATACCCTTCGACGCAGCCATTCCAACTCTCCTACAGATACAGTTGTACATGTATAAAGATAAATGTGCTAGACATTGGTAATAATAATGAGAAATTGGAAACAATATGTATCAGCAATGGACTGAGTAAATAAGCCATATATATGCACACTGTGGAATACCAGCTGTTAAATGTAATGAGAAAATGTACGTATACTGACATGAAAAGATGCCCAGGATATTTATTTAAAGTAATAATAAGCAAGTTGCAGGTGTATATATGGCATGATCCCATTTCTATGTATTTATATTACACATTTTGATACATGCATACCAAAAAGACCGAAGGCCATGCATGACACTGGAGAACAGTCACTAGGGTCTCTATGCGTGTCACTTACCTCTGGGGAAAGTGACTGGTGTTGCAGAGAATTACTTTCACTTCCTCCTTTATATGCTTAGGAATTCTTTGAATTTGTGTAACAAACAAAATACATTTAAAGACATACCACAAACCAATCCCTGAGCCCTGAGATTCTTAAGAGGATGGGGGCACCAGGAACATAAATCATACTGCCAGGCCAGAAAACAATGTCTCTGTTGGGTTCCCAACTATATTTCAATTCTGCAAGCCACAGCTGTGCTTCCCACCAACCCAGGCGCTAACACAACAGCAGCAGTCCAGAAAGGGGAAAACATAGGCCCTAGAGTAGGGCCACTTTGGGTAGGAAAAAAAAGTGCAAATGTATTCTGAAAGCAGATGGTGTCTGGAAGAGAAAGTGTGTTTGGCAACAAGAAGGGAATCACAGGGGAAGGAGAGAAAAGCAGTAAAAGAGAGACAGCCAAAGGAGGTGGTAATTAAGTGCAAAGCTGAAGATTTCCAAGGGATTTTTCAGCATTGGCAAGAGTCGGGCCTCTGGACAATTCTGTGGAAGTGTGTAGAGATTGTTTTTCATTTCTTTTCTTTATTAAAAGTATTCCACTAGAACAGTGCCTCTGAACCATGATATTCTGACAAGAGTTTGTTAGCAATGCTCCAAGTATTAAAGTTTTCCAATAATTTACTTTTCTTTATAAAGAGGAGCTGAGGTTGGCTGTCTCCTTGCTGCCATTCTAATATGCTTCCTAGGGTGGGAGACAAAGCCACAGCCAGCCAGGGTTGAGCGAGTTGTGTACAACCCACACACTATTTGTCTCGCCACCTCCTGACACTGTCACTCTTCTCCGGGCTCTGGAGCTTCCTGTGGGGTCACTGTCTGTAACAGACAAGAGTCACACCCTTCTCAACCCTTTTACAGCATTAACCAAGGCACAAGCGTCTGAACTGTCCAATAACAAAGAGATTAATTGATGGATTGTTTTGTACCAAACTGCTTGCTGCCACAGCTGCTCAAAATGTTAATAAGCACTGCTGAACTATGGCCGCTCCAGCAGGGAACAGCTGTAGAGGCTAGAGGCCAGCTCCCCTGCCCAGTGAGGGACAGATGTCCTTATGTCTATATCGGCCCCTGTGCTCAAACCAGCAACAGTTCACAGACAGGATTATGAAAGGTTTTGCATTTGGTCCTAAGTAATCTTTTAATGTCACATAACCTGAACCAAAGCCAAGAATACATTATGACAGTACAAATTATCAACTCTATCTTTGAGATAAGATGTATATTATGCACTAAACTCAAGGTCAGGAGACAAGTCTTCTACTCCAGACATATCAAAGCCTTTCTGGGTCTTATAAAATGGGGCTTGTGATTCAAGTTTACTTTCAACAGGAAGCTTTTGGTTTAAATGAGTTCAAACATTGCATGTAAAGCGCTGAGACTTCAGATACTTGTAAAATAAGCTCAAGTTTAATCTCACATTATATATATATATAACGTATAATAAGCTCAAGTTTAATCTCACATTTTATATCTATACATACAATATGTGTGTATGTATGTGTGTGTGTATATATATAGATATGGAATAATAAATTAGATAGTCCTTTCTATATTCCACCTGTATCTCACTTACCCCACTTGAAGGTAGAGTTCACTTGTAAATATGTCAGCTGCCTCTCTCAGATAAGGACTTCTTTTTTTTTTAACATGACTACAATGACTTTGTCACGTATAACAAAATTAACAAGTCCTTGATATCATCTAATTCTCAGTTCATATAAACTTCCCCCAACTCTCTCAAAATGTGTTTTTACAACTGGTTCATTTGAACCAGAATACACACAAGGTTCACTCATTGCATTACATACACACACACTCACACACACTCATACACACTTACATATTTTTCTCTAGTTCTATCCACTAGGAGTGTAAAAGGGGCTGGGAGCAATAATGCCCTAACGGTAATGACACCTGATCTTGGTTTCTAAATACTATTCTTTACTAAAAGGAATCAGAAGTCCTTGGAGAAATGTCTGTTTCAAGAGTTGGAGTAAAGAGAACACCAGATATGCCTGAACATGCTGAGCCAGAAAGCAAGGATGCACTCATGCACTCAAAGAAAGATGGGGTGTGCCAAGTGGACACAGAAGCCAGATTGATGGAGGGCTGACATTTCTAATCTGAGAAATGTGAGCATCAAAATCAATGATGATAGTAACAAATTATCTACAACTCATTGAATAAAATGAGAATCCAGGAGTCCAACTGATATAAATAAATGAATAAAATGAATGTTTGACGAGGAACAGGATATTTAAATATTTTCAAAGTATCTCCTCATAAAATACTTGTTAGTTACAAAGAGAAGAGAAACTTCACAGTGAAGAAGGCTGACAGGCACTGCCTTAATCAAGTGATCAAAGTGAACCTCATCAGAGATGGGACACACCAAAACAATGTTTCATGGGATAATAAGATGCAAAAGGAACAACACAGCTTCAGTTCTGTGATATTCCTTCCAAAACTGCACGACCTGAATCTCATCACAAGGAAGCATCAAACAAATCCAAGTTGAAGGACAGTCTACAAAGTAACTGACCTGTAATCATCAAAAGTGCCAAGGTCATGAAAGTCAGAGATTAAGAAACTATTCCAGAATGAAAAAGACTAAAGAAACTTAGGAAATAAATGCACCACATGATTGCAAGAAAAGGATCCTTTTGCTACAAAGGATGTTATTGGAACAACTGGCTTAACAGTGTTAAATTTCCTAATTTTACTGATTGGACCATGGTTATCTAAGAGTGTCCTTGTTTGTAGGAAATGCACACTGAAGTGTTCAGGAGTGATGGGCATCAGGTTGGTAACTGACTCTCAAATGGCCCAGGAGGAAAAAAGTAGTTTCTTATGCTCTACCCTGACATCTTCAGTAACTTTCAAAATCAGAAAAAGAAAAAATAAAAATACAAATACAAAGAATAACTTGCCTCATCAGCTATTTTTCCCTGAATAGAGTTCATATAGAAAAAAACAGAATAAATTCTTGATTCTGAACCTTCATTAATTTCCAGAGTAATGAGTTGGTACCATAGAAATTTAGAATGACAGTTTTCTAACGTATCATAATGAGCTCAGATATTTTTATGTTTGATATGCTTCAGTCAATTGCAGTGATTATTCTTTTTGATTCTCGTAATTGTTCCTGTTCCATTCACCACAACTCTGGCAGTCAATGGTTTTCTTCCTTCCTGAACATAACAAAAGGTTCCAGGTTCATCATTTACATTTCCTACACCAAACCTGGAATCAATTTTTAGACCTTGAATTCAGAGGAGAATTCCTTCCCTTTTAAATGAACGTAATTAATTCCTCTTTAAAAAAATAGATGGGCATGTTGGCTCACACCTGTAGTCTCAGCTACTCTGGGAGGATTGCTTGAGCCCAGAAGTTCAAGGTCAGCCTGGTAAACAAAGCAATAGGGAGAAAAAAATTCAGAACACTGCATTTTCTCAACTCCCTTGAAATTTGTTCCTTTTTTTCCCCTCAAATGTCTGGCTAGTTTTGGACTCCTTCCAAGAGGAATGGCACACAGAAAAGAGCTTACTCCAAGTCAGACTCTGTGGGCATGACAACCACCTGCTTCTTAGTGTAAGGAGAAGCTGGTAGAGGAGGACTAATCTAATCCTTTTATTAACTCCCTTGAATCAGAAATGACAGACAGTGATTAAATTTTGTAACTTTTCTCATTGCAAGCACTGAGAGACGGATCAGTGGGTTGACTTGTTTGTTTTATTTCTTCAGTAAAAAACCTGTACAAGTAGTAAGCAGGTCAATTTTCAGAAGCCTCTCATCCTAAAACGAGAGCTGGCCAGTGTTGCATTGTTCATCCCAGCCTCCCAGTGATCAAGTGAGGTCTTCATTATTTTGATGGAAGGAAGGAGAAAACAAAATCCACTCACTGATGCTAGAGAGAATTCATTCACTCATTCACGCACCCATTTAATTGAGAATCCACTACGCGCTGTTCTTAGTACTGAGGATATGCAGCGAACACAAAGAATAAACTCCTTCCTCTGTGGAGTTTACTTTCTAATGGAGGAAATAGACCATAGCAAGATAGATAAGTAAATTATAAAGTGCAGGAAAAACAAAGCATAAAAGGGCAATGTAAGAGAGATACAATTTTAAATAAAAGGTTTCGGGGTGGCTCCCACTAAAAAGGCGACATTTGAACAAACACTTGGAGGAGGTGACAGAGTAAGCCATGTGGTTTTTTAGAGGCAGAGAGTTCCAGGCAGAGGAAACAGCTTGTGTGAAGATCTTGACGTGTGAAAGTGCTTTGAATATTTGTGAAATTGTAAGGAAGCTGCTGTGGCTGGATGGCTCGTGCAAGGTGAAGAGAGAAGGCCAAAGACAGAATGTGAGGGCTGGGGACACAAAGCACCTAGCGCCTTGTAGGCCATTTTAAGGACTTGGACTTTTGCTCCAAGTGACATGGAAATTTGTCTCTGGTTTTTGAACAGAGGAATGACTTTACCCAACTTATTTTTCAATGAGATCACTTTGGCTGCTGTGTTGGGTATAGAATGAAAGGGAGCAAGACAGACACAAAGACACCATTAGAAAGCTATTGTAATGGTCTATGGGAGGTGATGGTTGCTAAGAAAGGGCAATAGCAGTGAAGGAGGTGAAAAGTTGTCACACTATCAATAACTTTTAAAAGTAGAGCCAACAGGATTTGCTGAAAGACTAGATACAGGAGCAAAAGGAAGAGAGGAGTCAAGGGTAATCCTTAGAGTTTTGGCCTGAGCAATTTGAAGGGCAGAGGTTCCATCCACTGACATGGTGAAGAATGTGAGAAGAGCAGGTTTTGGGGAGGTTGCTCAAGAGCTCAGTTTTGGACAAGGTAGGTTAGAGATGTCTACCAAACAGCCAAATGGAGATGCCAAGTAGGTGATTGAATATACAGTTCTGGAGTTCAGGAGAATGGTCTAGTCTGGAGACATATATTTGGCCATTGTTGTAGGCAGAACAATGTCCTCCCAAAAGATGTTCATGGGCCAATCCTCAGAACCTGTGAATATATTTCCTTACACGGCAACAAAAGGACTTTGCCAATGTGATTAAAGGATGGACCTTGAGATGGGTGATTATCCTGGATTCTCTGGGCAGGCCCAGTGGAATCAAATGGGTCCTTACAAGCAGATAACTCTTCCTGCTGTGGCCAAAGAAGGCTCCAAGAGATAAGATTTTGTGGGCTTTGAAAATAAAGGAAGGTAGCCACAAGCTCAGAAATGCAGGAAGCATCTGGAAGCTGAAAAAGGCAAGGAAACAAATTCTTCCCTAGAACCTCTAGAAAGGAAGGCAGCCCCACTGACAGGTTGATTTCAGCCCAGTGAGACCCATGTCAGACATCTGACCTAAAAACTGTAAGGTGAATTCATGTTGTTTTAAGCTGCTATAGAAAATTAATGCCAACATCATCAATATAGAGATGATATTTAAATCCATAAGAGACAGAAGGGAGACGATGTCTTGGGACTGAGCCTTGGGGTATTTGAATGTTAAGTCGGGGAAATGAGGACCCAACAGAGATGACTGAGAAGCAGTGGACACAAGATAGGAGGCAAACAGGAGAAAATGGTGCTCTAGAGGTCAAGACAACAATCTGTGTCACATGCTGCTACATGGTTAAGTAAGATGGGGATCAAATTAGGAAACAAGACAGAACAGGGAGAGCATATGTGCTCAGGCCAGCTGCTATAGAGAAGGAAGAATGTGGACCCTGGTACTTACTACAGGAGAGACAGGCAGGGTGCAGTGGCTCATACCTATAATCCCAGCACTCTGGAAGGCTGAGATCATGGGAGGATCACCTGAGTCCAGGAGTTCAAAACCAGCCTGGGCAACACAGTAAGACCCTCATCTTTACAAAAAATACAAAAATTAGCTGGGAGTGGTGGCACACACCTGTAATCTCAGCTACTCATGAGGCTGAGATGAGATGATTGCTTGAGCCTGGAGGTTGAGGCTGCAATGAGCTGTGATTGCACCACTGCACACCAGCCTGAGCAATGGAGGGAGACCTTGTCTCAAAACAAAACTAAACAAAGCAAAAACTTACAGAAGAAACACATGAATGGCACCCACTCAGAGTGCAGACTTTTTCATACAGAGGGACTCTGGTCACTAGGAAACTTGGCCCAACTAGAATACTGGAATATTTCCAATCATATTGGCACTCCTTCCCTTTGGGGAGGGAGGGTATGAAAGTCAGCAGTACAGAGGAAAGAAGAGGAAAGAGGAACAGAATGAAATTTCAACTTTCTTTTACATTATTGCCTTTCCTTTTACCACCCAACATAGTCTTAGCCCTCCAAGGCCATTACTTGTTAAATAGCACATTCCCTAACCCCAGGGCAGTTAAAATAATAGCTCAAGACCAGAATATCGTTTTCTCTTAAAGAAAATATGACCAGCCGGGCACGGTGGCTCACGCCTATAATCCCAGCACTTTGGGAGGCCGAGGCGGGTGAATCACGAGGTCAGGAGTTCAAGACCAGCCTGGCCAAGATGGCGAAACCCTGTCTCTACTAAAAATACAAAAATTAGCCCAGCATGGTGGCAGGCTCCTGTAATCCCAGCTACTGGGGAGGCTGAGGCAGAGAATTGCTTGAACCCGGGAGGTGGAGGTTGCAGTGAGCCGAGATTGTGCCACTGCACTCCAGCCTGGGCGACAGAGCAAGATTCTGTTAAAAAAAAAAAAAGAAAAAGAAAAAAGGAAAAGAAAATATGACCTCATCAAAATTAAAATACACAACCTTCCAGTACCTGGCATTTTATATCAACCATAGCTTCAGACAATGTTTTGTTTTGCCTTCCTTCACCTCAAAACTCAAGAGTTAGCTGATCATCTCTAAGAGACTGATTGAAGTCAGGTGAGGAGAACCCTTGTGACTTCAGACAAATATAGCCCTTATCACACTGTCTCATACTGAGCTGTAGTTATTTGTATACTTGTTCATCTTCTTCACCAGACTTGAAGTCCTCTGAGAGGGGAGACTGTGCCCTTTCATCACTGAATTACAAGAACAATAATTCCTGAACTTCCCATTCATTGAACTTGTCATACAAGTCAGACATGGTGCTAATTGCTTTCAGGCATTTAATTGTCAGGCAACTCTGTGAGATGGGCATTATTTATTCCATTTTGCAGGAAGGTTAAGAAATTTACATAATAGTCATATTAAATTGGAGACTGACAGAGCAGTCCAATGCCCAAATCTGTGCTGAATGATGGCCCCACAAAGATGTCCACATCCTCGTTCCTGGAACCCATGAACGCTACTTAATATGGAAAATTGGACTTTGCAGATGTGATTAAATTAAGGATTTTTGAGATGGGAAGTTTATTCTGGATTATCCAACTTGGCTCAATGTAATCACAGGGGTCCTCCTGAGAGGGAGGCAGGAAGTCAGGTTGAGTAAGAGGAGATGCGAAGAGAGAAGCAAAAGTTGAAGGGATGATGAAGGAGCCATGAGCCAAGGAATGCAGATGGTCTCAAGAAGCCGCAAAAGACCAGGAAACAGATTCTTCCCTAGAACCTCCAGAAAGGAACAGAAACAGCCCTGCTAACATCTTGATTTTGGATTTCCGGACTTCAGAACAGTAAGATAAGAAATTTGTGTTGTTTTAAGCCACTGAGTTCATGGGAATTTGTTACAGCATCCATAGGAAACAGACGCAGTGCTCTTTGCCTCTGTCATTCTGTGATCCTTACACCCCAGGACCTGAGGCAGTGCCGGATATGCAGAGCACTCCATGAATGTTTGCTAAGTGAACTGCTGAAGGAGGAGGAGATTCTCCTCTAAGCCTTCTCCTGCCTGGCACAACCTAAACTCCTGACCAAGAGAATCCAGCCTACCCCAGAAAGAGGCAGGAAGGAGCAGCCCAGGTAAATCTGAGTTGATATGTCTTTTCCTTATTGCTAAGTTGGATGGATGAGCTAATTATAGTCTGAACCATGTTTTGTGTCAGTCATTGCACCCCTGGAAGACATGACAAAATATAAACCTAATTTACAGCTGTGATTTAGAGCTCTAGGGCTGGAGGTAGGTCAAAGAAAGAGAATTATCTATTTTTATATCAACAACTTAGGACATTTTTTCCATTTTCTACAGCACTGCATTAAGCATCACAAATGATCCAGTTGAAATTATAAGCAGTGTTAGTAAAAAGATGAGCAGAGATCATATTTCACAATCGAATTCCTTTATAAAAGTATTTCATGGCAAATTGGAGAAACAAATACACACATATATATGTAATGCAAATAACTACCTTCTCCTTTCTCTGAAACCATCCTTGCCTGTCCTTTAAACAAGGAAGGTAATATTTTCTATGTCAATATTCATAAGGGTAAAGTTTTCCAAATTAATAAAATCAATATGTCAGAGGCATTCAAGCCAGAGCGACTCCATCTTGAATAGGGGCTGGGTAAAATGAGGCTGAGACCTGCTGGGCTGTATTCCCAGGAGGTGAGGCATTCTTAGGCACAGGATGAGACTGGGGATTGGCACAAGATGCAGGTCACAAAGACCTCACTGATAAAACAAGATGTGGTAAAGAAGCCGGCCAAAACCCACCAAAATCAAGAGGGGGACAAAAGTGACCTCTGGCTATCCTCACTGCTTATTTTATGTTAATTATAATGCATCAGCATGCTAAAAGACACTCCCACCAGCACCATGACAGTTTACAAATGCCATGGCAACATTGGGAAGTTACCCTATATGGTCTAAAATGGGAAGAATCCTCAGTTCTGGGAATCCCCGCCCCTTTCTTGGAAAACTCATGAATAATCCACCCCTTATTTAGCATATGATCAAGAAATAAACATAAAAATGCCAACCCGCTTTTTATGGAGCAGCCATTCTTTTGCTTACTTCCCTAATAAACTTGCTTTCACTTTACTCTATGGACTCCCCCAGAACTCTTTATTGCAAAAGATCCAAGAACCCTTTCTTGGGAGTCTAGATTGGGACTGCTTTCCAGTAAGAAATACACCCCATAGCTTAGGGGCTTAAGAAATGAAGCTGCTTTGGAAACCTGAAAATTATTTAGATTTCACAAATGGCTCATGATGCCACGGAGAGTTATTTCCCTTTTGGCATCCTGGTTTCTCTAGTCAGTGAAAATCCTACACTTACAAAGTAGAAAGTTCAAAACAGTTTCTGATCTTTTAAACACACGTACTATATAAGCACAAAGATAGTTACAACCCCAACTAAAAACAATCATTTAGAACTGAATCTCAAATTCATATGTTTGTAGTTCATAATCTATCTGTAGTTGACCAAGAAGGTAAAATAAATTATTGGGTAGATGTAAGCTAAGATCAGTCATTGCCCTTAGTCTAGAACTTCTGATTAGATTGGTAACTCCCATGGCACTCCCCCAAGGCTCTAAGTGGTCCTGAGTAGCTTTAGAATCTGAATAAATCACACATACTAGGGATCCATCGAGACCACTAGAAACTCAATTTATTTGTGACCTGAGGCAGGATTTTATTGCTTCTCAGATTAACAGTTAAAAACGTTTTGCTTTTCTGCCTCAGGGGTATTCGTTTGATGTATGAGGCAGGGAGATTATTAAATCTTTGCTACCTTCCAAAGATGTAAATTAAACCACAGCACCTCCTTAGCCACTTTCCCTGTATGAACTGCTTATTTATTAACTTGTCACTCTTGCATGCTCATCAAAACAACCACACCTATGATTAATTATTCCTGTTTATTTAAGGGTGCTTGTCATTCTAACTTTTTGCGGACAGGATATTTACAAAGTCTCCTGATTTCTTTGCAGAACTGTGGCATGAAGACTTTTAAAGGACTAATCATTTCTATGGATATATTTTAAAAGAACAGTGGCATGAATGTAACTATATCTTGTTCTATTCATTTTAAATAAAGCTGCCCTTCATTTTGGCTTCCCTTGCCTGGTCATGAACATCATATTGGCTGATTTTGTCCATCTGGACATCTCCAAAAGACTTTGAAGAGGTTCGACATTAAATGGTCCAACATAAACTCTAAAGTTATTTTTTCAATTTTGTCACTCACAATTCAATTCAATGTAGACAGTATTTATTTATCTTCTATGTGGCAAGCAGCAAATATGGATTTGTTCATTCATTCCTTCATACAATATTTATTTAATGTATTTTATCTGCCAGTAATGGCAGTAGGCATATTGTTCACTGTTCAAAACAGTGAACAGTCCTTTCCTCCACTGGATTTACAGCCTTGTTACTACCCTTCCCAAGGCATTTGTCTCTACATATTATGAGCAGGAGATAATAAAACGACAATGAGAACCTGGATAAAAGGGAAGAAAAGCACAGTGTTCTCCCTCTGAAGTTTGCACAGAATACACAGTAAATTGAGTCAGGTTTAAGAAGACACCTGCAAGGCTCTTCCCCCATCCTGGTCCAGAGTGGGTCTGCAGGACTGAACTGCATTGAAACTATGGCATTTCACCTCTTTCTGTTCTCCTTGACCTGCCATATCATAGATCATCTGGTTTGCTGAATAATCACTGAACCAAAAAGTTTTCAAATGAATTTTGGAGGCACAGCTGCCTAGCCTCTGCCACAAGAAAAAAATCACCTTACTAGTTTAAATGGTTGAATAATCATCTTATTTTTTTTTTTAAGATATAGGTTCCTGATCATATCCTTGTCTCTCTTTAAAAGTTTTTATTTTCTTGGGAGGCCAAGGGAGGAGGATCACTTGAGGCCAGAAGTTCAAGACCAGCCTGGTCAACATATCAAGATCCCATAACTACGAAATGTAAAAAATTAGCCAGGTATGGCAGTGAACATCTGTAGTCCTAGCTACTCAGGAGGCTAAAGCAGGAGGATCGCATGAGCCCAGGAGTTCAATGCTGCAGTGAGCTGTGATCGTGCCACTGCACTCCAGCCAGGGCGATAGAGTGAGACTTTGTCTCAAAACAAAAAGTTTTATTATGGAAATTGTCAAACAGAAAACAATTAAGATAATAAAATAATGAATCCCCAAATACCTATCACCTAGCTTCAGTGATTATCAAAATTTTGCTGTTCTTGTCTTTACCTACCACCTTTCTCTCTCCCTTCACTTTTCTTTTTGTGTTTGAGTATTTTAAAATAAACCTCTAGCTGGACATGGTGACTCACGCCTGTAATCCCAAAACTTTGGGAGGCTGAGGGGGGTGGATCACCTGAGGTCGGTACTTTGAGACCAGCCTGACCAAAATGAAGAAACCCCGTCTCTATTAAAAATACAAAATTAGCCAGGCGTGGTGGCGCATGCCTGTAATCCCAGCTACTCGGGAGGCTGAGGCAGGAGAATTGCCTGAAGCCAGGAGGCAGAGCTTGCAGTGAGCCAAGATCGCGCCATTGCACTCCAGTCTGGGCAACAAAAGTGAAACTCCGTCTCAAAAAAACAAACAAAAAGAAACCTCTGCTATCACACCATTAAACCTCCAAATCCATTAGAACGTATCTCTAACAAAAAATAAGATTTTAAAAACATAACTATAATATCATTGCAATATCTAACAAAATAATAACATTACTTTAATACCTTGTAATCCCTAGCCCAAGTTCAAATGCTCCTGATTCTCTAAAAAAAAATCCTTTTGGATTGAAATAGGATCCAAACAAGGTCTACACATTAGATTTGGCTGATATGTCTTTCACTTACACCTGTTCTCTCCATGTCCTTTTGAATATCACCAAAATGATCTTCAATATTTGATTTTTATCCAGGATAACTAAATCTGTCCAAACCTAACATATGCTGCTGGTGAAACCTCATTATGTAATATTTTTCAAGGACAAACTACCAAAAGAAAAGGTGATCATACAAGTTATCATGCAAACAGAGAAACTGAGTGAAAAGTGAGTGCTGTTAATAATTATACTGGTGTAAACCAGGACGAACAGTCACCCTATGAATAGAAGATATTAGGGGTAAAAAGGAGGATCAGGTTTCTGGCTTCAACTCTGGAGCTGGGGAGCTGGAAAAGAACTAGAAAGAATACCTCTCCCACCCTTAAAATTAATAAAAAAAATAAGTTGAACGAACTTCAAGTTAACAACTTTTCTTGGATCCATCAAAGAGTTGAAGAAACAACTAGTTTATTTGAAGAAGCACCAACTAGCCCAAAATCAAAGTAAAGAGAAGTGCCTACAGGAAAAGTCAGATGCAAGCATTTGTTTACGTGGGGCAGTTGAACACCCAGAAGAACTGTGAAGAAACTGGTGGAATCTGAGTATTGGCAGGTGACAGAATATGGCCTCAGATACAAAGGGAGTTTACACCACTCACAGGCTTCTCTCTACAGGCCCTAGTGGGTGCTCATAAACAATGATGGCAGCAGTGCTGAGAAGACATGCTTAGGGGAGGGGAGAAGCAGTTGTTGCAGGAAGGGCGTGGATACCTGCCCAGATCCTTCTTCCCTATCTCCCCTGTTAAAACAAAAGCAATACAAGAAAACCCAACAACTTCACCTAGAGTGGGGAATAAGAGCAACAAGCACTATTGCCCTTAGAGCACTCCTGAATACCAACTGCAGCTTTGGGAAGGAAATTGTTAAAAAAAAAAAAATCCTCCACACCTCAGGGAGGAGCAGGAGTATATGCTGGGCTCAGAACTATCACTGGGGAGAAACAGAAGCATGAAAAAGGTCACACTCCTGAGACCCAGAGACACAGTATCCACTCAACACTGAGGCTTAGTTAGAACGACAGGGAACACTTCCTTCACCTGCCACCACCAGAGCAAGAAGCATCACACAGCAACAGCAGACGACTGCTGAGAGGGCCCAGAGAGAAGCAAGGACATGGAGAGAAACTCTCTGGGGTCACTGCATAAGGAGAAAGTGTAAGGCTAAGGGTAGGCCCAACATTGAGAAAAGTCTATTCAGTGGGTAAACCAGCCCTGCTCCTAATACAACATTTTATTAGAAGAATTTGAAGTCTCTGGTACACTGAGGATAGCCCTATGAACAACAAACCCCCAAAGCCACCTCAACGCCTGTCTAGGTTGATTCACATTCCACACTAAAAATCTAGAAAAAGAGGCCAGGCGCGGTGGCTCACGCCTGTAATCCTAGCACTTTGGGAGGCCAAGGTGGGTGGATAGCCTGAGGTCAGGAGTTCAAGACCAGCCTGGCCAACATAGTGAAACCCTGTCTCTACTAAAAAATATATAAAAAATTAGCTGGGCGTGGTCGTGGGCACCTGTAATCCCAGCTACTAGGGAGGCTGAGGCAGAAGAATCGCTTGAACCTAGGAGGCAACGGTTGCAGTGAGCCAAGATCGTGCCATTTCACTCCAGCCTGGGCAACAAGAGTGAAACTCCATCTCAAAAAAAAAAAATCTAGAAAAGGAAAAAATGTACCCCATTTGCAGGCATAAAAACTATTTACCTCAATCAGTGCTGTCCAGTGTTCAATAAAAAAGTAAATAAAGTACGTGGTATATAAAACAAAAACGAAAATAAAAAGCCCCACAATGCCAAGAGACAAAGCAATCAACGGAACCAGACTCATATATGACACAGATATCGGAACTATTAGATAAGGAATTTAAAATAGCTATGACAAATATATTGAAGTGTCCAGTGAAAGAACTGGACAACACGCATTGTCAGATGGGTAATTTCAGTAGAGATAATGAGAACTGTAAGAAAAAAATCTAATGACGCTGTTAAAAGTGAAAAACGCAGTAAAAGATCAAGACCAAGTGACATCAAGACTGTCACTGACAGGCTCATCAGTAGACTTGACAGTGCTAAGGGGAGAGTTGGTGAACTTGAAATCATCCAACCTGAAAGAGAATAAAGAGTAAAAAATAAAAACAGCACCAAGCATCCAGAAACTATAGGACAATATAAAATGATCTAACAGATGTATAGCTAGAATTCCAGAAGGAAAAAAGAGACAGAAATGAGGTAGCATAAATATAAGAAGGGATAATGCCTGAGAATTTCCAACATTAATGACATACATTGAACTACAGATCCAAAACAACAACCAAGATAAATACCAAGCCAGAGATAGACATATCATATTCAGGTTCTGAAAACACAAAACAAAGTCTTGAAGGAAACCAGCAGGGGTAAAAAAGACACATTAACACAGAGAAATAAACAGCCCATCTTATTAGAAAGCATGCAAGTCGGAAGACAATAGAGTAACATTTTCAAAGGACTAAAAGAAAAAATAGTGTCAATACAGAATTCCCTACCTGGTGAAAATATCTTTCAAAAATAAAGGATAAAAAGACTTTCTTAGAAAAAAAAACTAATTAAATTAACTGTCATCAGTACTAAACCATAAAAATTTTAAAGAATATTCTTCAGAAAAGAGAAATTTGATACCAGATACATACATTTAGATGAAGAAACAAATAATGCTAGACATGGCATAAATAAAAATAACAATTTTGCTTTTATCAGTTTTAATTGCTCTGAAAAGGAACAATTTAAGCAAAAAAAGTGGAATTATATTGTGCCTTGTAGCATACATAGAAGTAACATAGGAGACAAAAATAGCACAAAGAATGAGACAGACTGATTGGAAACATGAGTATAAGGTCCTCATAGCACACATAGGAGTATAATATTACTTGAGGGTAGACTTTGATTAATGTGTTATATTGTAACTACTAAAAACTTTTTAAGAGCTATAGGTAGTAAGTCAATACTATAGATAAATAGATGAAATAATAAAAACTGCTCACTTAACCCAAAAAAGGCAGAAAAAAATGAAATATAAAGAATTTATAGAAAACAGGTAGCAAGACAGATTTTAATCCAATATCAGTATTCACATTAAATGCAAGCAGTTAAAACATCAATTGAAAGGAAGATTTTCAGATTAGATTAAAAAGGAACCGTATGCTGTCTACAAGAAACCCACTTTAAATATTTTGAAAATGAAAACTAAACACATGAGATGCCGCTAAAACCATGCTTAGAAGAAAATTCATTGCATACAGTGCTTATATTTAAAAAGAAGAAAGATCTCAAATCACTCACCTAAGCTTCGACCTAAGAAACTAGACAAAGAAGAGCAAATAAAATCCAAAACAAGCAGAAAGGAGATTTTAAAATACAGCAGAAATCAATAAAATTGGGACAAAGTACACAAAAATAAATAAAACCAAAACCTGTGTTTTTAAAGAGATCAATAAAGTTGATAAAAACCCTAGCCAGATGGAGAAGGAGGAGGAGGAGGAAGAGGAGGAGGAGGAAGGGAGGGAGGGGGAGAAAGAAAGAGGAAAAAGAAAGAGACAGAGAGAGAGAAAGGAAGGAAGGAAGGAAAGAAAGAGGGAGGGAGGGAGGGACGGAAAGAAAGGAAAGAAAGGGAGGGAGGGAGGAAGGAAGGAAGGAAAAAAAGGAAGGAAGGAAGGAGAAAAAGGAGAAGGAGAAAACTGAAATTACGAATTTCAGGAGTTAAAAAGAGGATGTCACTACAGATGCCACAGATATTAATAAGATAAAAGAATAGTATGAAAGACTCAATGCCCATAAATGTAAAAACTTGCATGATATGGAGCAATTCCCTGAATGATATCAACTACCAAAACTCACTTAACAAGTCAACCAGGACAGTTGTATATCGATTAAAGAAATGAAATTTGTAGTTAAAAACCTTCTAACAAACAGAAATTCCAGTCCCAGATGGTTTCACTAGAGAATTATACCAAACACTTAAGAAAGAAAAATCAATTCTACAGAATTTTTTCCAGAAAAATAGAAGAAAAGAGAACACTTCCCAGAAAATAGAAGAAAAGAGAACACTTCCCAAAGCATTTTATGAGGCCAGCATTACTCTGATGCCAAAACCAGACATTACAAGAAAAGAAAACTGCAGACCAATATTTATTATGAACATAGATATCAAAATTCTCCAAGAAATTTATCAAATCAAATCCAGAAATATATGAAAGAGATAAGCCAAGTGGAGTTTATCCCAGGAATACAAAGCAGATTCAACATTCAAAAATTAGCCAATACAGCTGGGTGCAGTGGCCTCACGCTTGTAATCCCAGTGCTTTGGGAAGCCAACAGGGAGGATGGTTTGAGCCCAGGAGTTCAAGACCAGCCTGGACAACATAGTGAGACCCTCATCTCTACCAAAAAAAAGGTTGTTTTTTAATCAGCCAATATAATTCACCATCTTAACAGTCTAAAGAAGAAAAACCACATGGTCACCTCTACAGTTACAGAAAAGGCATTTGACAAAATTCAACATCCATTCATGTGTTTTCTTTTAATCTCAACAAAATAGGAATAGAAGGAAACTTTCTTAATAGGATGAAGGACTTTTACTGAAAAACCCTACATCTAATACCATAATTATAAAAGACCATTTCTTCCTAAGATTAGGACTAAGGCAAGGAAGTACTGCCTCACAGCACTCCTACTCAACATCATAGTGGAAGTCCTAGCTAGAGCAAAAAGGCAAGAAAATGAAATAAAAAGCAGAGAGAGTGGAATAGAAGAAATAATAAGTACACAAATAAACGACTCAAACTAAGAAAAACAAAACCAGATTCTGTGTTACAGAATGGTGATGGTTGGGGAAGGTGAATGGGGCTAGGGCTTAGGTGATCTGTGAAAGTCTTTCTGAGAAGATGATATTTGAGATGAAATTTTAAGGATAGAGTAAAGCCAGCCATGAAAAAAAAATTACACACACACACAATGAATTTGTATGTTATGATCTATCCAGGATTTCTCACATCCTAAACTTACAGCTTCAGAACTCACTCCTCACTGCCTCTCTCTAAGTTCTCCAATTGCAAAAGACTCTGATCAGCTGAAATCATCTTTTGGTCTTACATTCCAGAGAGCTGACCAAACTTGGTCCAATCAACTGATAAGGGAGAGGGTGGGCTGGAAGGTAAGAAGGTCACAAGGTTTAAGCAACAGGAATTAGGCAGGCAAATCTTAAAAGGTGATGGGGAGCAGTTTAGCAATTATTGACACTTCTCTGCAGGAACAAAATTAATAAGCCTCTATCCTTATGTAAAAACTAATTGACCAATAAATTCCAAATATTGAAAATTGATAAATCCAGATGAAGGATGTAAGACAGTCATTGTACAATTCTTGCATGTTTTCTGTAGGTTTCAAATTTTTCAAAAAATAAAGTTGGAGGGAAAAAAACCTGCATATCTTGAATTATACATTCTTGAATACATGTTACAGATGACATAATTTGGAACTCTTTGTGAGTCAAAGCAATTTTAAACAAAATACAAAGATTAGAAAACAACTTACCTGTATACTATTGCATTCCTGGTCTTTGAAATCCTAGTTAAAATTCCTCTGCTAACTATCAGAGTCTCCAAAATTCACCCCCTTAATTGCAGAGTTTACAGAAAAAAAAAAAAAGTCTTTAACATTATCTGCCATTTCAATAGGACAAGGACAGAAATAATATTTAAGTAAGCAAAGTACAGTGTAACTCTGTAAGTCTAGTTAATGGAACCTTGGAAATTAAAAAGCATAATTACTTGCCCCTTATTCTGCTAATTGATTTAGGAACCAGAAATACAATAATACAGCTATTTCACACAGAGACCTATTTAGCCTGAAATGAACTCCAAGTTTTCTGTACCACCTCAATTTTCATAAGAGATTTAATCAACATTAGCAGAAATATGCATATTCTTAAAACTGACGTGCTTAGGCATTAGTAACTATGTTCAAATACCACAGGTTCTTTGGTGACTAATTCGTGACTACTAGGCCAGGTGTGAACTACATTAATAAAACCACTTTCATTACTGTAATTAAATTTAAGTATAGAGAAGCTAAAAACAAATACTGTTCTAAAATACCTCTGCATTTATAGTGGAGTAGCTTGTATAGGTTTAACTCTCTCTAGCAGATAATAATTATAACTCTGAATGAAATGTTTTTTTGAAAACAGTTATTTGAAGGCACTGGAGAGAGACAGACCAAAAGGTGGCAGAAACTAGAGGGGAGTTGACCTCTAAACTAAGGTAACTAAGATGGAGGAATATTTGTATTTCAAAGGCTTTTTGCTTAAGGATACTCTCTAGTCTGTTCCCCATAGGGAGGCTAAAATGCAAGCAGAAATCTGTAATCCTATGGGCTTACTGAGTCAGATAATACAGTTGAGGTCTCCAATAGTAGCTGAAACGGGGGGAATCCCAATAAGAAGGAGGTTAAAGAAATAGGAGTTCTAAAATCTCTCTATATTTTCTACCCAATCTTTGACCAACCTCTGAACTACAAATACACAGAGAAGACTATGAGGCTGCCAGCAAATGACAACAGCTGGAAAGGCTGAAAAAACTAAGCAGAACTTTCAGGGGCTGCCCAAAACATGTGAGTAGTCTGGAATTTGAGCCAGCCAAGTTAACTGCCCATCAGAACAAAAATCCACACTCTTCAGAGTAATACAAGAGATTCAGAAATTATCACAACATATCACCCACAATGTCTGGTGGCCAAAACAATTACTAGACATATGACGGTACATTGTAATCCACAGTTAAGAGAAAAACCAGTCAATAAAATCTGACCCTAAGAGGACCCAATTGCTAGAATTAGTAGAAAACAAGTTTAAAGTCACTATTATAAGTAGGTTAAAAGACTTAAAGAAAAATATGATCATATGATATGAACATATGGAGGATATCAGCAGAAAAATAGAAACTATAAAAGAGAATCAAATGGGAATCACAGAACTGAAAACTAAAACACCTGAGATGAAAAATTTTCTAGATGGAATTAACAGATTGAAGATGGCAGAAAAAAGAATCAGTAAATCAAGGCTAGTAATGTCATGGAGAAACTTGGCAGACAACATCTTAACCAAGTGATCAAAGTTAACATTACTAACATTGGGAAAAAACCAACATCCTGTGCCTCCTGACATGATGCACTGAAAAGGAAATACTATCAGTTTTATGGGGTTTTGCCAAAAATCTATAACTTGAATCAAAATACGAGGAAACATAAAGCAAATGCAAATTGAGGGCCAATATATAAAATAACTGACCTAAACACTTTGAAAATTCCAAGGCCAAGAAGACAAAGATTGGCTGAGAAATTCTTCCAGATTCAAATAGACTAAACAGACATAAAAACCAATACAATGAATGACCATGGATCAGATCTGGACTAGGGACAGAGGGGCAGAGGAGCTATAAAGAACATTAATTAGACACTTATTGAAATTTGAATATGGACTATGGATTAGATAATAGTACTACATCAATGTTAAATAGTCTGACTTTGATCATTACACTGTGGTTATATAAGAGAATATCCTTGTTTTTAGAAAATGTATACCTAGGTATTTAAGGGGGCAAAATGTCTCCAAGTTACTCTCGAATGGTTCAGATAATAAAATTATATGCACCCACAGAATGATAAATCAAATAGGGAAAAATGTAAACAACTGATGAATCTTGATAGAGGAGACGTGGGAGTTCCTTGTACTATTCTTGCAATTCTTCTGTTCATTTTGAAATTATACTGAACTAAATAAGGTGCCAAACATTACTATACCCTATTGGAAGTCTGACACATGACTACTTGGAGTGTAGATTAGTATACTACTGTGGAAAACTGTTGGTAGTATCTACTAGCCACTTGATAATTTAGCAATTCCACTTCTGGGTATATACCTGTCATGGTCTAAATTGTGTCTGCCAAAAATTTGTATGTTGAAGTGCTAACCCCAGTACCACAGAATGTGACCTTATTTGGAAATAGAGTTGTTGCAAATGTAGATAGCTGGTGTCCTTATGAAAAGGGGGAATTTGAACCCAGAAGCACTTACATAGGGAAAATTCCCTGTGAAAACTGGAGTTACGCTACTGCAAGTCAAAGCTGTCCCAGAAGCTAGGAGAGAAGCCTGGAACAGATCCTTCCCTAGTGCCTTCAGAGTGAGGACAGGCCTGGCTAACATCTTCATCCTGGAGTTCTGGCCACCAAAAATGTGAGATAATAAATTTCTGTTGTTTAAGTCACTTAGTTTGTGGTACTTTGTTATAGCAGCCCCAGATAATTAATCCAATATCCAACAGAAATGCATTCATATGAGCATCAAATGGTATATAGAAGAATGTTTATAGCAGCCCAAACTGAAAATATCCCAAGTATCAAGCAATAGTAGAATAAATAAGTTATATATTTATATAATGGAATCCTATACATGAAACAACATAAATTAATCTCACAAACATAATGAGTGAAAGAAGCCAGACATAGACGAGGTAAAAGAAAAGAGAAGGTTCAGATACTGGTGAGGGAGAGAACCAGGGAAGACATAGCTTTAAAAGCACTATAAAGGTGGCTACACACAGAGGGCATATTTTAAAATCTTTTAAAGTAACACTAAAGGAGAAAGCCCTGAAAATACTGTGCTAGGAAAGCTATCTATTTTGGTCCACTTCCACTATCACACAGGAACCTAAAACTTCCTAAAAGTTCAGGAAAATGCATCTCATTTAAACAAGAGCCATAGAAAATGATTGTAATTAAACATATATATATAGTGATATTGCAAGGAAAAGGCAGAAAATGATATGAGAAACATACCCCAAAGGAAGCACACTAAGAAAAGTCACAAGATGTGAACCCGGGAGGCGGAGCTTGCAGTGAGCCGAGATCGCGCCACCACACTCCAGCCTGGGTGACAGCGCGAGACCCCATCTCAAAAAAAAAAAAAAAAAGTCACAAGATGGATTTAAGTGCTATTAAAGAAGAAAACAGAAGCTCTAAAAGAACAACATAAATTAAAATAGAAAAATACAGTTTACATGATTAGTCAGCAGGAAGATAAAAAAAAATAGAGCTCAGTAATGTTAAATCAAGTTTAGCCTGAAGCTGCCACCTTACATATTTTAAGTTCAGCCTAAAGGTTTCTCTGTACATCATGAACTATAACAAGTGGAGGTATAAACAGATCAGAGCTTACGCTTGTGCCAGTCACCGAGTTTTGGCCAATCAAATGTAGCCAACTGTTTGAACCCTGTTCAAATAAGGCAAATGCCAATCTGTAACCAATCCAGCTGTTTCTGTACCTCACTTCTGTTTTCTGTATATCACTTTCCTTTTTCTATCTATAAATCTTCTTCCACCACATGGCTGCACTGGAGTCTCTAAGCCTACTCTGGCTCAGGAGGCTGCCCAATTCACAAATTGTCTATTGCTGAATTAAATGCCTTTAAATTTAATTCAGCTGAAGTTTTTCTTTCATCAGTAAGGAAATAAGAAGAAACCAATTACTTCACATATGAATGTTAAACATAAGAGCTAACATACATAATGGAAAACAGTAACAGAAATAGAAAAAGGAAATTAAAAATCAAACAAAAATAAAAAGATAAAAAATAATTTAAGAGAAAGTAATAGATACAGAAGACAGGTGCTAATATACAACATACATTAACAGCAGTCCCTAAACAAGGCAATCAAAGAAATAATGTAATTAAAACAATTAATTATATTAACAGAATTAAAGAGAATATGTTCATATCCACTGATTTAAAAAATGGAAACATTTAAACAAACATTTATGTTTTTTAAAAACTCCAAAAACTAGGAAAACCTCCTTAATAAAAATAGTAAACTAAAAAATCAGCACCTAATGGGAAAACACTAGAGTAACAGTTCTAAAAGTGTGGCCCATGGACCTTTTCAAGAGTCTGTGAGATCAAAAACTATTTTCATGGTAAAACTGAGACAGGAGATCAGCAGGACTTGTGTTCCCAGCACCCAACTCAGCAAAGAAACCAGCGAAAACCAAGATGGTGACTACAGCAACCTCTAGTTGCTCTCATTGCTCATTATATGCTAATTATAATTAATTTGCATGCTAAAAGACACTCCTACCAGTGGCTTGACAGATTACAAATGCCATGGCAACCCCTAGAAGTTACCTTATGTGGTTTAAAAGGGGAGGAATCCTTGGTTCCAGGAACTCCCCAGCTCTTTTCCAGAAAAGTCATGAATAAACTGCCCCTTACGTAGCATATAGTCAAGGAATAGCCATATATACTGCTAGCCAGCAATCCACAGGGCTGCTGCTGCTGTCTGTTGTTCGAATAAACTTGCTTTGGCTTTGCTCTGTTGGTTCACGCATGAATTATTTCCTGTGTGAAGCCAAGAACCCTCCTGGGCTGAGCCCCAATTTTGGGGTTTGCCTGCATTGAAACTAAGACATTATGCATCTTTTCACAATGTCAGTAGTTGCACTGATGGTGCAAAGCAGTGGTGAGCAAAACTGCTGTTGCCTTAGCACAAATCAAGGCAGGGCACCAAACTATACTAGTAGGCATTGTATTCTTCATCATACATGCTCATAATGGGGGTCAGAGGGAGCCATTTTTACTTAAGAATGTCCTTGATGAAGTAGCAAAAAATATTAATTGTATTAAGTCTTGCTCTTAAGAGTACATGACTTTAATAATATTGAAGAAATGGAAAGTTGTGTACACATAAAGCTCTTGCTGCACCCCAAAGTAGAACGAGTGCCTCCAGGAAAACCATTTGTGTAACTGAGTTGCAAAGTCAAATGGTGCATTTTTCATGAAATACCATTTTTACTGGAAAGAAAAACTGGCAAACGATAGTTAGACGAGTATTTGGCAGATATTTTCTCAAAAATGAATAAAGTGAGCAACGCTTCAAGGAAAACAACTGTCAGTGTTTTTTGACATGATAAAATTTGAGCATTCAAGGAAAAATTAGAATTTTATAAAACATGTGTCCATCACTCTGAGCTTGACAGCTTCCCAATACTTAGATTTGTTTGATGAGATCAGTGGTGATGTTTTAAAATGTAACTTTTTGCATAATGTATAATCAAATGTGTCAACATTTGCATGATCTGCATAACTCAGTGAACCAATATTTTTCAAATGACAAATTCATGGTGTTAAAAAAACCACATATGGGTAAATGATCCATTCAAAGTACAAGACAGATCAATGGATTTTAGTGTAAGAGTCAAAAAAATTCATAATATAGCTTGATTCTTCATTGCAACCAATGTTTAAGAAACTATTACCTGCCAAATTTTGATGTAACATCAAAAAAATCCATAATTACCTTAAAGGTTATTAAAATACTCCTCCCTTTCCCAACTTCATATCTATATGAGGCCATATTTTCTTAAATATTTCAACCAAAACAATGTATTCCGACAGATTGTAGAATCAGATGAGAATCCAGCTGTCTCCTATTATAAAGACAAAAGTGATTCACAAGAATGTAAATATCACATTTCTCACTACATTTTGTTTTGAAAGATATTTTTCATAAAAAATTATGACATGCAATAGTTTTATCATTGTTATATTAACATTAATAAAATTTGTCTCAGTTATTAATCTGACATGAATTATATCAACAGATATAACTCTCAAACAAAAGCTCTTTGGGTTCCTTGATAATTATTGAGAGACTAAATTTTGAGGCCCAACATTTTGAGATCCACTGCACTATAGCCACTAAAATCAGGGGGATGTGAGCCCTGGGAAGAAAATATACACAATGAAACAGGTGCATATTATGCCAGAATGTGTGAAAGCTATCAGACTGTTGAATTACATTTTAAAAAATGACACAGGCATCAACATGAAGGAGCCCTTCCCCTACCCACCCAAGCCAAATTTGAGTAATTTGAACATCAAGTAAGAATAGTCATAATTGATTAAAATGTATCCAGTATACAACCAACCATGAGTTCCTAGAGAGTTTAAAAACAACCACAACCACAACAACGAAATCTCATTGGTCACCTTTCAAGGTTGGTAAGACACAAACTTATCTTTCTGAAAATTGATAAAGGTTAAAGAAATTAAACATCTGTCCAGCTTTTCCTAAACTACTTCAGAAAAAAAATAGTTGATGAATTCATCTTCATTAAAGTTCAGTTAATACAGAAGGAACCTGGTTAGGAAAACACTGCTTGCAACCCTTAATAAATAGAGCTAGTATCAATATTCAGTGGATGCTAAACCTATTAAGTGAAAGATAGAAAATTTAATTGATGGATCAGGTTGACAATATCTAAACTGATTAACCTTAATATAACTGAGGGAAGCAGCTAGCCATTTTGTGCTTGTGAAGTGATGAAAAGAAAGTACACACCACCCTCACGAACTATTCTTGCAAAAAGCAATCAATTCTGCAAATCTACCTACCAATCTATGGGAAATCTGTGGCATAGAAATGCAATTAAAAAGTAATCACAAATAACTAATCAGCCAAATTCAGATTATAAAAAAGGTTACAGGATGAATAACCAGTTCTTCAGCCATTTAAATGGCATGGCCAACAAAATGTTGGGGCTGGGCTCGGGGACAGGGACTAAATCGATTAAGAGAGACCTCAGAAACATCAAATAAACAGAAGAAGCCTTATTTGGCTCCTTATCTGAAAGGAAACAACAACAATAAAAAGGTATTTCTGAGACAACCTGGAAAACAGGCATTGGGTGATATTGAAAATGGGTATTAAACATGGACTGGGTATTGGGTGATATTGTTAGGTGTGGTAAATTGCTTAACTGTGAAAGATATGTATTTGTATGTCTGTATGTATTTAGAGGTATGTATTTCATGAATTTAAAATACTCCAAGAAAAAAAGTGGAGGGTGAAACAAGTTCAGTAAAATGCTGATAGTTACGAAAACTGGGTGCAGGTACATGGGGTGAGGGTGGGGGTTGTTACATCATTTTAATTTTGTGTATGTCTGAAGGTTTTCTATAATAAAAACAAAATCAAATAGCATTCTGTAGAAACCTATATTGATGATATAGCATACAAAATAAGTACATATCATATACTTATTCACAATGAGCACGTGCTTGAATTTATAATCCTAAAAAAAAGAAAATGAAAAAAGACATAACAACGTAAGATCACTCAAAGTAATGCTGAATCTGAATGATGCAAGCAAGTTAAGTGCAATAGCTCCACAAAGATTAACATTACTGTAGTTGCAGGCATGTTGTTTACCCTACTAAAAAGAAATCCACTCAAAAATATTTCTGTTTTCAATTTTCCCAGCTATTCTATTATAGATACAGATTTTTGAATCCTGGGATTCAATGGAAACAAAATAGAAACTCTCAAAAGTAGACAGAAAAAACACATCTGTCTTGCCCAGTAAAATAATTTGGTGTTGAAGCACAATCTTAAATAGCAAAAAAATGCAGAAACACATAAAATATGTTTATCAGCAAAGATCAGTATAATATTTCAAGGTAATGAACACAAATAGTTTAAAGAAAAATCTTTACAAACGTTTTCCTTAAATCACAACAATCCAAGCCATAAATTAAAATATGGCCATAATATTAATACTACATGTCCCATAATAAGCTAAACTGATGTGCTGCACTTGGTATGAACACAGAATGATCACACCTAGTTGATATGGCTCTGAAAAGACACAAAGATCAAGATCTCAAAAAATTCAGAGAAATATTATCATGGATACAATTTGTACATGAGTACACAACCTATATGTGAAACAAGCAGATTGGACTAAAATTTTCAGTTGAGTGAAATTAGACCGCTCAGCCACACTATCACCCACAGGCTGGGTTGAGTGAAATTAAATGCTAACTATGCTTAATGACAGATAATTTTTAAATCTTTTCACTAATAATGCACTTTCATGTATCTGTGGTCATAAAGAAGCTTCACCTCCTCCCAAATCATTCCAGTATAAACTTATAGTTATCAAAAATAACTTATTTGCATTTCTGTTTTGGCCAACAAAGAAAAAGCAAATATTAAACAGACAATAAAAGAATAAGGGGGCAGGGGAGAACTCATTATTCAAGGCCTGCAATTTTATATAAACTAAAAAATGCATTAGAGGCTCAAAATAATAACCCATATACATCTATTGAGCATTATTCTTTTAATTACATGTCCTAAAACATACCTACATACTATGAGTTACCATACGTAGTATCAAGCTTTGAGTTTACTTGCTACTTGGCCCATTAGGCCAACCCTAAAAAATGCTTACCATTGAAATGGAAATTCATTTTCCATTTCAATATTGAATTTGAAATATTCATATTTTGTTCCATATTGAAATTTTTGCTTTATATTGAGTTCTGCTCCTAAGATCAGTCCGAAATGTTTTATCCAGCTTTTTTTTTAAAGGTGTGGGAAGCCTATTATAAAATAATTGAGTCTCTCTTTTCAGTGTCAACTATGTAGTAAACAAATTTGCAGCCAAGTCTTGCATATCTGTCCCATCTCGATATAATAATTTGTCATCATTTTAAGAGTATAATACTTACACTAAGTGTATGTTTTGTTCAAATTAAACAGATTACAAAGGAAACAATTTGATGTTTGTTTTTTAATAGATATTACAAATTAAAAATCTCAAAACCTGTGGAAAAAAGTTTTTAAGAACAGTCTACCTTGGTAAAACATGCATACTCTCACCTCTTCCTGTCTTCTTCTACTTTTCCATTCATCTTTTGAATAGCATTTTTCCTCTCCTTTCTCTTAAAGAGAAACTCATATAAATCATTAGTACCTGTCATCTATTAATATATCCAGTTCAATCTGAACCTTCCTCAAGTCATGTCTAACCTCTAAAGCAATTTGAATCCAATGAATCAGATGAGCAATTGATTCCAAAACCCACGTTAAAAAGCAAAATACATTTGAGAATACTTCAGTGTTATATATTCCAGTACAGATTAGTGTCAACAAAACACTAAGCATTCAATACTTATTTGAAGGGCTTAAAGACAGTAATAATGCTAGAATCTGGACCCATGCCTTCAACTTCATTCTTATCAAATAGTTAAAATAAGTAAAAAATAAGCTGCATTATTAGTATATTGAATCCCACTTAGCAAGGCATAAAGACTATTAAGTGCAAAATGGTTTTCCAAGAGTGTTTTTTTTTTTCCTCCTGGTAATCAACCTTCTGTCAGACTTCCATCGTCATACAACTGGAATTGCTTCCATAGAGTCACCAGTAGGAAATCAGATTTCTTTCAAAAATCTACTTCCAGGCCTCCACACACTCCTCTTCCAATCCCCCTTAAGTATTCAATTTCTTTCCTGAAGTAGGCCTTCCATAAGTATTACAATATTAAGGACTAAATTTTAATGAATGCAAATCAGAGAAAATGAAAGAACATTAACTATCATTCAAAACTCCCTTTAAAAATGTCTGTTTCCAACTTATATTTTTAACTTCTCCCATAATTCCATTTAAAAAAGATGAACACAAAATCTCTCTAGTAATGACTTTATTCATGAATCTATAATGGAATTCAAAATAGCAAAGAACATGAAAATGTTCAGATTAATATTTATTAACCAAATGCATCAGAAAATACATCTATTTTCACATATCAAAAGTGCCTAAAATGCATGTGAGAATATAAATATTCTCCACTTTGTGGAACTTCAAGATAATGAAAAATTGCTTAATACACTTTGCCACAAAAACTCATTACACTGCAAATACAGAAGAAATAAAATAACTCATTACATTGCAGATACAAAAGAAATCAAATGTAACTGGCAAAATAACCATTTCATGGCTAATCTTTTGGTAAAGTGCTATTTTCACACTGAAAAAAAGAAATTAGAAAAGATTAAAAATTTTAAATTCTGAACCATCATTCTGAAAGTCTGAAGCGTTTTCTTTAGTATTCACTATGTTCATCACATTCATGTGTTCCCAACATGAGACTAAACACTATCTCAAAATCTTAAAAAATCTTTCCATTCACAGATTATTTCCTGGAAGTTAAAAATTATTACATCATTGCTAAATGAAGCTTTTCACAATACAGGCGTGTATTAGATACAACAAATAATTTTTCATTGTTCTAAACATGATCTTTGGTTTAAAGCTGTCCCGTTATATTTTTATAGTTGGATGGTGTGGTCAGTAAAAGATTCATACAACAGCATACTAGTTTTATTTGAGCCATGTAAGAAAATAGGGTCAATCACCTAAGGGCAATGAATGGCATGTTATCAAGAATCTGGCGAGATGAATTCCCTGAAATTCATAACTGATGTGTTAACGGAAATCAGTGTTGCTGAACAGTGATTTACTCATTTCCTTTCCTCAATTACCTCTCTCAATTCATTAACAACATTAACCAATGAGAGGAAATTAGTTGGAAAATTCACTAACAGCATTAGCCACTAAGAGGAAATCGGCTGGAAAAAAAAAACTAATCTGAACAAAGGTACACAGATGCAAATCTTAAGCAGATTAAGTAAGACCAACTAAATGGCATAGGTAAGCATGGCTGTGGCCACCCATACACATACACACACCTCATATTTAGAGTGTGAATATCTATCATTGCATAGATTCCACCACGTGGAAGAGCTCTATGCCTGTGGGTGTATATACCCTAGAGATCAGAATGGATGGTTTTCCAGAATTAATGAGACTTTGAATGATGCAAATGTTGGCCTTTCCCCAAAATAAAAGGTTTTTAAATTAATAGAGCAACAGGATGCAAATACTGGGCAAATTATAAGAAATCATAAAGTTGAATCTCAGAAAGCATATGTTCAGTTTTGTAACTGAAGGCTGTTGATAATTTCTTCTCTCTCTCTTTGAATAATGAAATGCAAATGCCTTTTAGCAATGGCAGCATTCAAATCCCACAAAAAATCAAGCAGGGCCCCCTTAAGGAGTACCTCCATTGGCACAAACTGTAAAACCTGCTGGGGTGAGTCAGAGTTGAGCAAAGTGCTCAACAATTCATTCACACTCTGCAAATATCGGAAAACTGGATTTGGAAGGTCCTGATAACCAACACATAGCAGGACTGCGCAGGTCCTCAGGGGATCAGAGGATGTGGGACAAACAAAAGTGATGAATCTAAAACAACTGTGGAGTACAAAGATCAAACCAGCCATAAATCTTGTGAAGCAAGAAAGTACAGGCAAAATCATAACATCTCCTGTATGAAGCTCCCGCAATGAATGTAGAAGGCAGTCCAAAAATAAACGCTGGTAAGTTGGATCTCCATCATGAAGCAATGAACAGCTAAAAGTTGTGAGTTCAGCTGATTCTAGGAGTCGAACTTCCAACGGTATATGCATTTTGATATTACGGAGAGTCGAAAAGCCCACCAGCAGGCACTTTATTTGATTGCTGGGTACTACAACCTGCTCATCCTGAAGGCACTCAGTAAGGCTACACAACTCGGAAAATATCAGTTCTTCAGAAAAAACATGACAAGAACAAGAATACTGCTGTTTTGGCCTAAACTTGGAATCCAAATTAAAAGCTCCTCCTAATGACTTTTCAATTGCTTCATTAAGAGTTTTTAAAATTTCACCATTGCAAAAAGGAGAACATTTTACCTTTGGCAGTTTCTTTCCCTCCAAAATATGCCATAAGTGACACTCAAGATTGGAAGCTGTTCCTTCTAAAATAGAACTCTGCCCAGGATGATATACACCATGTTCTTCAGCCCAACTATTAAAGTATCCTTTGGCTACTTTATCTTTCCATGAAAGGGCTTCTAGCATCTTCCTTTCATTATAAGTTTTAAAATATTTGTTCCTCTGCCCAAACCATTTTGTATTTGTACTACAACCAATACTAGATTTTTTTACTAGCCAATTATTTCTGGAAAGATGTTTCAGTTGAAATTTTTGCATAAAATATTGTATAGCACAATCCCTTAAATTATTCAGCTTTTCTTGTTCCGCCTTTCCCATGCACTCAAATAGACGAATGTTTTCAGAAATAGTCTCTAGCTGATATTTATGAAAGAACACACAACATTCTTCATGTCTCTTAAGAAAAGAATCAGGAATCACATGATGGGGAAAAAGGGCTTTCCTTTTCATTTCAGTCCCAAAATTCAAGGTCATCTTAGATAACAGAGGATGGATGGCCTCTCTCCCCTTATAGTGGAGGCAAACCACATAGACTTCGGAGTTTCCTGCCTTGCTAGTAGCAGGTTTGAAAACATGGACTTGGTCAAAACAACAGTTTAGCAGGTACATCAAGTTTATGGAACAATGTTCAAACATAGTAAACATCTTTAGAACAAAAGAGCCACCGTTTCCAAGAGTGGTCAGAGCAGTGACAACTTCACAGTAATGCAAAGAAGAAACTAAAGCTTCTTGTTCACCTGGGTTTCCTTGGCAATCAAAACTCCCATCTGCAGTGACCAAGTGAACAGTAGCCATGCTGCTTATGAAATTCTGAAGTCCAGTCAAGAATTTCAGGGTCATGATATCACCAGTGTTATCTGGACCAAAGTACCACCAGTGCAAGGTATTTGCAATAAGCCGGTCATCCATAATCATCATGAGGTCGTCATTTGCTTCATGGTATGGATTCAGAGTATTCGCTACCCAACTCCAATGACAAGGAAACCGATGGGATTTTAAGTAGTGGTTGAGACTAGCTATAAAAGCTCCTGGAGCTTCACAAAGGTGTAGAGAATTCAGTTTTCCATTCTGAAAAGCTTCCTGTGGAATAAGTGGAAAGCTGCACAAAATCTCATGGAACTTACACCATGCTTGAGTACAAAGTTCAGCATTCACAGATTTTCTAACATGAGAAATGATTTTCCCCGCTTTATTAGTGAAAGCAGTGTGCTCATGCCACTCATCCAGTTTCTTATCACTCAGTAGGTTTTTTACTTCATTTAGGGAGTTCTTCAAATCAAGAAATGCATTAAGTTCAGTGTGGTCACAGGTGAAAATCTCACTGGGATCTGGTAACTGCCACTCATTATTAAGTGGCTTGCCATAAGAAAAGTTCTTGGCAAAGAGTTCAAAAATGTCAGCAAGAATATCTGGGCTGAATGACGCGGGACTTGCTAGCTGCTGAACTGGTGTCTTTCTGCACTTACTCATTTTCAAATCAAATTAAAATCTAGGAAGAGAAAACACATAATTAAATGAATCAAATTTATTAGTGAGCGAAATCTCATGAGCAGCAAATACGATCACACTCATGACAAACTCCATAAAATGGGAAGGCTAAAGTCAGCATACTCTGTTATTTAACCAAGTAATCTGGAATAATGAAAAAGGCTTTGATATCCAAGACCTGGGTTCAAATTCCAGCTCTGCTAATTATGGCTTAATAAGCACCCTTGGGCAAATTCCATCTCTTGGATTTGGTTTCTTCTCATTAAAAAAAAAAGCCTATCATTTTTTAAGAAGAAGATAAAACATACTAGCATATAAAAAACATATAACAAAGCATAATCATCAGTGAATGACAGCTCTGATTATCATAGTAACCCATCTAACTCTTCCCCAAAGTTCTTCCCTACCAATGACTGTGACAACACCTACATGACCTCAAACAAATCCATCCTTAGAGATTCATCCCTGGACATGACCTTTGTTCAAGCTCTAACATGTGACTTTTCGTTTTTTTTTTTTTTAGTTCCCGTCATACTTTACCTCCTTCAGGGAGAGGATCATGTACCTGAACCCAGTACTGATCCTGCCACAAGCCACTTACCTCACTAGTAGGATTGTTGAATACATCCTCTGTCCAGATTTCATTCTCTAAGACAGGCACTTTGGTGGTACCAATCACCTATACAGGTCATCAACTAACGTTCATCATCATACTGCTTGTAAACTGTGCTGTACTTGAGTGGTTAGCCTTTTTCTGCTTGATGCTGAAAGTGACCAACTGTTTACCCGGTATGTCTCAAACTATAGATTCCTGGCTTTCATATGGTTCAGACAGCTCCACACTTCCACCATAACATATCATTATTTCTTCTAGCCACTAAAACTTAACACTTGGATAGCAGAATTTTATACTGAAGAAATATACATATTGAATATACAAATTACAAATAGTCACTCTACATACTCTGGCAGTCAACACTGCCAAAGAAACCAGAAACAAAGAAACCTCTTCCTTCTGAAGAGGAAAAAGGATATGAGAAGTATGGCTTAATGGCATAGTTTTGGAAAAGTTACAAATTCCAGCAGGGAGAGCAATGAATATTACATGGTACCTGTTAGTGCAATGTTAATCAATAGATGCTTTAGTTCACAAATTCTGCACTTATTTAGCATACACAATGCATTCTACAAATGATTTTCAAAAAAATCTGAATTTGTTAAATATGAAAAAATTGGCAATCAAATCATCACTCCAGAAAAGCAGATGTTCAAGGACAAAATGAGAAACAAAGGGAACTACTGCTGTAATACATACAATAATATTCAGATGATGTTTCTTTTAGCATTTACTTTGTACTGTTCTTTTAGCACACTTTTTTCATTCTTTCTTATTTTGTTTAAATTATTTGCAAGTCTACTCTACCAGTTTGTAATTTCCTTGAAGTAACAGGTGTCTTCTTAGTCATTTGTTTGCCACGGTATATTTATATTAAAAAAAAGTTTTTTTTTGAGACAGGGTCTCACTCTGCTACCCAGGCTGGAGTGCAGTGGCACAGGTCATAGCTCCCTGCAGCCTTGACCTCTTCCCAGGCTCAAAGGATCCTCCCACCTCAGCCTCCAAAGGAGTTGGGACTACAGACGTGCACCACCACACCCAGTTAGTTAAAAAAAAAATTGTGGAGATGGGGTCTTGCTCTGTTGCCCAGGCTGGTCTCAAAATCCTGGGCTCAAGCAATCCCTCCAACTCGGCCTTCCAAGGTGCTGGGATTACAGGTGTCAGCCACTATGCCTGTTTTTTGTTTGTTTCTTTTTTACTGGTAGAGCTATATTTAGACAAATTTCTAAAGGAAGACAAAACTGAGGTGTTTCCACATTCACTAAAATCTTAAAATAAGGGCATATAAAAGTTTTTTTCAACAAGCTCCTCTGTCTTAATTCGCATTGTGCTTGCTGGAAACTACAGCCATGTTTAGATCTCATCTATACTCTATTTCGGAAAAAGTCTAATTTTAATCATTAACTTCACATACTAATTAACGGCTGTAGTTAAGCTGTGAAACCTTACCTAAGCTAATAGGAAATTACCTTCACATGAGGACAACTTAAGTGATTCAGACACTCCACCGTTCTGACTATACTTTTGCTGTGTTGCCACCTAATTTTTATTACTACTCCCTTACTCACTACTCCAGCCAAACAGGCCTTTCTGCTGTTCACTGAAGACACCAAGCACATTCCAAGACAAAAGTCTTTCTGCATTGGTGGTCCCTCTGCCTGGAATGCTCTTTCCCCAGCTGTCAGCACAGCTAACTCCTTCACCTCCTTCCAATATTTGCTCAAATGTCATTTTCTCAGTGAAGCCTACCTAAGATTGCATCTTGCATTCCCCATGCCTCTTACCTCGCTGTATTTTTTTCCTATGGTACTCATGTACTTCCAACCTATAACTTCCTTCTTTTTGTTTACTGTTTATTATTTGTCTTCCCCAAACTAGAATGTAAGCTCCACAGGACAGAGATCTTTGTTTTGTTTACACATAGACCATTCCAAGAAGTTGGACATTGCCTGGTACACAGTAAGCACTCAGTATTACTGAATAAATGAGTGGATATCATACTTAGCACAAAAGGGATCTCTCTCTTCAGGTTCTGAATATGAGTCATTAATAGTGCACCTCAACTTCACTCCAGCACTTAAATGCATGACTTAAAAAAAAAAAAAAAAGCATGTGGCTTACAGCGTGTGTGGAAAAATTTTCCAGTATATGATCCTCTGAGCCTTTCATTAAACAGTCCTTTGAGCTTTGTGACATCATAATTCTGCTAAGTGGGTCGCTATTACCATTCTCATATTGCAAACTCAAGTAGGCAGTTATGTAGCCCCCGCCCAAATTAGTGAACCCAAAACAAAACCCACAAGATCTCATCAACAGTTTTTACCTCACAGCTGACACTTATAAAGGAGTTCCAAGTGCTTCCGCCAACTCCTCCTACCAGCAACTGTGAAAACAACGGCCAGTGAGTATCCAGGGCTGACTTTGGGCCGGGCACCCCATATCTCATTTCATCTAGTGAAGTAAGTCCCAAACCCCACTCCAGAGGCCCGGTCCCTGACCTGGAGGAAACTCAGTCCCAGCCCCTGGCTCACCCGCTGGGAAGTCGAAGGAGGGCCCGGAATCGTACCCAGGCCTGGATTACCTTCGCCCACGCCCACTGGGGCCCCAGTGTCTGGAGAGGCTGCACTTTACTCTCTCGAGGAAGCCATTCTGCACTTCCGCTCTCGGGGCTGCTTCCCGGGATGGTCCCTCCCTTTGGGTCCGCGGCGCCTCCAGCCACAAGGCAGGGAGATGGTGCGCCGGACTGGGGGGAAGGCTGTCCGGACCCGCCCTCGCGGCACCGGGAAGCCAGTCCCACCTCCGGGCCCCGCAGCCGCGAATGCCGGCAGACAGGGACCAGGAGGCACTCAAGTCCCACTGCGCACGCGCCCTGTAGGCCGGGCCGGAGTCACGTGCGCCAACGTTACGCACGCCGGCGACTCTCGCCTCGCCTAGGCCTCAGCTCCCTAGGTTTTGCTTCGCGGAGTACAGAAGCTGGGAGGCGCCAGCCTCCCGCCCCCGGCCACTATGGCAACGGAAGCGGCGCGCGCAGGCGGAGCATTCTTTGGCTCCGTCCCGAAGAGGGGTGAAAGGGAGAGGGACAGGGAGGCGAAGGGGAGGGGGAGGGGGAGGGAGGGAAGGGACGGGGCAAACCTGTCTGTCAGGACGTGCTGGTTCCGCTCACTGGCTGCTGGCCCCAAGGGCTTTCAGACTCTTCTGGACAGTTGTTACTTCCTGTACAGACTGGGTTGAAACTGCAGCTCAAAAGACGATAGGTTAAAAGCCAAACTAGGGAACTGCAAGATAAGATTGTTTATATATACATGACATAATATATATTAATTATGTTGCTTAATAAGCCAATAAGAAAAAGGCCAACAACCCCAGAAGGAAAATGAGCAAATATTAGAACAGGCCTCCCAAAAAACAAAAAAGTCAAACAAATAGCCACTAAGGATATACAAAACTGTTTAAACTATTATTAGACAAGAATGGAAATGAAAACAGCAAGTTTTCTTTTTACTCGGTTTAGCAAAGATGTAAAACCTTGGTAATGACCACTGTTGGTGTGACTATGGGGAAACAGGTTTACATCTGTGGATGGAAGAAAAACGTTATTAGAAACCTTACGGAAGGCAAACTTATTTATTTGTTTGTTTACTGAAACAAGGTCTTACCCTCACCCAGGCTGGTGTGCAGTGGCTCGATCTCGGCTCACTGCAGCCTCAACTTCCCCGGGCTCACGCGATCCTCCTAGAGAGATGGCATCTCCCTATCTTAGGCTGGTCTGGAACTCCTGGACTCAAGCGATCCGTTGGTCTCGGCCACCCAAAGTGCTGGGATTACAGGCATGAGCCAAGCCGCCTAGCCCAGAAGGCAAACGTTGAAAAGAGACATGCACTTTGGCTGGGCGCAGTGGCTCACGCCTGTAATCCCAGCATTTTGAGAGGCCGAGGCGAGCGGATCACGAGGTCAAGAGTCCGAGACCAGCCTGACCAACATAGTGAAACCCCGTCTCTACTAATAATGCAAAAAATTAGCCAGGCGTGGTGGCGGGCGCCTGTAATCCTAGCTACTTGGGAGGCTGAGGCAGGAGAATCGCTTGAACCCGGGAGGCGGAGGTTGGAGCGAGCCGAGATCTCACCACTGCACACCAGCCCGGGCGACAGTGCGAGACTCCGTCTCGGGAAAAAAAGAGGACATGCATTTTAACCCAGCAATTCCTCCTCCTCGCAGTTTATCCTTAGGAGATAATTAAACAGCTGGCACTCACTTTGGACAAAATGTTCATTTCAGCATCTCAATAACATAGCCAAATGGAAATACTCTAAATGTCTACTTTAAGAGAATTAATTAAATTATTACAGTACATCTATATAATGCACATATATGCATTATATGCAGCCATTAATAGGCTGTATGTGTCAACAGTATTGCATGAAAATAGAAGAATATTAGAATTATGTGTAGAGTTTTTAACCATTTATGTAAATAGATATATAGACATAAATGTAAAATTCATTTTTTACAAGTCTTCCAGAACATGGACCAATGGAGAAAAGATTATATTTTCACAAAATAGTGGTAGGTCATTTGTGTCTCTCCATGCAAAAAAAATTGTATTTGGACCCTCCTTACATCATAAACAAAAATACATTTCATTTGGATTGTCAGTCTGTATTTTAAAAGTTAATAAGAAAACATAAGAGAACATCTTTGCAACCTTGAAGTAGTCAAAAAGTTTATAACAGGACACAAAATACTAATCATAAAGGAAAAATGTATAAATTGAACTATATTAAAACTAAAAATATTTAGAGCCTGTAGTCCCAGCTCTAGGGAGGCTGAGGCAGGAGGATGGCATGAACCCAGGAGGTGGAACTTGCAGTGAACCGAGATTGCACCACTGCACTCCAGCCTGGGTGACAGAGCGAGACTCCGTCTCACAAAAAAAAAAAAAAAAAAAAAAAAAGAAAGCACGGGCTGGGTGTGGTGGCTTATGCCTGTAATCCCAGCATTCTGGGAGGCCAAGGCGGGCAGACTGCTTGAGTCCAGGAGTTTGAGACCAGCCTAGGCAACATAGTGAAACCCCGTCTCTACTGAAAAACAAAAAATTAACCTGGCATGGTGGTGTGCACCTGTAATCTCAGCTACAAGGGAGGCTGAGGTGGATCACCTGAGCCCAGGAGGTTGAGGATGCAGTGAGCTGAGATCACACCACTGCACTCTAGCCAGTACAACAGAGTGAGACCCTGTCTCAAAATAATAATAAAGTACAGGGATTTATTGCAAAGTGAATAGCATTTATACAAGTAAGTGCTATATTGTGTGGTACAAGTTAAGTGTTGTAGGAGTCTAAAGAATGAAGTTAGTAGGAAAAATATAGGAAAAGACTAGGGAAAAAGAAACTTTAATTTCTGTTCTTTTAAGGGTGAAGTTACGTGGGGAAGGGGAGTGCCAGCCTAGCTCAGGAAAATAATGAGTGAAAAAACAGGCAAGAGGACAGGTAATGTAGATTTGCAGAAAAGGGATGGAAAGTTAATACGTTTAAATGCTAAATAGGTGGCTTAGGTGCTATATATAGTGTCTTAGCTTGGGCTGTGTATTAGTCTGTTCTCATGCTGCTAATACAGACATACCTGAGACTGGGTAATTTATAAAGGAAAGAGGTTTAATGGACTCACAGTTCCACATGCCTGGGGAGGCCTCACAATCGTGGCAGAAGGCAAAGGAGAAGCAAAGGCACGTCTTACATGGCGGTAGTCAAGAGAACTTGTGCAAGGGAACTCCCCTTTATAAAACCATCAGATCTCATGAGACTTATTTACTATCATGAGAACAGCATGGGAAAAACCTGCCCCCCATAATTAAATTACCTGCCACCAGCTCTCTCCCACAACATGTGGGGATTATTACTTTAAGAGTTAAAGAAAGAGGAAAGAAATATGAAACAAGGCTTAACAGTCAAAGACAGGTTTATTTTAGAGAAAAAACCTGAGGGGGCTTCTGGCTGATTTTGGTCAGGAGCACTTTCTCTTCCCGACTAAGAGTATAAATTGGTTTTAGGGTGAGCAGGTTTATCACAAGCTTGGATGTTTCTTTGGGGGTGGGGGGAGAAGTTTATGGTGGGGTTGGAATGTTTCTATTATCTTGGCCTGACATCTTCCTGGCCAGAGGGGAGTTATCTGAGGCTAGCATCTTCCTGGCCAGAGGGGGCTTATCTTGGGGCTAGCATGTTTCTGATCAGGGAGGAGTTTGGAATGTTTCTGGTCAGAGATGTTATTTGTGGTTTATGTTCATGCTGACCTTAGCCATTAGGCTGATGCCCTTTGGATTTAGGTGGTTTTTGATTAAGGTGAATTTTTAAATGACAGTCCTTGTCCAAGATGGCGATACTCCTGCTCTGTCAATTATAATTCAAAATGAGATTTGGGTGGGGACACGGAACCAAACCATATCAGGCTGTTACAACAAATACCAGAGAGTGTGGCTTAAACATCAGAAATTTGTTTTCTCAAGTGGGAGATTAGAAGTTCGAGATTGAGGCTCTCTTACTGGCTTGCAGATGGCCAGCTTCTTGCTGTATTCTCACATGGTGGAGAGAAAGCAAGCTCTCTTGTCTCTTCTTCAAGAAGGGCACTAATCCCATCATGAGGACCACATCCCCCTGGCTTCACCTAAACCTAATTACCTCCCAAAGGCCCCATTTCCAAATACCATCACACTGGGGATTAGGGAATTTGGGAGGGTGGTGGGATTCAGTCTTTAGCAGGTATTGAGGAACCAGAGTACAGAAGACCATGGAAGGCAGACTGAGGCACCAGATCTGCTGCAATAAGAAATGGTCAAGAGGGAAAGAAATAACTAAGCTTGGTTCTTACAGAGTTAGGAACAGTCATGGCGTAGTCAAATGGAAATATCCATAGGGGAGCTGGAAATCAATGGGTGGCTAAAGTTCAGGTGAGAAAACTGAACTGAGGTAACACTCAGCCCTGTGGATTTTCAAGTACCTACTTTATTATTATTCATTATTAGCAATCATTATGATACTTAATTTAGTAGTGGAATCACTACCCAAAATTGTTAAAGCACTAGCCCTGGGGACTCTCACTTTTCATAGCTTGCCTAACACTGTGGGAGGCTGGGATCAACATGACTTTTTATTTTGAATAGGGAAGGGCATCAGCTCTGGCATCTCAATGCCTGGGTTAAAATCACCACCTACCCTGGGCTAGGAAGACACCTCTGTCCACTAGGTTGTATTGAAGATTACCAAATAAATGTAAAGTGCTTAGAACAGATTCTTGCACTTCGCTGGTATCTGACAAATGTTAGCTGCTCCAAAAAAAAAGTCCGTTCTTTTTTGGAAGATAAGGTGCTAAATTCAGACCCTCCATGAAGAGTTTTCTCTCTTCTGCTATTTCCTTTTATATTCAAAATCCTTAATAGAGCAGAAGAGGAAAGGGGAGGGGAGAGACTAAGAAGAAAAAAGGGAAAAAAGAGAAAACAATTGAGGCCAAATGATTTCATATCTGCTACAGAGAAGCTGTCGGATATATCTGCTTTCTGTCTTCAACAATTTGGACAGGTTTCAAAGAATAGAAAGAAGACAGGCTATAAAATGAATGAACACATGAATCAACACAAAGGCATTTCAAAACCATAGTATGGAATGATAAAGGCAAGTTGCAGAACAATTTTACATTGCCTTAGCATTTTTGTAATGTTTAAAAACATGTGAAACAATTCTGTTTAGTATTCATTTATATAAATATAGTAAAAATATAAAGACGTGGATGAAGAGGATACACACCACCCTCTGAAGAGTGGTAACCTCCAGGGAGAAGGAGAGAATTCAGGATGGGAAGAAGGCATAAAATGAACACCAACTGTATCTGTAATAATTGTATTCTTTTCATTAATCTCTGATGCAATGGCAAAATGCTAGTACAGATGGCCCTCTGTATCTCTGGCTTCTACATCTGTGGATTCTGCCAATCACAGAAATATTTGGAGGAAAAAATCTATGTGGCATCTGTAGTGAACATGTACAGACTCTTTTTCTTATCATTATTCCCTAAACAATACAGCATAGCAACTAGTTGCACAGTATTTACATCGTATTAGGTATTACAAGTAATCTAGAGATGACTGAAAGTATATGGAAGGAAGTGCATTGGTTATATGCAAATACTCCACTATTTTATATAAAGGACTTGAGCATCCATGGATTTTGGTATGCTGGTAGGGAGGTCCTGAAACAAATCCCTCATGGATACTGAGGGATGCCTACTTTTAAAATCTAGGTAGTGAATACATGGGTGTTATACTTTTCTCTTTACTGAATGTTTGAAATATTTCCTTAAAATGTTAAACATAATAAAGGGGACTATCTGCCCCATTCCTAAATCCATTCAATCTCCCGTACATTTTAGAAATTCCTTATTTGCTCAGTTAAATTACATGTAGGAATGATTTCCAGGAATGAGTATGCATCCTAGACTCAATTTGAAAAGAGTATAATGAATTTATTAAAGATCAGTTATGTATTTGTGTTACATTTACATTGCCAAAATATATTCCAGATTCCAAAACATCTAGGTTGAATGTCACACATATTATCATGTCATTGTTAGGTTTTTATTTTGTTTAATTTTATTAATAATCAATAGTAATAGTAATACCACATTTTAAGGCAAGGGTGCTTTGTACTTTACAAACTGCTTGGGTATGCATTAAGACAGGGGATAACACATTACTGGGTATATACCCAAAGGATTATAAATCATGCCGCTATAAAGACACATGCACACGTATGTTTATTGTGGCACTACTCACAATAGCAAAGACTTGGAGCCAAGCCAAATGTCCAACAATGATAGACTGGATTAAGAAAATGTGGCACATATACACCATGGAATACTATGCAGCCATAAAAAATGATGAGTTCATGTCCTTTGTAGGGACATGGATGAAGCTGGAAACCATCATTCTCAGCAAACTATCACAAGGACAAAAAACCAAACACCACATGTTCTCACTCATAGGTGGGAATTGAACAATGAGAACACATGGACACAGGAAGGGGAACGTCACACACTGGGGCCTGTTGTGGGGTGGGGGGAGTGGGGAGGGATAGCATTAGGAGATATACCTAATGTTAAATGACGAGATAATGGGTGCAGCACACCAGCATGGCACATGTATACATATGTAACAAACCTGCACGTTGTGCACATGTACCCTAAAACTTAAAGTATAATTAAAAAAAAAGAAAATGTGCTTAAGAAGGCAGTAGCTGAAAATGGAAAGAAAGAAAAACACTATTTGCCGTCTTCAAAGAGTTTGATCAATGCTAAATTAAATAATGGAAAATCAAGTGCAAAATTTTTATCAAATACAACCAGTAGCATTTTTATAGAGTTTTTTTTTTGTAATGGGAAATTCAAAAACATAGATTCTAAAAACTAAAAAAAAAAAAAAAAAAAAAAAAAGACGGGATAAAAAATAAGATAGATTTCATTTCAGGGGCCAACTCCAACTGATTGGTGGTGGCTGCCCAGAAAGCTCTGTTGAGACACATTGTGAAGCCACATCTGGACTCAGCAGGGAGGGCAATGATCAGCTAGGGAGGTGTATCAAGGGCAGAGTGATAGAGTGGTATCCTATGTGTGTCCCATTGATATTTCACCTAATAGTTGTATAACCCTGGGCTAGGAAGACATCCCTCTCCCACCAGCTTGTATTGAGGATTACCAAATGAATGTAAAGTACTTAGACAGATTCTTGCACTTAGCCAGTATCTGATAAATGTTAGGCTCTGGAAAAATGTCTGTTCTTTTTTGGAAGATAGGGTGCTATATTTCTAAAATCAACCAGGAACACATTCCTTGTTCTCCTTCTACCTCTCTCACTGCTCCTTCTCAGTCTCCCTTCCCTTAGCCCTTCTATCTTAGTGCTTTCCAGAATTCTTCCTCTTTGATTCTCTTTGATCTTTACTTGTGCCACACTAATCACTGACTGGTTTCATTCTCAACCATAGCAACCTCATATGCCAATGATTCCTTCCCAGCCCCATCCAAGCCAGGTAAAATGCCTCCCCTTCATCTGCATAGCATGCACGTAGCATTGGACTCTAAGTATTCCAACTATTTGTTTATCCATCTATCTCTGCTACTAGACCATGGGCTTTCAAAGGACAAGGCTAGATCTTATTGATCTCTGCACTCCCAGCTTCTGGCACATAGTAGCAATCAATAAATGTTTGTGAAATGAAAGACTGATTTAATGAATGGTGTCCTTATTTTGCAGAAAAGGAAACAGACTCAGAAGTTGGATTTTTCTGAAGGTTGCCTTTTCTCCAAAACCTTCCCATCTTTCCTATAGAACAGGGATTGACAAAAATTCTCTGTAAAGGGCCGATAGTAAAACTTCTGTCTTTGCAGATCATAAGGTCTCTGTCACAACCACTCAACTCTGATGTAACTGTAAGGCAGCCATAGACAATGTGTAAACAGGTGGGTGTGGCTGAATTGCAATCAAACTTTACCGCAAAAACAGGCAGTGGGCTGGATTTGGCTGGTGGATCCTTATTTGTGGAAGCTTGCTGTAGAAGATGATAAATAGACACTCTTGCATGTCTAGTTTCTTTTTCTTTGTTGAACATTCTCTTGTTACCTAGCAAAAGCAGCTCAATGCTCAGTGTGTTAGAAGCCAATACTATGATACTGGGTGTTTGAGAAGAGAATGGCTTTTATTACAAGTTGACAAATGAGAAGAGAGGAGTCCAGCTCAAATCTGTCTTCCTGTGCTGGCTTCAAGGCAGTAATTGCATTAGAAACTGTTTGGGAGTGGATTCTGGGATTAGCCGCTGGTGATTGGTGGAAGGAAAGGGGAGGTCTGGAAGGTCCTTGGGCATGCACAGTTAATGCTTTATACTTCCTGATGGGAAAGTATGCAGCGGAAATTCAGGCTATGATGTCAGCAAGCTCAGTCCATTGCCATATTGGTTCCAACTGATTTCAGATAGTTTTATTATTTTATAAGTGGAGGAAGTTTCAGAGTTCTTTCTCCCCTCCTCCCCTCCTCCCCTCCTTTTTCCTCCCCTGCCTTCCTCTCCCCACCCTTCCCTGCCTTCCTCTCCCCACTCTCCCCTCTCTCCATCTCTCTTTTTCTCCTGGAAACCTTCCATCAACGTTTAGTCATGCATAGCTCTACCATCTTGAAAGTAAGTCTCTCCTCCTCCAATTGTTGCCCTTTCTCTCGCTCTACCTCCTTCACAGTCAAAGTTCTTGATAGGGTTCTGTGTTCACTGTCTCCAGTTCATCATTCCAATAATTTCTCAACTAATGACAAATCTCCTTCTCTTCCATTATATTCCTGAAACGTTCTCCTTGAAGATCCCAAATAACTTCCTATGGTGCTACATCCAACTCAGAATTCTTTGCTCTTTACTAAATCTCTGGCACTCATCAACCCTATTGAAATGAAACATTCTTTTCCGTGGTTCTTGTGACAACATGATCTCCTGATTTTACTCCTGTGGTCATTCTCCTTTAGGCTTCTTTGTTGGCTTTGTAGACCTACAAAGAAGCCTACAGAAGAATGACCATAGGAGGAAACCATGCCCCCAACACTCTGAAGATACAGATTTTTAACAACTAACTCTGCCTATTTGTTAAAAAACTGTATCTTCAGGGTTCTCTGCTAGGCCCTTGACTCTTAGTCTACATACTCCCCTAGGACATATCATCTCATCTCTAGGCCTTTTTTTTTTTTTTTTTTTTTGAGACAGGGTCTAGCTCTGTCGCCCAGGCTGGAGTGCAGTGGCTCGATCTCACCTTATTGCAACCTCCGCCTCCCAGGCTCAAGCGACCCCTCTTCAACCTCAGTCTTCCAAGTAGCTGAGACTACATGTGCACGCCACCATGCCCAGCTAATTTTTGTATTTTTTGTAGAGACAGGGTTTCGCCATATTGCCCAGGCTGCTCTTGAACTCCTAAGCTCGATACCCCTGCCTTGGCCCCCCAAAGTGCTAGGATTACAGCATAAATCACCTCACTGGGCCATCTCTAGGCAATTTTAAATCTAATGATGATCCTCAAGTTTATTTTTCCAACCCAGAGCTCATTACTGAGGCTAGAATCAGCTGGCCAATTGCCTAACAGAATTAGAAATCACCCCTCTTAACCTTACTCACCACATCCAGTTCCATCTTGAAAAAATAATTATCTTGGCCGGGCGTGGTGGCTCACACCTGTAATCTCAGCACTTTGGGAGGCCGAGGAGGGTGAATCATGAGGTCAGGAGATTGAGACCATCCTGGCTAACAGTGAAACCCGTCTCTACTGAAAATACAAAAAATTAGCTGGGCGTGGTGGCAGGCACCTGTAGCCCCAGCTACTCGGGAGGCTGAGGCAGGAGAATGGCGTGAACCCAGGAGGTGGAGCTTACAGTGAGCCAAGATAGTGCCACTGCACTCCAGCCTGGGCAACAGGGCAAGACTCCATCTCAAAAAAAAAAAAAAAAATTATCTCAACCTCACCACCCCAGCCAGCTTTCACCTATTTATCTGCCCCATTTGCAGCAAAACTTCTTGAAAAACTTGTCTATATTTACTGCTCCAATTCCTCTCCAACTCTTTCTCTTAAACTCCCTCCAAGCCGGCTTTCAACTCGACAGCTCCAGCTCCACTGAAACACTCTTGTCAAAGTCGCCCATGACTTCTGCATTGCTAAAAACAGTGGATAATCCTCAGATCTCATCTTACTTTGATCTTTCAGCCACAGTTGACACAGCTGATGGCATTTCTGCTTGATACCCATCCTTCACTTGGCCTTCCAGATACCACCCTCTTCTGGTTTTCTTCCTTCCTCACTGACTTTCCACCTCAGTCTTCTTTGCTCATTCCTCCTCCTCTTCCTGATTTCTTAATACTGGAGTGAACAAAGGCTTATTCCTTGGCCTTCTTGTCTACACCCTTTGAGTGATCTCATCCACTCTCAAGCCTTAAATACCACCTGTATGTCTATGACTCCCAAATGTGTATCTTCATCCCAGACCTGTCTTCCAACTTCTAGTCTCTTAGATCCAACTGCCTATTCAACATCTCCACTGGGATGCCTTGTAAGCTTCTCAGATGGAGTTAAAATTGAATTTCAGTTCCAAACACCTCTTCCACCCATAGCCTCCCACAGTCAACTGTTTGGGACTGGAATGAGATGGTAACTCATTCTCCAAGTTGTGCAAATGCAAATCTTTTTATCATCATATATAAAAGTTGATTCCCTTTGAATCCTTTAGTAAGAGGACTCTATGGTTTTTCTATTTATGCTTTTTTCAAGAGGGTTCATAGATGCCAAGTTTAAATAGGGCAAGTTTAAAATGTCTCCTATTGGCCAGGCATGGTGGCTCACACCTACAATCCCAGCACTTTGGGAGACCGTGGTGGGAGGATAGCTTAAGCTCAGGAGTTTGAGACCAGCCTGGGCAACATAGTGAGACCTCATCTCTAGAAAAAATAAACAAAATTAAACAGGCATGGTGGTGCGTGCCTGTAGTCCCAGCTACTCAGGAGGCTGAGGTGAGAATATTGCTTGAGCCCTGGAGGTCAAGGCTGCGATGAGCTATGAACATGCCACTGCATTCTAGCCCGGATGACAGAGCGAGACTCTGCCTTAAAAAATAAAAATAAATGTCTTCTATTGCCTTTATCCCCAAAGGACATTTATACTTTCTTTCCCCCACAGGTTTGCAGAAGTTGCTCCAAGATTGCCTGGGAATGAGTGTTGCATTCATTCTTCTTTCTTTGGCTTCTCCGTTTGTCTTTTGGTTTGTTGAATTTCATGACTGAAGTATTTGGGTTTTGTTTGGTTTTGGTTTTGGCTCTTGTCTTATTGAATTCATGTTTTTAACAATTTCCTCTGCAGCTTGAAGCAATTGCAAGAAACTTTTCCTAGGTTCCTTGGGTTATTGTTTCTTGCAGTCTTTCCTCTGTTTTATGCCTGCCATGCTTATTTAAGTCTTTGCTTTCATTGTATTCTTCTGCAAAATGCTTGCTTAGTAACCATATTGCTTCTTTTCATCTTGCTCATGCTTCAAGCAGACAGCTCTGTCCAGTTCTTCTTTTGGCTCTGACAAAAAGAAGAGTAATTATCAGTGAAACCCTCCCAACCTTACCTGGGGTCTTTTTTCCCTTCCAGATACTATTTTAATGCAAGGGGACAGGAACTTGGAAAAAGCTTGGCAAACTTTCTGCAGCCTTTGGTATAGTACTGGGCTTACCCTCTCTTCTAAGGTTTTGGTAATGTCCAGTTTGGGGTACTCCCTTTCTCCCTCTTCTCATGGAGTGGGAGTATTCTCAGACTTCAGATCAGTCCCCGGATTCAGCACGGGGTCCTGGGAGATGGTAACACTTTGGGGCTTTTCCTGGCTCAACTTGTATTGAGCCAGGAAATATTGAAACCACACATAGGAGCCTCTGCACTTAAGAAGATTTCTTTGACTTTTTTCTAAGCCCCCTATTCCCAACTTTGTCTGCTTCTATCCAAATCGGGGGTATTTGGTGAGAATTTTCAAGGTTTTGAGACTCACTTACTTTTGTATCATTCTGTAGGAAGAGGGGCTACATTAAGTCACACTAAAATCTCCTGCTTTTCTTCTTGTTGGATACTTTTCAGTTTATAGCAAGAGGATCGCCTCTTTCCTTGTGTACTTGTTACTGGTAATTTTTTTAATTGGTTTATTTCATTGAGGATTGGAGGAGGGTGATTCTGGAAGCAAAAACAAATATAGATAGATAGATAGATAGATAGATAGATAGATAGATAGATAGACAGACAGATAGATATACCGTCAATTTTTTTCTAGCATCCTTAGGGACAGGGTTGGCGTGAGGGAGATGAAATGCAGTGACCCCCACCAGACCCCAGAAGCACCCAGCTTCATGGCAGAGACAGTCTGTCCTCAGGGGGCTTGGCATTTTTTTTGTAAAGGGTACCTGCCCACCATACTTCTCATTCAATCTTTCTGCTGCCCTTTGTTTTCTCAGCAAGGAGTAATGCTGCTTTTCACACAGAAAGGGCTTCTACTGTGCCTGACCTTAAGACAGGAAAAGTAGGGGAGCTAAGGAAGCTACCTACACCGCCCTCACCCCCAGTAGCCAGGCTCAGGAAGGAAGAGGCACAGCGGTGTGAATGGATGGAGAAGAGGAGGCTGGTAGGCTGAGCCCCTGGCTCCTGGAACGAACACACAGCCATGGCAGGTAGGAAATCTGGGCTCCAACAGTGGCCCTGGGCTGGAGCAGTGAAAGGATGAAGGTGAGGTGCGGTTGGGGATCTGCAAATCTAGCCTCTCTCACTACTAAACAAGGTTTACAGTTCCCAGTGGTAGAAAGACCACATCTCAAGGAGGAATGAAAACACAGGAACTGAGCATTTGTGCTTGGAATTAATAAGCAAATCCCATCAAACCCTTGACATCATGGATTTTGGCCTCAGAAGGCAGAAACCTTGAAAGTTCCAGTGACAACCCCTGTGCCCCTCATCTTCAGGCTCGTCTCTCTGGTGGATTGCCACCTGCACAGCGCCCTGGCATTTCCATGCACAAAATAATTGGCTGCAGAAAGTTGTCAGATGCCTTGCTGTGGGAGGAAACTACAAAAACAAACTTTATTCCATCAACTCAAATTGTTTTTTTATATTTCAAATCTGAGAGCACTGGTTCAATTTCTATTTGTCTTCTCCATGATATGCAATTGTCCTTTGCTGTATGACCAAAATGAGTTAAATGAAAATAGTTCTGTATATTTAGTAGTTAAATAGCCATTTGCTTCAAGATTTTTGGATATTTTATGTTTCTTTCCATATCATTTCTGTAAAGAGCATAAAATTCTCCAGATTTCTTTGAAGATGGCACTGAGGCACCAATGACCCAAATATGTAGGGTTAGAAGAGCTGTGACAGCTCACTAACAATAGCTAAACTTTACTGATATTGCTAATATTCATTTTAATTAGTCAATATTAATATACCTAAACTAAGTGGAAGCACTGGGTTTATATTATCTCATTTAGTCCTCACAGCAACCATATTGTTATTATTATCTCTATTTTACAGAGGAGAATGTGGCTTGAATAGGTTCCATGACTTGTACAAGACCACAGCTGGTACATGATGAAGCAAGGACAAGACACGGGCATCTGACCTCAAGAGTCTCTCCAATCATGAAATACCTGTATGAGTTATCTATTGCTGCATAACAAATTGCCCCAATATTTAGCAGCTTAGGAGCAGGATTGCTGGAATGGTGGGATAAAACTTAGTGGCTTAAAACAACATCTGTTATCTCACAGTTTCTGTGGGTCAGGAATCTGTGCATGGCTTAGCAGGGTGACTCTACCTCACCGTCTCTCATGAGGCTACTATCAAGGTGACAGGCAAGGCTGCAGCCATCTCAAGGCTGGACTGGGGAAGGGTCCACTCCCATTCTCTCTCTTTGGTTGTTAGCAGGATTTAGTCCCTCACTGGCACTAGGCCAGAGGCCACCCTCTGTCCCTTGCCACATGGACCACTCCCCAGGGCACACACAGCAGCTTGCTTTCTCAGAGCAAGTGAACAAGAAGAACCAGAGAGAAAGAGTGTGCAAAATGGAAGTCATGGTCTTTTGTAACCTAATTTTGGAAGTGACAGCTCCTTACTATTGGCAGAGTTGATTCATTAGAAGTGAGCCACCAGGTCCAGCCCTTACTCAAGGGGTAGTGATTACACAGAGGTGTCGATACCAGTAGGTCGGGATCATTGGGAGGCATTTCAGAAGCCGCCTACCACCGCGCCTTTCTCAGACAACTGCCCACCCCATCACTCCCAGGGGCAGGCTAAATGGTGTGCTTGTGTTCTGTGACTGTGACCCCCCACCGCCCCCAGCCACAGCTGACTGGACCAGAGACGGACACCTGATCCAAACTAGGCCAATTAGATTCTCTCCCCCAGGAATTCTGAATTGCAATTCAGAGACCCTGGTTGGTTTCTGCTAGAGGTTTGAAATGAAATAATTGGGAGCTTTGGGACAGCCATTTTCTGCTGTGTTCAAAAATAAGTAGAGATGGCTGGATAGGAGTGTGAGAGAGAGAGAGAGGCATAGAGACAGAGAGGATGGTTGTGGTTCCTCCCCTGGGTTTGGAAAGGTACAATAAAAACTAGGTTTCTGTCACATGCAACCAGCGGTGATATTTCCATTTTTTTTTTGAATCAGTAATTTTGCCCCAGGAGAGATTTTGAATTGAAGTATATAGTATATGTTACTTTTTTAACTAAAGGAAAAACAGAATATATATATATATATATATATATATATATGCAATGATAATTCTTTTTTCAAAGCTTTAGATGAATTAATGTTAACATTTAACAACCAATAAGGTCCAAATACCAACCAATCCAGAAGGAGCCCAATCCAGAAGGAGCTCACCATAAATAGCTGGTGTGGTCCCACTGCTGAATGCTGGGTACCCACCAGCTGTCTGCCATCTCAAGGCCACTGCAATCTGGCCTCGACCACACTGCAGCCCGAAGGCAGGCAGGCTGGGGAAAGGTGGGGCCTGAGAACCTCAGATCACCAGCAGTGAGTCATGGTGGCGTAGCACAGAAACCTCTGTATGATTGCAGATTTGCTCTGTAACCCACTGGGGTGTCAGTATCTGTGGCAGACAACTCACAGTGGAGGCTTTTGAGACAATGTCCAGTGCTTTTCTGGCTCACTCACTGTGATTCCCGGAAGAACACACACGAGTATCCTAGACAGGGATGAAAAGCCTACATCTGATATGAGTGAGAAGAGGCTGGAAAGAGCCACCTCTGGGTGGTGGGATTTAAGAAACTTGCCACTTCCTCTAAAACAGGACCTGCAACCTGGGTCTGTGGATAGTAAAGCCCTTGATCTTTTTTTTTTTTTAATTATACTTTAAGTTCTAGGGTACATGTGCACATTGTGCAGATTTGTTACATATGTGTACATGTGCCATGTTGGTGTGCTGCACCCATTAACTCGTCATTTACATTAGGTACGTCTCCTAATGCTATGCCTCCCCACTCCCCCCACCCCACAACAGGCCCGGGTGTGTGATGTTCCCCTTCCTGTGTGAACAATGAGTCCAAGTGTTCTCAATGTTCAATTCCCACCTATGAGTGAGAACATGTGGTGTTTGGTTTTTTGTCCTTGCGATAGTTTGCTGAGAATGATGGTTTCTAGCCTCATCCATGTCCCTACAAAGGACATGAACTCATCCTTTTTTATGGCTGCATAGTATTCCATGGTGTATATATGCCATATTTACTTAATCCAGTCTATTGCTGATGGACATTTGGGTTGGTTCCAAGTCTTTGCTATTGTGAATAGTGCCGCAATAGACATACGTGTGCATGTGTCTTTATAGCAGCATGATTTATAATCCTTTGGGCATATACCCAGTAATGGGATGGCTGGGTCAAATGGTATTTCTAGTTCTAGACCCTTGAGGAATCGCCACACTGTCTCCCACAATGGTTGAACTAGTTTACAGTCCCACCAACAGTGTAAAATTGTTCCTATTTCTCCACATCCTCTCCAGCACCTGTTGTTTCCTGACTTTTTAATGATTGCCATTCTAACTGGTGTGAGGTGGTATCTTATTGTGGTTTTGACTTGCATTTCTCTGATGGTCAGTGATGATGAGCATTTTTTCATGTGTCTGTTGGCTGCATAAATATCTCTTTTGAGAAGTGTCTGTTCATATCCTTCGCCCACTTCTTGATGGGGTTGTTTTTTTCTTGTAAATTTGATTGAGTTCTTTGTAGATTCTGGATATTACCCTTTCTCAGATGAGTAGATTGCAAAAATTTTCTTCCATTCTGTAGATTGCCTGTTAACTCTGGTAGTTTCTTTTGCTGTGCAGAAGCTCTTTAGTTTAATTAGATACCATTTGTCAATTTTGACCTTTTGTTGCCATTGCTTTTGGTGTTTTAGACATGAAGTCCTTGCCCATGCCTATGTCCTGAATGGTATTGCCTAGGTTTTCTTCTAGGGTTTTTATGGTTTTAGGTCTAACATGTAAGTCTTTAATCCATCTTGAATTAATTTTTGTATAAGGTGTAAGGAAGGGATCCAGTTTCAGCTTTCTACATATGGCTAGCCAGTTTTCCCAGCACCATTTATTAAATAGGGAATCCTTTCCCCATTTCTTGTTTTTGTCAGGTTTGTCAAAGATGAGATGGTTGTAGATGTGTGGTATTATTTCTGAGGGCTCCGTTCTGTTCCATTGGTCTATATCTCTGTTTTGGTACCAGTGCCATGCTGTTTTGGTTACTGTAGCCTTGTAGTATAGTTTGAAGTCAGGTAGCATGATGCCTCCGGCTTTGTTCTTTTGGCTTAGGATTGTCTTGGCAATGCAAGCTCTTTTTTGGTTCCATATGAACTTTAAAGTAGTTTTTTCCAATTCTGTGAAGAAAGTCATTCGTAGCTTGATGGGGATAGCACTGAATCTATAAATTACCTTGGACAGTATGGCCATTTTCACGATACTGATTATTCCTATCCATGAGCATGGAATGTTCTTCTCTTTGTTTGTGTCCTCTTTTATTTCGTTGAGCAGTGGTTTGAAGTTGTCCTTGAAGAGGTCCTTCACATCCCTTGGAAGTTGGATTCCTAGGTATTTTATTCTCTTTGAAGCAATTGTGAATGGGAGTTCACTCATGATTTGGCTCTCTGTTTGTCTGTTATTGGTGTATAAGACTGCTTGTGATATTTGCACATTGATTTTGTATCCTGAGAGTTTGCTGAAGTTGCTTATCAGCTTAAGGAGATTTTGGCCTGAGACGATGGGGTTTTCTAAATATATAATCATGTCATCTGCAAACAGGGACAATTTGACTTCCTCTTTTCCTAATTGAATATCCTTTATTTCTTTCTCCTGCCTGATTGCCCTGGCCAGAACTTCCAACACTATGTTGAATAGGAGTGGTGAGAGAGGGCATCGCTGTCTTGTGCCAGTTTTCAAAGGGAATGCTTCCAGTTTTTGCCCCTTCAGTATGATATTGGCTGTGGGTTTGTCATAAATAGCTCTTATTATTTTGAGATATGTCCCATCAATACCTAATTTATTGAGAGTTTTTAGCATGAAGGGCTGTTGAATTTTATCAAAGGCCTTTTCTGCACCTATTGAGATAATCATGTGGTTTTTGTCATTGGTTCTGTTTATATGCTGGATTACGTTTATTGATTTGCATATGTTGAACCAGCCTTGCATCCCAGGGATGAAGCCCACTTGATCATGGTGGATAAGCTTTTTGATGTGCTGCTGGATTTGGTTTGCCAGTATTTTATTGAGGATTTTTGCATCAATGTTCATCAGGGATATTGGTCTAAAATTCTCTTTTTTTGTCGTGTCTCTGCCAGGCTTTGGTATCAGGATGATGCTGGCCTCATAAAATGAGTTAGGGAGGATTCCCTCTTTTTCTATTGATTGGAATAGTTTCAGAAGGAATGGTACCAGCTCCTCCTTGTACCTCTGATAGAAATCGGCTGTGAATCCATCTGGTCTTGGACTTTTTTTGGTTGGTAGGCTCTTAATTATTGCCTCAATTTCAGAACCTGTTATTGGTCTATTCAGAGATTCAACTTCTTCCTGGTTTAGTCTTGGGAGGGTGTAAGTGTCCAGGAATTTATCCGTTTCTTCTAGATTTTCTAGTTTATTTGCGTAGAAGTATTTATAGTATTCTCTGATGTTAGTTTGTAATTCTGTGGGATCGGTGGTGATATCCCCTTTATCATTTTTTATTGCGTCTATTTGATTCTTCTCTCTTTTCTTCTTTATTAGTCTTGCTAGCAGTCTATCAATTTCATTGATCTTTTCAAAAAACCACCTCCTGTATTCATTGGTTTGTTGAAGGGTTTTTTGTGTCTCTATTTCCTTCAGTTCTGCTCTCATCTTAGTTATTTCTTGCCTTCTGATAGCTTTTGAATGTGTTTGCTCTTGCTTCTCTAGTTCTTTTAATTGTGATGTTAGGGTGTCAATTTTAGATCTTTCCTGCTTTCTCTTGTGGGCATTTAGTGCTATAAATTTCCCTCTACACACTGCTTTAAATGTGTCCCAGAGATTCTGGTATGTTGTGTCTTTGTTCTCATTGGTTTCAAAGAACATCTTTATTTCTACCTTCATTTCATTATGTACCCAGTAGTCATTCAGGAGCAGGTTGTTCAGTTTCCATGTAGTTGAGCAGTTTTGAGTGAGTTTCTTAATCCTGAGTTCTAGTTTGATTGCACTGTGGTCTGAGAGACAGTTTGTTATAACTTCTGTTCTTTACATTTGCTGAGGAGTGCTTTACTTCCAACTATGTGGTCAATTTTGGAATAAGTGCAATGTGGTGCTGAGAAGAATGTATATTCTGTTGATTTGGGGTTGGAGAGTTCTGTAGATGTCTATTAGGTCTGCTTGGTGCAGAGGTGAGTTCAATCCATAATTATCAGATTCACCAAAGTTGAAATGAAGGAAAAAATGTTAAGGGCAGCCAGAGAGAAAGGTCGGGTTACCCACAAAGGGAAGCCCATCAGACTAACAGCAGATCTCTTGGCAGAAACTCTGCAAGTCAGAAGAGAGTGGGGGCCAATATTCAACATTCTTAAAGAAAGGAATTTTCAACCCAGAATTTCATATCCAGCCAAACTAAGCTTCAAAAGTGAAGGAGAAATAAAATCCTTTACAGACAAGCAAATGCTGAGAGATTTTGTCACCACCAGGCCCACCCTACAAGAGTTCCTGAAGGAAGCACTAAACATGGAGAGGAATAACTGGTACCAGCCACTGCAAAAACATGCCAATTGTAAAGAGCATTGAGGCTAGGAAGAAACTGCATCAACTAATGAGCAAAATAACCAGCTAACATCATAATGACACGATCAAATTCACACATAACAATATTAACCTTAAGTGTAAAAGGGCTAAATTCTCCAATTAAAAGATGCAGACTGGCAAATTGGATAAAGAGTCAAGACCCATCAGTGTGCTGTATTCAGGAAACCCATCTCATGTGCAGAGACACACATAGGCTCAAAATAAAGGGATGGAGGAAGATCTACCAAGCAAATGGAAAACAAAAAAAGGCAGGGGTTGCAATCCTAGTCTCTGATAAAACAGACTTTAAACCAACAAACATCAAGAGAGACAAAGAAGGCCATTACATAATGGTAAAGGGATCAATTCAACAAGAAGAGCTAACCATCCTAAATATATATGCACCCAATACAGGAGCACCCAGATTCATAAAGCAAGTCCTTAGATACTTACAAAGAGACTTAGACTCCCACACAATAATAATGGAAGACTTTAACACCCCACTGTCAACATTAGACAGATCAATGAGACAGAAAGTTAAAAAGGATATCCAGGAAAATCCCTTGATCTTAAGTGCAACATCCACAAGCATGTAGCTAACACCAGATAGGACAGGATAGGCATCCAAAGACAGAACCAAGATAAGACAAAAAAGTGCAAGAGCCAGTGTTTGGGGACAGGGTCAAGTTTATTTTTACCTTTTTTTTTTTTTTAATTAACTGAGAATCAACAAAATCAGTGAGTGTTCACACAGCATAATTCTGTCCGGGAAAGAGGAGTTGACACAGCATTCCTCTGTAAACTGGAGAATTTCTCCATGACTCCTATCTGCTCCCCAGTTTCTCTTCTCCATGAGGAATAAACACCATGTACAATCTGAAAGCTGGTAAGGGACTGATCCTTGAAGTGTCATCCTGAATTTGAATTAAACCTAAGTCTAGTTTCCTTTTGAGATCTCCTGATGAGTTAAACCTTTACACAAGAGCTACCTAGTCGGATGATTTTTTTCTCACCTGAGCTATTGTGGATAATTGCTCTGCTTCCTTGTTCAACAAAATATAAGGTAAATCATTACCACTCACAACCCGAAGAGATTTATGCCATCGTCTAACAGAAGAGCACAGTGTGCACGTTTCTTTTCTAAGAAAATTAAGTTGACCTCAATGCAGTGGAGTTTGATTTTCATAATTATAAGTCATAACTCACAATTCAAATTTTTTTGAATCAGCATTTTTGCCCTAGGAGAAATTTTGGATTCAGGTATATAGTATACGTTACGTTTTTAATTAAAGAAAGAAGGAAATATGTATATATGTTGGAATATATATATATAGCAACATATATGTTACTTTTTTAATTAAAGAAAGAAGGAAATATATATATATATACACACATACATATACAATATATGTGTAATTGTAATTCTTCTTTTTTCAAAGCTTTAAATGCATTAATTGCAAAATTCTATCCTGGATTATCAACTGGATCTTCAGCAAACACATGGTGGTGTGTAGAGATGTTCTTTGAAGATTTAATTCATCACTGTTAATAAAAATGTTTAACCTTTACAGAGTGCTCACTATGTGCCAGGCACCATGCTAAACACTCTACATAGATTATCCCATGTAATCCCCACCACTATTCTTCCCATCAACTATTATCATCCCCACTTTGCAGAAGACGAGATCGAGGCATACAGCAGTTCCCAAATTTGGTCAAAGGTGGAGCAGGCATTTGGAATCAGCACTGTCTTATTCCAGTGTTTACTCTGAATCATCATGCACCTATCATTAAACTTGAGACTTTAAAAATATCACTACTGACTTAAGTATTTAGTAATATAGCTAATACGTTGGTCACTTTTCAGATAGTCCTAGCCAGCATTTCCCCCTCCTTCAATGAAACGCTGTAAAACTTTAAGTAGTGGATCATTAGCTATTGCTGTGAAACAGACTCTCTCAAAAGTAGGTGGCATCAAACAATAAGTATTTATGATTGTTCCCAAGTCGGTATGGGTCAGCTGAGAAGTTCTTCTGGTGGCAGGTGGACCTACTCATGTACCTGGGTCAGCTGTGGTCAGGTGGCAGTTCTGCTGATGTTAGCTGGGCTCTCCCACATGACTGGAAGTCCAGTGTCTGAGCCTGGTCCAATAATAACCTCAGTTAGGAAACTGGACTCGCTCTGCTCCATGTCACTCTCATCCTCCACTAGGGTAGCCTGGGCTTTTCCCTACAGTGGTGGCAATGTTTCAAGAGCAAGCAAGAGAAAACAGAAGAGTTCAAGGATACTGGAAGCCAGGCTTGAAACTATCACAGAGTCCCTTTAGCCAAAGTCACTTTGGCATTCCATTGGCCAAAGCAAGACCCAAGTCCAGTTTGGACTCAGAGTGGGCAGAGACTAGAAGGTCCCATAGCAAAGGGTAGCTACAAGCAGGCATTAACCAAGACCATCAATATAATCAATCTTTCACACAGAGTAGCTATGAAAACAGTCAGTTTCTTATTTTGATACTAATAGCAATATTGATTGAATGCAGAGTATGTGCAGGACTCCATCAAAACTGCTCTGTGAGATCAACACTGTTACAATCACCCCTCATATGAGAGGAAACCAAGGTTTAAAGAGATGGAGGAAGGCACTCATAGTCTCACACTCCTGTACGGAGGATGTAGTCTTAGCTTTCACTGGCTCGGTCCGGCCACCGAGCCCTGATCCAGGAGCACTGGTGACGTATTTTCTTAACAAGCACAAAGAAAGATTTCTTCCCACCTTGTCCCAAGTGTGTCTTCAAAGGATATATAGTCCTTTGACTTTTCATCCTTTCCGTGGAGGGCCTGATGAAATTGACGGTACCCCAGAGTCCATGCCTCTGAACAAGCCCCTTCTCAATTTATTACTTTGGCAGCTCTTGCTCTAATTCCAACGTGTGTGTGCAGTGCCCCTGGGGGTAGAAGAGCCTTCTCTGCAATGAAAAACAATGTAACCCTGGGCTGTTGACTTTCATGTCCCCTAAGTGTATGGGAAGAAAGAACGGGGGCTAGGGACCAGGCGCCTCTCTGGGTCTCTGTTTCTTCATCTGCAAAATGTTCGATATTTAACGTGGCCCCATCTCTCATAGAATATCTGGGAGGACCCAAGAAGGCAATGGGTATGAGCATGCTTTGCAAAGATAAAAGGTAGGCGGCTGAGCAGAGGGAGCAAGGAAGCAAAATAGAAGAAGAGACAAGAGAGGGAAGAGTAGAATCCTGGAGGCGAGAAAGGGAAAAGGTAGAGTCTTCTACTCAGAGCCTGCACAGCTAGGCGCAGTTTTACGTTGCATGAACTTTTTCCCCAGACCCTCCTGTGGAAAGCAGACAGCCCCTCACTCACAAGTAATATGTTGGCTACACTGCCCCCTGCTGATCATTATGTGTAACAGCACAGATGCCGACAGCCAGTTGAAATAATGAGCTTGGGTTTCCGAGACCAGCAGAGGCTGCAAGGGGGTGAGAGGCTGGTGGTCTTTGAGACCACACATATACCAAGGAACCTATGAGGACTTCTGCCTGACCAGTCCCAAAGCCACTTATTAGCCCTAAGTTCAATGAAACTCCCCCTCCTCCACTTTCCTTTTTCTTTTGCCCCAGGGAGCCAGAGAATCAGCGTTTTCCCTTTCTTTCAGGCATTGCTGCCATATCCATTCTACAAACTGTGGCTGTTACATGGGACCCAGCTTCTCTGTTTTTCCATCCTTTGCAAAGACAAAGTTCAGGGGTCATATTTCTTTCCCGAGTTTTATTATAATACTAATCACCATGGGAACATGGGGAGGGGAAAGGATGCAAGATAGTAAACATTGCAATCACATCACAAAAGTTCTAGAATCTCGTTAGGTCATTGGATTTTTGTCTTGGTTCCGAATCTAGAGTGTCTGGCTCTCCCTGAAATGTTACCTGAAAATGAAAGCCTTAAATATTTTTCTCTTTGTTTTTATGCCTGAGGAGGGACCTCTGTAAACAATTTCCCTAACCACCACCTGACATGAAGCTCGATCCCCAGGACTCACTTCCTCCCTTCTCCTCCTCTTGTTCTGAGGATGAAGCTGTGGCAGTTACTCAGTTGCCCCCTAGACAAAGCAGAGTTTCCAAGGGGGACACACCCAAAACTAGGGAACACTAGCAGAGACGGATCACTTGCATACTTCCTCCCAGCTCACCTGGAATCCAAATGAGTAAGAAGTTCATCTGGCCTCAAGAAAACAATATCTTCAAACAAATGTCTCTTGAGCCCCTGCTCTGGGCTGAGCATTTCAGCTACCCAGAAGATGAAGGGAGGAGCTTCTTTGCATTATAGTCTAAAATGTGGCTCACATTCACGTGGTGTGACTACACAGCAATGACAGTATTTGCTGAATGCTTCCTATGGCCAAACACCATTCTAAACTCTGTGCATACGTTAAATCAATGAGTCTATGAAGCATAATCTACTCTTCTTCTTCTTCCTAGTTTATAGATGAGGAAATAAAGGCAATGAGAAGTTAATGAAGTGATTCACCCAAGGTCACAGGGTTCATAAGCAAGAGAGCTGGGATCTGAATGCAGGCTTTCTGGCTCCAATACCCACCTGCATGACCACCCTACTATCTGCCCCTCACTACAACTAGTGAGACTGGTCTTTGAGGCTTATGGGTTCTGGGACAGTCTAGGTTGTAGCCCCACCCTGCCACTCTGTCACTTGATATCTGTGTGAACATGGGAAACACACTTAAATTCTTGAGGCTTCAGTTTCCTCATCTGTAAAATAGAAAGAATAGAATCCACCTCAGAGAATTATGACAAATTTTAAATAAAATGGTGCTTAGAAAGCAGTCAATTAAAGTGATGCCTATAAAGGATCTGGCAAACACTAAGCACTTAATAAATATTAACTACTCTTTTATTTGATATTTTTTAACTTTACTGAATTCATTTGTTGTTGGAGGAAACCTGAATTTTTACCCTAGGATCTGCCAGTAAGTCACTATACGATTGAGGATTTATCTCTCATTTAGATCATAGCATAGCCTCTTACCTATACTTTTCCCATGCCAACCCCAATGGACTAGTTTCTTCTTGGACAGCTAGAGTAATCTTTTAAAAATAAATACATCACTTTACTTCCCTGCTTAAAGCTTTCCAGTGGTTTCCCATTGCACAAAGAATGAAACCCAAAACGCTTGGCCTGATTTACACAGCTATACCTGACACAACCATTGCCCATACCTGACACAGCCACTGTGTCTCTCTCCTCCCCATTCCTCACTATGATCCAGGCAAACCGGCTTTCTGATTTGAATTTAGCAACTTATTCCTACCTTGTGATATTTACCAGAGAGGCAGCCAGAAAATCCTTCACCTTGAACTCTCCAAGCCTGGCTCCTTCTTGTCAGAGCTCAAATCAGATACCATTCCTTGTCGAGGCGTGTTCCCTTATTCTTGTGTCCATCCCTTGCTTTATCTTCTCCACAGTATTCACCACTATCTGAAACTATGCTACTCATTTATTTATCAACTGGTTTTCTCTTCTGTGTCATTCTACCAGAATGCAAACTACATAAGAACAAAGAGTGTGGTTAGGAGAACCTTTTTAGTTGTGATATTGCAGTCCATGAGTTCAGTGCCTGGCATCTAGGAGATCTTCAATACATAGATGTTGAATAAATGAAGGAGTTTATTAGCTCAAGCCTCATTTATGAAACACAGTAACTTGGATACAGTAATATTGAAATTTCTTTCTGGCTCTAAATTCCAAGAATCTTAAGGCATTTTGGGGTCCTAAGCCAACAGAGAGATGAGAGAAAGGTCTGGATTGTGGAATCCTAGGACATGCTATTGATAATATTTACCAGATATGAGAACAAAGCTGTAGCCATCTTCCATGTTACTGAAAAAAGATACATTTTGTCCAAATGTCCCCAAAATTTATCTCACTGTAATATTTCACAAGTCTCTCTTAGGTTTAACTTTCTCACTTCTTTATAGCTCTGTGATCACATCTCATTACAAGCATAAAGGCACTGTCAGAAAAGATGGTTGTGATCAACTAACTGGCTGATGTGAACTTTGCCCCAAATCCAGAGATGTTTGTTGACTCTCAGACTTCCCATAAGTATTTCTCTTGAGAATGTTCCATCAAATACCACCCAGGAACAATGAAAAGTTTCTAGATGAATCTGGAATTTATTGAAAATATTTGCACTATGAGTATCACTTGGGTACTTACTCACATCATTTTTTCATTAATGAATTCAACAAACATGTATTCAACACCTACCGTAAAAAGTCAAAGGGTGATCAAAAGAGATATCAGTACCTACTCTTACAGTGTATCAATTAATCAAACACCAAAATTATGTGTTACTTGCCAACCATGATAAAGATGATGGTAAAATAGTCTCAGGAAAAAAAGTATAGATTATTATCTTGTATAGTAGCTAAGAGAATGCAGGTTTAAAGAGCAGAATAGTATTTTTTTATGAGAAAAAAAGGATAATAAGTATTAACCCACAGTGTTAGTGGAATTCAGAATAGCTTTCCACACTTACCCTGTTTGAAACCACCCTCTTCTGAGCCTTGGCTTGTTTATGGGGTTCTAATTAGCATGTTTGATTAGAAGTCAAGGAATCATGGAGAGCTGAGCCTCTCATTTCTACACAGAGAAAACTGGCTTCCTTAAAATTCTGATGTAACCATGTGCTGGCCTCCAGTACACCCATTAATTTGTGTTTATCCCTGAGGAGAGCAAGGAGGAGTTTGCAGAAACAGAAGAAAAGAACAGAAAGAGAAAGGTAAAGCCTCAGGCAATACACAAAGATCCATAATAAGCAGTTCTGGAAGGAATGAGATTGCATCAGCTTCAATAGCAGATGAGCCTTGTCTTATTTTTCTTTGCTCATCTGACCAGGTACTCCATAAATGTCAGAAGGAGGATGAGAAGAAGTAAACACGTTGTTATAAAAGAAGAAGGGGGCCATTTGGTTCGTGTCAGTTGTCTGGATTGTAAAATATTGCAATGCCCAGCTGACCTTGAGAAAGCTTGCACTGGTATACTATTGACCATTTAAGTAGCTATATTAAACTCTCTGGTTTAAGCTAGAGAGTGTATTTATGGGGATTGCAAATATAGGTGCTCTTTGAACACACGTGCTCTCTTCCTGCTTTCTTGAATTGGCTGTGTTCTAGTTGGCTGAATTTGCTCTAAATCAACATATAGGCATGTGGAAGGTACATTTGCTGCTATGGAGGGTCTGCTGTGTTTAGCTATCCTCCAAAACATAAGGGAAGCATTTCTCCAGATGGCAGTGTGCTTGGAGTTCAGAGGAATGTGTTTTTGGCCATCAGCAAGGCTCAGTCATCAGTGTTGGCCAGTCACCCATACTCAGCATCACGTGCAGTTGTGCACTCTGACAATCCACCAGCAGCTCTGGGCCCTGGGGTGAGTACTGTTATTTGGACAGAAAACTAAGACCTCCTGTCAAAAGTAAATACTGTGCACTGGTATTGATCTAAATTATTCAGCCTGCATACCTACATATATTAAGGAGAAGATTTTACTAAAATGTTTGAAGGCAGAAGAGGCCTGGACTTAAATCTCCACTCCACTCTATGCAACTGTGTAATTTCAAGGAAGTTATACAATCTCCTTGAGCATCAGATTATTTATCTGGAAAATGAGGATGAGAATGGTGCCTACCTCTTATGAATGAGGTGATCGTAAGAATTAAAAGAGATACCATATGCAAAGTGCATGGGACTGTGGCTGACTGCTAGCAAGTCACACACTTGCACACAATTCTGCATTGATATATCCAGCACTGTAGACAGAGAATATATTCTAGGATGGGCAAAAGAAAAATCTGAGCATAAAAGTGCATCTTTCTCAAAAGGCCTTAGGATTTTTTTTCTTATGTACCAAGTCAATTTAGTGGGCAGAAATCAGCACTGTGGACAGCTCCATTAATTGCAAATGGAGCGAGTGGTGCTGGCTTTAAAATTAGACCATCAGTGTTTTTTTGCTTTTGTTTTTTGTTTGTTTGTTTTTGAGATGGAGTCTCACTCTGTCGCCCAGGCTGGAGTGCAGTGGCGTGATCTTGGCTCACTGCAAGCTGCGCCTCCCAGGTTCAAGAAATTCTCCTGCCTCAGCCTCCCGAGTAGCTGGGACTACAGGTGCCCGCCACCATGCCCGTCTAATTTTTTTGTATTTTTAGTAGAGATGGGGTTTCACCGTGTTAGCCAGGATGGTCTACATCTCCTGACCTCGTGATCCGCCCGTCTCGGCCTCCCAAAGTACTGGGATTACAGGCGTGAGCCACTGCACCCGGCTATATCAGTGTTCTTAAAATTGTGGGCCTATGCAAAATCAATACTAAAGGGCTGTGAGCAGCACTTTAAAAATAAAATAAAGAAGGAAAGAATGAAATAAAAATGTATAGTGTATTTGCAAATAGTCAGGGTAAGTATTGTTTGATGAACCTACTATCTTGTTCTGTTTTTTTTTTGTTATTGTTTGGTGTCTGTGTGTGTGTGTGTGTGTGTGTGTGTGTGTGTGTGTGTGTTCAGTGAAGACAAAAGTTGGGAGACCACTGATCTATTAGATCACTTTTCTCTAGAAAAATCCATTCTCAAACTATTTCCGGCTGGACTATTTTGTCTCTGCCTCTGATTAAAGTTGTACGTGTCATTTCTCCTGGTCTAGCCACAGTAAATAAAGCAGTCCCAATGGCCCTGCAAATTACATCTCTGGGGAGCTTAGGCTAGTACCCTAAATGTCAAACACCTGAGTCAAAAATTCAGTCAGACATCTGGGACTTGATCTACTTGATGCTAAAGAATAAACTGAAATATTTTTCTCCAGAAAATTTATAAATTAGGGAATTTTCACTAGAAGTTGGCTCTCTCACTGTTGGGCATCAATAAAACTGCTTATGAATTGAAGAGGCCTCTACAGAGTCACTTTTTTTTTTTTTTTTTTTGAGACAGAGTCTCACTCTCTCACCCAGGCTGGAGTGCAATGGTGTGATCTTCGCTCACTGCAACCTCCTCCACCTCCCAGGTTCTAGCGATTCTCCTGCCTCAGCCTCCTGAGTAGTTGGGATTACAGGTGCCCACCACTATGCCTGGCTAATTTTTGTATTTTTAGTAAATACTGGGTTTCACCATATTGGTCATGCTGGTCTCGATCTCCTGACCTCATGATCCGCCCGCCTCAGCCTCCCAAAGTGCTGGGATTATGGGCATACAGGCATAAGCCACCGCACCCAGCCTACAGAGTCACTTTCTGCCTTAGAACATCAATCTGTGTAACCATCAACCCAAGACAGATACTGGGAAGTTTGTCTTGGTCTCTGACTCCAGAAAAGGCTCCTAGAAAGTATCTCACCAAAGATCTCACAAGTTACTCAATGAGAGGGCTGGGACTCACAGAAAAATATCCTGCTCCTTAAATCTCTCGTGTGTGTGTGTGTGTTTTCCCTATACTAAGCTCAGAGTTGAACAAAGGCAAAATGAGAATTTTTCATTCCAGGTACAATGATCCTTCTCATTAAATATACAAGTGTAGTTAGTATAATTGTGTAATAAGGACATATGTAACAATTGAGAGAAAAAGACACTTCTTTCTCATAAATGGTTAGGGCATAAATATTGCCAACATTTTTCAATGATTATTTATGGCAAAACTCATCTTTCCATCCCACAATTACTCTACTGATTAGCAAGGGACCTATGTTTTTCTCCCCCATAACTGAAAAGGCAATGTATTTGGATATGTGTTGCCTTTTGACCACTCAGCATCCACTTCTATCTTCTAAAAACACTCCTATTTCCTTTGAAAATGTGCCTCTTCTCTTTGGGATACAAGCATTCACGTCTTTCCTTTTGCCACTCAAGGTGTGTCCTTGTGACCACAGCCTTCAGCAGTCAGACCCTCCTTCCCTAGAATTTTATTCATGAGCAGAGGGCCAAAGAGACTAACCCTGGTGGGGTCAATTCCTGACCAGCATCCATGTTCTAATTAGCTGGGGACTCCAGCACTGTTGCTTTCCAGATTGGCCTTAGTTCTGCCCTGTCGCCAGCCTGGTTCTTCAGCCTTCAAAAAAAAAAATCTGTGAGCTCTCAGTTCCTTCCATTGAATTCCCTTGTGCTTAAATTAATTTGAATCTGTTTCTATTGCCTGCCACTAAGGGGGGTATTCAAAATATTGAAAAACGATTCCATCTGAACCAGATGCACTAAGCAATTAGAACAGGTGTCAGCCACGGATCTGGTGTGACTGTGCTGGTGTGTCTTGGCTAAAGATCAGCCCAGTTTGCAGCCAAAGAAGCACAACAAAAACCCAGGCCAAAACACCCCAGCATTCGTGACCCACAGAAATAATCTCACTTAGAAGGAATCACAGGGATGGGGACCTTTGCCAGGCTCAGAATAGAGATTTAAACAATGTCAAGTCAATGAATGAATTAATGAACTAACAGTTCCCCAGAAAAAGACATAGGAGAATAGTAAATCTGACCTGCCACCTATAGATAATCCAGAGCTGGGCATACTCTTCTTTCCTTACAGAAGGATTTAGCCTAATGTATTCTGCTAGTGAACTGCAAGACAAGTGCAATTAATACATAGATAAACATTGATAAAATGATAAAAATGATGTGACATTATCACACTTTTTTGTTACCTCCTGTTTATGGCAAATAATATTGGTTTTTGATTAATGGTAATGAGATAAATTTTCTTTTTCTTTTTTTTTGAGACAGAGTCTCACTCTGTCGCCCAGGCTGGAGTGCAATGGCGTGATCTCGGCTCACTGCAACCTCCGCCTTCCAGGTTCAAGCGATTCTCCTGCCTCAGCCTCCTGAGTAGCTGGGATTACAGGCATGTGCCACCATGCCTAGCTAATTTTTGTAGTTTTAGTATAGATGTGGTTTCACCATGTTGGTAAGGCTGGTCTTGAGCTCCTGACCTTGTGATCTGCCCGCCTTGGCCTCCCAAAGTGCTGGGATTACAAGCATGAGCCACTGCATGCATCCAGCCTCTTTTTTTTTTTTTTTTTTTTGAGACAGTCTCACTCCGTCACCAAGGCTGGAGTGCAGTGGCATGATCTCGGCTCACTGCAACCTCCACCTCCAAGGCTTAAGCGATTCTTGTGCCTCAGCCTTCCGAGTAGCTAGAACTACAGACATATGCCACCACGCATGGCTCGTTTTTGTATTTTCAGTAGAGACAGGTTTTCTCCATGTTGGCCAGGCTGGTCTTGAAATCCTGACCTGAAGTGATCCGTCCACCTTGGCCTTCCAAAGTGCTGGGATTACAGGCATGAGCCATTGCACCTGGCCATTTTCCTTATAAAATACATTATTTGAGTGAAAATGTGGGTGCATTTTTTACAATTATGTAAATAAGAGCGCAGGTGGTATAAAGATATAGTAAGATTCATTCCAGCAGCATAAGAACACCTGATATTTAAGAAACACTGTATAACACATGGTAGACAAAGAATCTAAACTCAAGACGAGGACTTGAACCTTGGCTTCTTCTCAGGCCTTCCAAAATAGCTTCCCCTTTTCTCTCTCTGCCTCTGTCTCTACATCCACTAAACAGGGATGACAATGCTAGCAGTATTCACATAATTGTTATGAAGAGCAGCACCTAAGCACAGCCACAGCATGGTATAGAAAACCCAGCGATGATAGCAAACTGAGATCCTGAGTCCCTCGCACATGGTCTGCTGAGCAGCTGTTGATGCTTGCATGTTTTAGACAGTTTTGCCTTGGGCCGGATTCCACTCAGTGACCTAGACATGAAAGACTGTGTGTGTCCCAGTTCCAAATTTCTGAGCTGTGTTTCCTATTCCTTTGCTTCTACTGTTCATGTAAAAGTACACTCCAAAATACCAAAGGGGTTTCTTGTAATAAATTCCTTTCAGTTTTCATAAGCAAGATGGCTTTTAAAATGAAAGGAACATTCACGTAGCTGAATGTAAGTTTACGCATACATTCATTATGCACACTTTAGTCATCTTACTAGGCAAAAGGCATATTTCAGAGAAATTATTTTTAAGGGCTGATATTAGGACTAAAGTTCCAATCTTGACTTTGTTTAACAGACCAAAAAGCAACAAGATGTTAAATGGGAACTGTCATGCTTTATCTAACCAAGTGAAGTGCTATACAGCAGAAATTGTAAACTGACAGCCCACAGATTGGATCAGACCCATAGAAGAGGAAGTGTGGAATGGCAGGCAGGAGAGGATTTATTAAAATAAATTGCCCAAATCTTAAAATTGGGAGTTCTCACATGAAAGTGTTAATCTCCATCTTCTTGTGACAAAATGTAAATACCTGATAACACTGGGCTCAGGACCACAGTCAGCTCGATTTGAGAAATGACTGTCCCCTTTGGGTGGCCACGTACTTTCCAGGTGGCCGCAGACCCCATCTACCTCTGTTGTGCTATGCCCAACCTCTTTGCCTTCCTTATATTACCAGCCGGAGACCAGAGAATGGTAAAAGGTCACTGTTACTTCCCATCGTGGAATTGGCTACATCTGTCCAAACATACTCAATGTGGAAATGGTAAGTTTCATGAGGGCAAGCGTAGACCTGCCGCTTGTGTATGTATCCCTTTGTCTATTTTATTTTCCATTATATCCCCTGCATCTCACACATATCAGGTACTTAATATACTTCTGGGATAGATGAATGGAGAAGGGACACATGGGAAGGAGGGAGAAGAAGGTAGATAAAAAGATCTTGGGCCCCTCATCGGAGAGGGGAACATGTGGAACACTTCAAAGTCATCAGACACCACTGCCTTGTTAGTGTGGCTCCGGAGAAGTACGGGGGCCCCAAAGCCCAGCCAAAGAAAGGGTTATTACCGCATGTTATATCCACTGTCCTAAAGACTCTTTTTCCTGAAGAGGAAAGAAGCAAATGAAGGAAAGAGAAAAGAGAATTCCCCAAAGATTTTTTTTTTTTTTAAGAGCACATTGGCTAAGACCATGGACATCACTGTCAGAACAATCTGGATTTGAATCTTGGTTCTGTTTGACCTTGGCTAATTTGTTTTACCTCTTTGGGCCTCAGTTTTCTAATATTTAAAATGGGATAATGCTTGCTTTGCAGAATTTGTGTGGGTATTTAATGAGATGATTCATATAAAGCACTTAGCAGAGTGAAGGTAAATAGTAACATCTTAAAACACATTGTAATTACTGTCACCTCTTTTTACTGAAACATCAGTTTTTTTATTCTCCACTGGATTATTCCCATAAGAAGAAAACATATTGCAATAGCTCCTGTTTTAAAATATATATATATAAATTAAAAATCCATCTCTTGATTCACATCCCTTTCCATATACCACCCCATTTCTTTGCTCTTTTTTAGAATAAAACTTCTCCAAATAAAAGTTATTCAAACTCATTGTCTCTAGATCCTCTCTTGCCATTCTCATTTGAAGCTGTCAGGCTTTTATCTCTACTACTTCCCTAAAAGAGCCCTGGTTAGGATCACCACGGATGTTGCCATGACAAAATCCACTGATCAATTCTCAGTTATCGTTTCCCTTGATCATAGACACCGATGATCCCTCGCTCTCTTTCCTGAAAATCTTTCTTCACTTGGCTTCTGGAATCCACTCACCTTATCTCACTGGCCACTCCTGAACCTTCTTTGCTCACTCATCATCTTGCAATTGATAATTGTTTTCTAATTACTAGAAAATTTTATCCAGTCTTATGACTTTATTGTCATTTTCATTATAATGACTCTCAAATGTTTATCTCCAGCCCAGACCCTTCCCTGAACTCCAGCCCTCTCTATAGAACTGCCACTTGTGTATATATATCTACTTGCATGTCAAGTGAGAGGGTTTAGCTTAATATTACCAAAATGGAACTCTTGGATTAGAAACAACAGCATCCCAGTAGCAATAAGGGAAAACCTGGCATCTGTACCCTGTACCTTGGTTTCAAATATCATTTTCCAATAAAAGGAACCAGGGTTCCTTAAAGAAATGGCTGATTCTAGGGCTGAGGCAGAAAATAAAAAGGACCAGCCTTGAGCACATTCTGGTGCCCAAAAGTATGGAAGTGCAACACACACACACACACACGTGGGATGTCAAAAAGACCTAAAGGCTGGGCACGGTGGCTCACGTCTGCAATCCCAGCACTTTGGGAGGCTGAGGTGGGAGAATCACTTAAGTCCAGGAGTTTGAGACCAACCTGGGCAACATAGCAAGACCTGTCTCTACAAAAAAAAAAAAAAAAAAAAAAAAACAAAAGTACAAAAATTAGCCAGGTGTGATGGCATGCACCTGTAGTCCTAGATACTCAGAAGGCTAAGGCATGAGGATCACTTGAGCCTGGGAGGTCGAGGTTGCAATGAGCCAAGATATGCTACTGTACTCCAGCCTGGGCAACAGAGTGAGACCCCATCTCAGAAAAACAAAAACAAAAACAAACAAACAGAAAAAGACCTAGGAGTCAAAGGAAAGCGCTCCCAATGGTCAAAGCTGCAACAATTTGAGCAATGAAATAAAGTAGTATTGGACTATAACCCAAGGTATAAAATAAAAGTCTATGAGTCCATACTCATATAAATGATTAAATAAGTAAGTAAATGGAGACCAGATGAATGCAGAAGAATTCCAAATAATGTATGCAGATACTCCACCACCAAGGAGGTAGAGTATCTACATTCCTTAAGTGTAGGCTGTTCATAAGGACTTCCTTTCAAAGAGTACAGCATGGAAAAGGGTTAAAACTGTAACTTTACTGTAGAAAAACCTGAAAAATCCTACCTTATCCAGATGCTGAAGATTAACACCAACAGGATAAGTCATGTTGACAGTATGCACCCTTGATATGATGTGATGAGAAGGACACCATACCTCTGGGGTCTTCCTCCCAAAAACCCATAACACCAGTCTAATCACGATAAAAAAAAAAAAAAAAAAAAAAAAAGGCCGGGCACGGTGCCTCACGCCTGTAATCCCAGCACTTTGGGAGGCCGAGGTGGGTGGATCACAAGGTCGGGAGATCGAGACCATCCTGGCTAACACGGTGAAACCCCGTCTCTACTAAAAAAATACAAAATAATTAGGCAGGTGTGGTGGCGGGCACCTGTAGTCCCAGCTACTCGGGAGGCTGAGGCAGGAGAATGGCGTGAACCCAGGAGGCGGAGCTTGCAGTGAGCCGAGATCGCGCCACTGTACTCCAGCCTGGGTGACAGAGTGAGACTCTGTCTCAAAACAAAAACAAAAACAAAAACAAAAAAAATCACTGGACAAATCCTAATTGAGGGATACTCTACAAAATAGCTGATTGGCACTCCTCAAAACTGTCAAGGTCATCAAAGACAACGAAAGTCCGAGAAATGGTCACAGCCAAGAGGAGCCTAAGGTGACGTGATGAGTAATGGAATATGGTATCCTGGATGGGATCCTAGAATGAAAAAGGAACACTCGGTAAAAACTAAGGACATCTGGATAATGAATGGACTTCAGTTATTAATAGTCCATCGATATTGGTTCACTAACTGTGACAAATGTATATTAAATATATTAAGAATAGGGGAAATTGAGTGTGAGATATATGGAAACTCTGTATTACTGTCACAATGTTTCTGTAAATCTAAAACTTTCCTAAAACTAAAAGGTTGTAAAATATTAAACTCCTTCTACAATAAAATGCAGTCTTTCCCATCTCAATAAATGCGAACTCCACTCTTCCAGTTGCTCAGGTCAAAACTTTTGGAGTCATCTTTGGCTGCATTCTCTTTTTTACACTCTGTACCCAACATCCAAACATACTCCCATCTCAGGGCTTTCCACCTTATGATCTCTCTGCCTGAAATTCTTTCTCCCCAGATGATCACATAGCCTCTTCCTTCATATCCTTCAAATGTCAACTTCACCACCAAGGCCTTTCCTGATTGTGCCTGTAAAATAAGAGAACACTCCACCACAGTATGACCCATCCCCCTCAAACTGTCCTACTGTTCATAGAATTTATCTTCATGACAAAGAAAAAGCAGTCCCTGACAGCCAAGAGCTTGCCTGACACCTTCAGCTAGGCTGGGGTGTTCTCCTGTTGAACATAAACAACTTCACAGAACAAGATCAGACAAGACCCCTCTGTGTCCACGATGGATCAAAACAAAAACAAGACCACTCCATAATCATGTTTGAACATAGACAAAAACATGAGCATTGTCCAAAACACAGCAGCGATCAAGCATCCTGATATTCTGCTAATAGGAGTGACTGCTGCTGCTTCACCAACAATAGATTTGGCCTTGCTCTGTTCGCCTCGCCTTCTAGATGAGAATTTTTGAGGTACTGTGATAGGCAGAAGAGTGCCCCTCCGAAGATGTTCACAGTCTAATCCCAAGAACTTGTGAATATGTCACTTTATATGGCAAAAGGGGATTTGCAGATGTGACCAAGTTGAAGATTTTTAGAAGGGGAGATTATTCAGAATTATCCAGGCGGGCCCAATGTAATCACAATGGCTCTTGTAAGAGGAAGACAGTCGGGTTGGAGTCAGTGAAGGAGATATGACAACACCATGCTGCTGGCTTTGAAGATTAAGGAAGATGCCATAAGCCAAGGAATGCATGTGGCATCCAGATCTGGGAATGGCAAGAAGACAGGTTCTCCCCTGGAGCCTCCAGGGGAGAAGAACCAGACCTGCTGGCACCTTCATTTTAACCCAATGAATCTGATTTTGGACTTCCTCCAGAACTGTAAGATAATTTTTTGCTGTTCTAAGCTACTAGGTTTATGATGTTTCATAATGGCAGCAGTTGGAAACTAATACAGATACCCAGATACAGAATGACCCCTGCTTCCTGGAAGCATCCAATCTGGAGCAAAGAACCACTTCCTTGAATCCTCCCCCAAATCACCCAACACAACTCCAAGCCCTATCATTATTTCTTCCTAACATCTCACTAAGAGATATTCTACAAAATAGCTGATCGGCACTCCTTAAAACTGTCAAGGTCATCAAAGACAAGGAAAGTCCGAGAAACGGTCACAGCCAAGAAGACCCTAAGGAGACGTGAGGACTAATGAACTATGGTATCCTGGATGAGATCCTAGAATGAAAAAGGAACACTAGGTAAAAACTAAGGACATCTGGATAATGCAGCTCCCCAGCATACATTCTCTCTCACTGCCAAGAGCCAATAAAGGCAACTTCGCTCAATTACAGGTATAATCCCATTGCTCTTTGGCTGTAGGGCATTGACAACCTTCTGGTGTTCCAAATATTTAACTGTTTATTGTCTGTCTAACCCAGCACTGCATTCCCCAAGCCTGGATCACCATAAATATATAATAAATAATAAGTCAATCTGTCAATAATTAATCAGTGTTATTAAGGATCCTGAGGCAAGTATGATGAAATAGAAGTGTTTTAGGACTGTACCTCAGGTAAGCTAAGCCAGTCAATCCAACTTATGGCAGGTGAATGTTTATTTCCTGAAATTTTAAAGGAAAATGAGTGTTTTGAGTCATAGAAGGGTTTTATCTATCTTTCTTTTCTTAGTGAAGTTCCACAAGTACAGTTCTGGCCTTGGCAAAATGGGAAAAGGTGAGGTCTACACTGTAGCCAGGAGAACCTGGCTGGATGCAGGGGTGGGAGTGGACAGAAAAGAATGATCCAGGGACCTACTGTCACGGTGATGTCATAGTAACCATTACTGTGATCTCTTTACCAAGTGCCAGGCACTCTTCACGTGCATTGTCTCGGGCAACCTGTAAACAGCCCAAGAGTTAGATAAAATTGCTGCCTCATTCTACTGAGAAAAAGTGAGTCTCCAAAAGATGTTTGCCTAAGATCATGTAGCTAACAGGTGGCAGAGTCTGGATCTGAACCTAGATCTGTCAGATGGTAAAGCTTGACTATCCTGCTACAGCAACCAGAGCCCAAGAAACCCACCTACGATGGGGCGGGGGTGGAGTAACAGGTCAGTGCTCAGGAGGCACAGTGCTGGGAACACCTAGGTGCTAGGTTTTTGAGCTCACACTTTTCTAAACTCCTGTGCAGCTGATGATTAAATGTGAGTTCTCAGAGTTCCCTGAAGAACTTCCTGGCTCTATAGCCTTTAGTTACAGTGACAATTTATTCATATATTCATTCAATCAATGTTTATTCATGGAGTACCTAGGATGTGCCAGCACTGAGACAGGGTACAAGGCCCTCTACCAAATTATTTACAACTGGAAAATATTCCCCATAGGTTTGGTTTACCATGGTTCAGCCTGGAGATCCAGGAGTGAACAAGATGATGATAAGATTCCCTTCCAGCTTTGGGTCTAATGATCCTGGGTGCTCCTGAAACTGCTCAGGTGGTCAGTGAGTGCCCCCCTGGTAATTTCTGCCCAGAATGATTGACAGGAGAGACAACAAGTTCCTGGCCTGCGTTTCACCCCAGTGGCCGATGCATCTGAAATGCCTGCAGTTCTCAGCTCTTGAACAGAACTGAGGAGTCTTGAAAGAGGCCATGGCATGCCCTGTGGGGTCTCCAGGCAGCTTTGATAGGCCCAGTTGGCATTTGCTATAAAAACTTATTAAATCCAGGCCTTTCTTCTGCAACTGAGACTCCAGAACAGCTGCCCCTGACAAACAATAAAGAAGAGCTATCGAAGTCACATCATGGGCTGGAACCAGAAAAGAAAATAATAATAAAAAAAATAAAAAATAAAAAACTCTTGTCTGGTCCTCGCAGAATAATGACTTCATCTGATGCTGCTTTTCCACAGGGGCCACTGCAGGGGCCATCCTGGAGGGAGTCACAATGCAGGAGGACAGTGGCAAGTTCAAGAGCTACTGCAGCCGGGGAACAGCAGGACAGCAGCACGTTCAAGGGCTCTTGCAGCAGGGCATAGCAGGGAAAGGCCTCCCTGGGTCTAACCAATTTACTCCTATTGATTTTCAGATCAGAGGGGTTCAGCTCACAAATCAAAAGATGGTTTTCCCTCCCTGCTGCTAAATCTGCAGCCTCTCCCAGACACCTCACAAATTCTGCTTTGATCTTGATTAGCCTGGATGCTTCTAGGTTGGAAACTGTATGGAGGAGGCAGAGATCTAAAGGTAATCTGGGCTGCACCAGTCAGCCTGGCATGGACTGGTGCATGTACGTGTGCTCACAGGTCCTGGGCGATGAGGCCGGGCAGCCCAGTGGTGAGAGGTCTGGGAGCTGGGTCCTGATGTGGGCATCATCACCCACTTGTTTATAACCTTTCACACTTAAACTCCCTAGGCTCTTTTTCTCAATTGTCAAATGGAAATAAGAGCCATTCCAGCCTTATGGCTAAGGAACTGGAGCTTCAGAATCAAACAGAACTGGGTTCAACTCCCACCTATGTCCTGTGTTACCTCAGGCAAGTCACATCACCTCTCTGAGCCTCCATTCCTTCATCTGAAAAATAAGCTTCCAGCAATTCTGGACTCTCAGAGTCATTGTGAGAATGACTCAAGATGATGCACATAGAAGTATTTAACACTTGAATGGCTTCTAGCAAGATCAGGAAACACCACCTATTACTACTAAATGGGGCTTTGGTAAGAATAAAACAGAATCATGTGTGTAAAGTGCTTTGAAAAGTACAAAGGACTGAAAAGACTCTGAAGGCTTCTGGAAATCAGTCTACCACATTTTGGAGCTGGGGTTAGGAAAGACCCTTGGAAGAGGATCCAAAGAAAGACACTCCAGAGCAAGATATATAGGAGGCCCAAGGACAACCTGCAGTGCAGGGCAGGCCACTTTCTGGGGCTCCAGGTGTTTTCTATATGATTGTGATCTTGATGCTCCCCACCTCACCCCACTGTCAGCCCCAAAAATTCCCATTGTATACAATTCCTTTTACAGGTGAGAGTCATGCTGGTAACACCGCCTGTCATCAGAGCCTTCCAGCTCTGGCAAGGACTGCTTCTTGCTATGCCAACAACCATTCTCACCTTCCTCCTTTATAAAACGATGCCAGTTGTATTTAAGCGGCAATATTTCCCAGATTCTGTTGAATCTAGGTATGGCCAGGTGACTATGTTGTGGCCAACAAGATGTAACTAGAAGTGTTTATGGAGCTTTTGCAAAAACTCTTTGAAAAGAAAGTTATTTCTCCCCCTTTTCCCCCTTTATGACCAGACCTACAGCGTGGCATGGATATCCACTGGCTGGCACACCAGAAGCCATGTTAGACTAAGAGGTGACTCAGGATGGCCATGCACTGGAGGTAGCAAAGCAGAGAGAAAGGAGTCTGCCTGATGACAGCCTACAGCCTCCATTACCAGGCCTGGGCCAATCACCTCTGGACTTTTTCTACATGAGAGAATAAACCATTATATGTTTAAATCTGTATTGTTTCCAGCTTTTATATGGCAGGAAGAAGTCTTACTAACTTCAACTGTTTAAAATTCTGTTCAGAGGCCTAGTGCCTAGTAGGTTATTCCCAGCCTGAGCCCTGAGCTGAGACTCATTACTAATGGCTTTCAAATCAGTGGGAAGCAAGTTTGGAAATGTGTTCATCATCGTTACTGGTAAATATTGATTAAGATTCCACCCACGCCTTGGAGGCAGGAGGTGGTGTTAGCTTCTCTGCTAAGGTTTTATAACACAGAAATCTTCAAGTAGAGAAGTACTCTCTGCTATCCCAATTGGAAGAACCAAGGAGAATTTCATGGAGGGTTTTATTTTGGGGGCTAGGTCTTAAACAATAATTAGAATTTCCATCAGCATGGGAACACTTCCAAACTTGTTATAAGGCCAGCGTCATCTGATATCAAAGCCATAGGCTTTGCAAATATATGCAACATATGCAAATCAACCAGTGTGATATACAACATTAACAAATGAGATAAAACCCCATGATTATTGATGCAGAAAGAGCTTGTGACAAAATTCAACACGTAATTTATAATAGACATTGTCACTAAATTAGATACAGAAGGAACTTATCTCAGCACAATATATATTCATATATGAACAACCCATAGCTAACATCATATGGTGAAAGACTGAGAGCTTTTCCCCTAAGATCTGGAACATGACAAGGATGCTACTTTCACCACTTCCATTCAATGTAGTTCTGGACATGATAGGCAGAGCAATTAGGCAAGAAAAAAAAAGTCATCCAAATCAAAAGGAAGAAGTAAAACTATCCCTGTTTGCATACTTCATGATCTTATATATAGAAAACCCTAAAAGACTTCATAAAAATTGTTAGAACTAATTAATCAAAGTTTCAGGATATAAAAAATCATTAGAAACAAATTCAGCAAAGTTACAGGATATAAAATCAACATACAAAAATCAGTTGTGTTTCTAAACACTAACAACAAATTATACTAAATGAAAATATGAAAACAATTCCAATTATGACAGCACCAAAAAGAATAAAATAGGAATAAACTTAATCAAGAAAGTAAAAGACTTGTACCCTAAAAACTATAAAACACTAATAAGAGAAATTAAAGACATCCCATGTTCATGGATTGGAAGAGTTAATAATGTTAAAGTGGTCATACTATCCAAAGTTACTTATAGATTCAATGTAATCCCTACTAAAATCCCATTGACATGTTTGTAGAAATACAAAAAGCAATTCTAAAATTTATATGAAATCACAAAAGACCCCAAATAGTCAAAGCAATTTTGAGCAAAAAGAACAAAGCTGGAGGCATCATACGTTCTGGTTTCAAAAAATATTACAAAGCTACAATAATTAAAACAACATGGTACTGGCATAAAAACAGACATATAGACCAATTGAATAGAATAGAGAGCCCAGAAATAAACCCATGCATATGTGGTTAACATATCTTTGACAAGGGTGCCAAGAACACACAATGGGGAAATGTTAGTCTCTTCAATAAGTGATGCTGGGAAAACTGGGTATCAACATACAAAAGAATGAAATTGAACCCTTATCTTACACTATACACAAAAATCAACTCAAAATGGATTAAACACTTAAATGTAAGACCTGAAACCTTAAAACTTCTAGAAGAAAAACATAGAGGGAAATATTCCTGATTTTGACCTTAGTAATAATTTCTTGGATATGACAAGAAGCACAGACAACAAATGTAAATATAGAAAAGTGGGATTACATCAAACCAAAAGCTCTGCACACCAAAGCAAACAATCAACAAAATGAGAAGGCAATGTAAAAAATGCGCAAAAATACTTGTAAACTGTGTATCTGACAAAGAGCTAATACTCAAAACGTATAACTCCTACAACTCAGTAGCAAAAAACAAAACAAAGAACTCAATTAAAAAGTGAACAAAGAAACTGAATAGACTTTTCTCCAAAGAAGATATACAAAAAGCCAATAGATGTAATGAAAAGGTGCTCAACATCACTAATCATCGGGGAATGCAAATCAAAACTACAATGAAATATGACCTCACACTTGTTAGGAAGTCTATCATCAAAATAAACAAATAACAAATATTGGTGAGGTTGTGCAGAAAAGGAAACCCTTGTACATGGTTTATGGGAATGTAAATTGGTGCAGTCACTACAAGAAACAATATGGGTTTTTCTCAAATATTAAAACTAGAACTACCATATGATCCAGAAATCTTACTTCTGGTATACATCCAAAGAAAATAAAATCAGAATGTTGAAGAGATATCTGCACTCCCATTTTCATTGTGGCATTATTCACAATAGCAAAGGCATGGAAACAACCTAAATGTCCAATGACAGATGAATGGATAAAGAAAATGTTTTATATATATATATATATATATATATATATATATATATATATATATATATATACATACATATATATACATATATATACATATATATACATATATACGTATATATATATACACACATATATATATACACATATATATATACACACACATATATATACACATATATATATATAAAATATCACTCAGCCTTAAAAAGAAGGAAATTCTGCCATTTGGGAAAACATGGATGAACCTGGAGGGCACTATGCTAAGTGAAATAAGACAAAAACAGAAGGACAAATACTTACATGATGGACAACCACTTACACGATCAGTCTAAAATAGTCAAACTCATGGAAACAGAGAGTAAAAAATAGTGGTTACCAGGGGATAGGGGGAGGAGGAAATGAGGAGATATTAGTCAAAGGGCATAAAGTTTCAGTTATACAAGACGAACAAGTCCAAGGAACCTACTATCCAGCAGTGTCTACAGTTAACATGTACTGTACTGTGTACTGTAAAATCCACTAAGAAGATAGATCTTACGTTAACTGTATTTATCACAATAATAATAATAATTAATAGTGTGGGAAAATTTGGGTTTTTTTAAAAAAAGAATTTCTTTTAAAAAAATGTAGTACTTTTAATATAGCCAATTGATTCTCACAGAATTCTTTCTAATTTTTTTCATCAACTTTTATTTTAAGTTCTGGGGTACATGTGCAAGATGTGCAGGTTTGTTACCTAGGTAAGCGAGTGCCATGGTGGTTTACTGTGCAGATCAACCCATCACCTATGTATTAAGCCCAGCATCTATTAGCTATTCTTCCTGATGCTCTCCCTCCCCCGACTCCCCTGACAGGCCCCAGTGTGTGTTGTTTCCCCTACGTGTGTCCATGCTTTCTCATCCTTCAGCTCCCACTTACGAGTGAGAACATGCAGTGTTTGGTTTTCCGTTCCTGTGTTAGTCTGCTGAGAATAACAGCTTCCAGCTTCATCCATGTTTCTGCAAAGGACAGAATCTCATTCCTTTTTATGGCTACATAGTATTCCATGGTGTATATGTGCCACATTTTCTTTATCCGGTCTATCACTGATGGGCATTTGGATTGATTCCATGTCTTTGCTATTGTGCATAGTGATACAATGAACATATACGTGCATGTATCTTTATAATAGAATGATTATATTCCTTTGGGTATATACCCAGTAATGGGATTGCTGGGTCAAATGGTGTTTCTGTTTCTAGATCTTTGAGAAATCGCCACAATGTCTTCCAAATGGTTGAAGTAATTTACACTCCAACCAACAGTGTAAAAGTGTTCCTTTTTCTCTACAACCTCACCAGCATCTGTTGTTTCTTGACTTTTTAATAATCGCCATTCTGACTGGCATGAGATGGTATCTCATTGTGGTTTTGATTTGTATTTCTCTAATGATCAGTACACCAACAACAGGCATGCAGAGCGCCAGATCATGAATGAACTCCTATTCACAATTGCTACAAAGAGAATAAAATACCTAGGAATACAGCTAACAAGGGAAGTCAAGGACCTCTTCAAGAAGAACTACAAACCATTGTTCAAGGAAATCAGAGAGGACACAAACAAATGGAAAAACATTCCATGCTCATGGATATGAAGAATCAATATCATGAAAATGGCCATATTGCCCAAAGTAATTTATATATTCAATGCTATTCCCATTAAACTACCATTGACATTCTTCACAGAATTAGAAAAAAAAAACTTTTAAAATTCATATGGAACCAAAAAAGAACCCATATAGCCAAGACAATCCTAAACAAAAAGAACAAAGCTGGAAGCATCACGCTACCCATTTTCAAACTACTCTACAAGGCTACAGTAACCAACATAGTGTGGTACTGGTACAAAAACAGACATATAGACCAGTGGAATAGAATAGAGAACTCAGAAGTTAGACTGCACACCTACAACCAAATGACCATTAACAAACCTGACAAAAACAAGTAATGGGGAAATAATTTCCTATTTAATAAATGGTGCTGGGAACTGGATAGCCACATGCAGAAAACTGAAACCGAACCCCTTCCTTATGCCTTATACAAAAATTAACTCAAGATGGATTAAAGACTAAAATGTAAAAACCAAAACTATAAAAACCCTAGAAGAAAATCTAGGCAATACCATTCAGGACATAGGCATGGGCAAAGTTTTCATGACAAAAACGCCAAAAGCAATTGCAACAAAAGCAAAAACTGACAAATGGGATCTGATTAAACTAAAGAGCTTCTGCACAGCAAAAGAAACTATCATCAGAGTGAACAGACAACCTACAGAATGGGAGAAAATTTTTGCCATCTATCCATCTGACAAAGGTCTAACATCCAGAGTCTACAAAGAACTTAAACACATTTACAAGAAAAAACAAACAACCCCATTAAAAAATGGCCAAAGGACATGAAAAGACACTTCTCAAAAGAAGACATTCATGCAGCCAACAAACATATGAAAAAAAGCTCAGCATCATTGATAATTAGAAAAAAAGAATTTCAACCAGCAAAAAGGGGTAAGGAGACCAGACAAAGCACCAGCACAGGCAAATAATCAATTTTGGAGTAAGATGGAGTAGCATGAGTTACAGACAGCTTCGGATGTTGTACCAGATTATTCAGGCATTATTATGTAGAATTGTACCTCTGAGAAATTGAATAAGGGATCATTACTTTTTAAAAAAAAATGATTTCAAGTCATAATTGCTAAGAACTACAGTCACAATTGCATAAAAATATATAGACTATAAATAGCTATACACATATAATATAGAGATTTCGTATATATAGTACACATAAGTTTTTTAAAAGATTGCAGTGAGTTAAAAATGGTTAACACTGATTGAAGATTTCTGGGTGTTCTTCATTCATTAGTTCTTTTTATCCCCATGACAACCCTTTAAGACAAGTATTGTTATTATCCTTATTTTGCAGACAAGAACTGCAGTAACTTGCCCACGTTCTCACATTTAGTAAGAGGCAGTGCCAGGATTTGAAAATTGCCTGGGTCTGTTAAACTCCAAAGTCCATCTCCTTAACCACCAAGCCCAACTCCTTACAAAACGATTCATACCAACATGTCAACAGTGGTTACTTATAGGTGGAGCGATCATAGGGAACTATTTTCTATTTTGTACTTTGTACTATTTTGTATCCTTTCCTAATTTTCTACAAGCAAGGTATATTACTTTATATTTATATTGTGAAACATACCACATTTAGAAAGCAAGCATAAAGCATAAATTTATAGCTTAATATACCATAGAATAAACCCCATGGAACCATCGTCTATATCAGCACCCCAGGAGCCCTGTCTGATCACAGCTCCCTCCCACGTAAAGATAACCGTTCTCACTGCCAAGTCGTCATGCCCTTGTCTTCCTTTAAAATCACCATCTAATCATGTATCTCAAAAAAATGTAGGTTAATTCTGCTCATTTTGAACATTATATAAATGGAATAACATCGTCTGTGTTCTGTTGGGTCTGACACCTTTCTCTCAACATTATGTTTTTTAAGAATGTTATTTTCCTAATATAAAAAAATTCATTAGTGTTATAAAATATTTTAAATCTGGAATCACACAACGACCTCCTCAACCTGACTCAGTTGACACCTTCCCAGCTGTTACCTTCTAAGCAGGACCAATCCACCTTAAAACTAGAATTTGTTTCCTTTAAAAGTCATGGCCAGAGAAAAGAGGGGTCAGGACCCATAGCTGGCCCCCCTTTCCTGCTTGGGCCAGCTTGCCTTCCACCAGGCCAGCTCAGCCACCTGCCTGAAAGTGGATTATTCAATTCACTGCCACATTTTCTGAATCACTACTTAACTCACCAATCATGGGTTTCTCTGCCCAGGGGGCACTATGACCTTTGGTGCAGAGGGAAGTGGCTGTGCTCCTTGGAGCTGCCCGCCTTCTTTCTTGGTGGACAACCCAAAATGCTTTCAACTTGAGGGTCTACAAAATGCACTCCCCACTTTCTTCTCTTCCTCCCTCTCCTCCTCCTCCTTTTCTTCTCTTTCTACAAGAAATTTTTTTTGATGGAAATTTTCAAACATACACTAAATTACAGAGAATAGTATAATGAACCCCCATGTAACCTCAACAATGATCAACACATTACGTCCTTTTTTCTCCTACACACCCACCCAATTATCCCCCATGCCTACTGGATTATTATTTTCCAACTTTTATTTTAGATTCAGGGGGTGCCTGTGCACGCATGGGTTTAATGCATCATGCCGAGGTTTGGGCTATAAATGATCTCATCACCCGGGTACTGAGCATAGTACCCAACAGTTAGTTTTTCAACCCTGTAATTTTCCCTCCCCCATTTTTGAGTTGCCAGTATCTACTGTTGCCATCTTTATGTCCATGAGCACCCAGTGCTTAGCTCCCACTTATAAGTGAGAACATGTAGTATTTGGTTTTCAGCCCCCGCATTAATTTGCTTAGGATAGTGGCCTCCAGCTCCATCCATGTTGCTGTAAAGGACATGATTTCATTCTTTTTTATGGCTGTGTAGTATTCCATGGTGTATATGTGCCACATTTTCTTCATTTAGTCTGCCATTGATGGGCACCTAGGTTGAGCATGTCTTTGCTATTGTGAGCAGTACTGCAATGAACATTGCAGTGAGTGCATGTGTCTTTTTAGTAGAATGATTTGTTTCTTTTGGATACATACCCAATAATGTGACTGCTGGGCTGAATGGTAGTTCTATTTTAAGTCCTTTGAGAAATCTTTGTACTGCTTTCCACTGTGACGTTCCCACCGACAGTCTCACCAACATCTGTGGGGTTTTGTTTTTTTTCTTTCTTTGACTTTGTTATAATAGCTATTCTGATTGGTGTGATAGGGTATCTTATTGTGGTTTTGATTTTCGTTTCTCTGATGATTAGTGATGTGAAGTATTTTTTCATATGTTTGTTGGTTGCTTGCATGTCTTCTTTTGAGAAGTGTCTGTTCATGTCTTTTGCCCATTTTTTAACGGGCCCTACTAAATTATTTTGAAACAAATCCAAGATGTGTCATTTGTGAATATGTCAGTATATATCTTAAAAATATAATGTACCACTTTAAGAACATATCCAAAATACAATTCTCATAATTCCTTAATTTCATCAAATATCAAATTGGCCTTCAATTTTTCTCCATCATTTTATAAATGTTTCAATATAGTTGTTGTATTCAAATCAAGTCCAAAATGAAGTCTACACATTGCATATTGTTCAAACATCCTACTTTTGTAAGAAATGGTATTTGGAGACTATAAACTGGATTCTGGATTTCTCATCGCTATAGAGTTGGTCACTGCTTCTAGGACTTCTTGGGTTTACAGAACTAGAAAATACAAACGGTGTGTATGTGTGTGTTTGTGTGTGTATGTTTAAAACAGAAGCTACAGTGTAAGTTTAAGCAGATATTTCTAATTCAAAATTTAAATTACAGAACTTTTACTTGAACTCTTTAATTTTATATTTGCATCTCTTTTATGCTGAAAATCTTGGTTTCTAATTACATCATTATCTACTTGCTTTATTTTACTATATGTCTGTGTGTGTGAAATAGTCTTGGAATAATAATGTTAATGTTATTTCCAATGATATTTTTACTGACAATAGTTGATTTTTAGTTCTTTTGTCCTCAGAATGTATTTCACTTCATATGCACAGTTAAATTACTGTGTTTTAAAAGTCATTTGAAATTATCTCTGTTTGTGTGCCTCCAACTGGACACACAATTAGGTTCGCTGTTTCACATTTCTTTTGGGGTTCAGGGATTGTTATTTTCATTTTTGAGTTAATTATGTTTTGTAATCATGGGAGTCAAATTTGCAGAAAAGGTACATTCCAGGCCAGGCACAGTGGCTCACGCCTGTAATCCCAGCACTTGGGGAGGCTGAGGCAGGTGGATCACCTGAGGTCAGCAGTTCGAGACCAACTTCACCAACATGGTGAAACCCCGCATCTCTACTAAAATACAAAAATAAGCTGGATGTTGTGGCGCACGCCTGTAATCCCAGCTACTCAGGAGGCTGAGGCAGGAAAATCGCTTGAACCCAGGAAGCAGAGGTTGCAGTAAGCCAAGATCACGCCATTGCTCTCCAGCCTGGGCAACAGAGTGAGACTCTGTCTCGAAAAAAAAAAAAAAAGGGTACTTTCCAAGAAGTCTAGCCTCTGTCCCTGTTCCCTTCACCTGTTCCTTCCCTCTCCCGATAGATAACTAGTTTTTCAAAAATTATCATTATTATCATTATATCATCTGCTAACAGATATAAATATAAATAACATATAATAAATATAAATAAAATATAAAAATATGAACGAAAAGAGTCCTTTGCCAAATGGCAAAGAAAGGTTTCTGCTTTTAAACAGTAATCACGAAATGCTTTTAAGTGAACAGCATTGCTATGTTTCTTTTAAGATCTTTCCTCTGAATAATTTCTGAGTGTTCAGAGTCATTTACAAAAAGAGATAGGATTTACCTATTTAATGGATAAGGAAATAGGAAAAGAGAAAGAAATTTTCACAAAAGCACAGAGCAAATTCAGCCAAGATTCCAACTAGCTACTTTGCAGGCACTGATCCATCCAACAGCTAGCATGGGCCAGCCCCAACCTGCAGATACTCTGATTCTCTACGTCTGAAGTGAGGCCCAAGCACCTGTTTTGGCAAAGCTTCCCAGGTGATTCTGAGCAGCAGTCTGGTGGACAAATCACTAGTATAAGCCAGTGACACCCAAGCAGGCCTCTTTTGGAGAATCTCAAGGCAGCTTGTTGTTGTGGGAGCAAATCTTGCATCCAAGACTGAGGACTGCAAGAAACATGACCATATTTTTCTTTACTACAATTTAATCTGTTCTGATCTCTCATTGCACCAGAAAACACATGCCAAATCTTGGCCAAAGTGATGACCCCCAACACCACTTCCCCACATACGCTTCTAAGTTCCCAGGAGCGTTGAGGGGTGGGGGTACAGGGAGATCTGATTCAGCCATCACCTCAGCCACCCTCATTGCTGGGTCTCACAGAAGGCTGCTAAGTCATGGCTCATTCTGGCCATGGGGTCATTCAGTTTCCGCAGCTCCCTGGCCAGCTCTGATGCCATATCCATAGCACTGAACTCATCCCACCAGGCTACACCCTCAGAGGCCCTGACTGTTTAGATTGGATTTACCATACAACCCTTTCTTTTTCTGGAGCTCCACCCAGGAAACGGGAAATGAGTCACCATGACTCTTAGATTCCACAAACTGACCTGAGGATTTTTGCCATATCCACCTGCTCTAACCTGGATTTGACCCAGGGAGCAAAGTGCAGGATCCTCTTCTCAATGAACCACTAACTTCTATACACTTGTTGCTTCTCCTTTCTACAGCCCAAGGAACCTTTATGTAGACTGGGCTAAAGTATCCTTGTTCTTAATTGGCCAATATCTCTCATTCTTTTTATTATATGTTATTTATATTTACATCTGTTAGTAGATGACATAATAATAATAATAATAATAATAATAATAACGCTACCAATAATCTATGCTACCAGTTCCTTTTGTTCCCCTTAAGGCCAGGATTTTGTATGCAAAATCTTGGAAGCATCACCCTTTACCTTTGTTACCACATCCCTTACCAGGGCTACCATGTTGTGCAATTTCAGGAAGTATTGTGCACAAAGCCTGGGTGGACTTATTCAGTGCACAACCTGAACAGCTGTATGGGTATGCACAGCTGTATGTGCTGCAGAAATGTTGACCACATAGCCACACACTCTGAATGGGGAAAATAAATTCCACTGGGGAAATAACATTAGTTAGTGCTTCAAAAGCATTGTCCTGCCACTTAATAAAGCTCCAGATAGGGAGTCTGGAGGGTCATTTGGATGTTTGGAGCAAAATATTAAAAGTGAAAGTGACCTTCCTCTCCTCGTTTTTCTGTACCTCCTTGCCAATCTTATCACCTTGGTATACCAAAGAAGATCTCAGCCTGCCTCATCTGAGCCCCAAACAACCTGGGATCCAAGAGGATAAGCTGGAAATACCACAAATATGACCCATGAAAGCACTTAAGACCCCTGCCCAGAGAGAGGAAAGCACTGAGCGTTGCAATCATGGGGCACTTGGGCAAAGTCAGTTCTCATTGATGAGCTTCCAAACACCGGAATAATTCAAAAAGAGCCTCTTCAAAGATACCTGGTCTCTTGTCTGTCCCCAGTCCCCACGTTCTAAAAATCAGCCAGTTACCATGGCAGCTGCTGTCCAATCAAAACGTTCCCATTTATAGAAACTGGCTGAAAACATTTGAATCTGATGGGGTCTGTCGCTGAGCAGAGGATGTCACTCCCCCAGACACAAAGGATGCTTTATCCAGAAACCATGGATAGCGCCTGGCCTGAGAGAGAGAGACTCCAGGTCCTGCCACCAATGCACTATGAACAGGCATCCCACCCAGAAAACGTTCCTGCTGACACTGGTAGGGCCTATGTCATCATCATCCATTCATTCACTAGATAACATCAAGCACCTTCTCTGTGTCGAGCAAGGTACTGAGGTTAAATGGTGACGAATGCTGTGTTCCCGTGGTCACCAAGGCAATTTTGATGAGGAAGCTGATAAAAAAGCAGACAATGGCAACCCGGTGTGATTTAAATAATAATAATAATAATAATAATAAAATAAAAACCATGAGAGCAGATGTGTGGGAACTGTGGAGTCACCTGCCCAGGCATGGAGTCAAGGGTGTTTTCCTGGTGAAACCTGAGTCTTGAGGGCTGAGCAGGTGTTAGCTGGGATGGGGTGAGGAGTGCGTAGGAAGGAGGAAAGGGCCCCGGGCAAAGGCACGTATGAAAAAGCCCAGACAGGGAGAAGAGCATTCCATCCAAGTTACCTCAAGAGTAGCTCGGTTGGCCGGGCACAGTGGCTCATTCCTGTAATCCCAGCACTTTGGGAGGCCAAGGCAGGCGGATGACGAGGTCAGAAGTTCGAGACCAGCCTGACCAACATGGTAAAATCTCGTCTCCACTAAAATACAAAAATTAGCCAGGCATGGTGGCTCATGCCTGTAATCTCAGCTACTCAGGAGGCTGAGGCAGGAGAATCACTTGAACCCAGGAGACAGAGGTTGCAGTGAGCCAAGACTGCACCATTGCATTCCAGCCTGGGCGAGGGAGCGAGACTCCATCTCAAAGGAAGAAAAAAAAAAAAGAGTAGCTCAGTCACTGGCTCAGAGTGAATGATGAAGGCAAAGACAAGAAGAATTGCAGCTCAAGAGGAACGCTGGGACAGAAAAAGGAAGGTCCCTCGCTTCTCTGCGGGCGTCTGGTTGCCTGGCTTCCATTTAAAGTGGAACAGCCCAGGAAGAGATTAGTTGAGAAGTAGCTAAGAGGAGGTTCTGTGTTTTGAGGGAGAAGGGGTAGTATCCTCAAGAAGAAAGGAACTAAGAGGGTAAGGGGTGGGGCACCGTGGCCACAGCCCCCCATTGCCTATTCAACCATGAGCTGGAGAAGCAATCAAACAGGACATCCCCCGCCCTCCCACCTCCTGTCTGCTCAGAGCATCTCTGCTGCCTAGATCTAACAGGATCATGCCATGGCAACTTCCAGATCATTCCATCCAGCCCTTCTAGGGGATGAATAACAGTTTATTGCACATGAACCCAGGAGTGGCACTGTGCTCAGTACTTCCCATGCAAAATCCATTCATTTCTAAAATCATGTTTGAGAGTGAGCATAGTGGCTAACGCCTTTAATCCCAGCAATTTGGGAGGCTGAAGTGGGAAGGACTGCTTGAGCCCAGAAGTTTGAAGACAGCCTGGGCAACATGGTGAAACCCTGTGTCTACAAAAAATTAAAAATTAGCCAGGAGTAGTGGTGCCTGCCTGTGGTCCCAGCTACTCAGGAGGCTGAGGTGGGAGGATCACTTGAGCCTAGGAGGTTGAGGCTGCAGTGAGCCATGATTGCACCACTGCACTCCAGCCTGGGTGACAAAATGAGACCCTGTCTTGAAAAAAAACAAAAACTTAGGCCCAGGCACAGTGGCTTACAGTTGTAATCCCAGCGCTTTGGCAGGCCAAGGTGGGTGGATCACTTGAGGCCGGGAGTTCGAGACTCAAAACTGGCGAAACCCCATCTCTATTGGCCAGGCATGGTGGTGCTCGCCTATAATCCCAGCTACCGGGGAGACCGAGGCATGAGAATCGTTTGAACCCAGGACACGGAGGCTGCAGTGAGCTGAGATCATACCACTACCCTCCAGCTTGGGCAACAGAGCAAGACCCTTTCTCAAAAAAAAAAAAAAAGAAGAAGAAGAAGAAGAGAAAGAAAAAAATCAGAGAATGATGGCTTTGTAGCCAGCTTAAAGAGTAACTAAACTTCTCCTTCAACAGGGGTCTCTGGATGGGGATGGAGGGGGGAGAACCCAACTACCAAATTGAACATTGTAGGAAATTATATTGATAGAGTCTTTGTGAGTGTGGAAAGTATTAGCAATAGGTACAGAGAAAACAAAGCAGATATTTAGTATTTAGTTGCTCCAGGGAAAAAAAAATTAAAGTCATGTTTGAGCACCTTCTATGCAACAGGCAATATAATTCAGATACTGCTGACATGGCCCTAGAAAAAAATAAACTCCTTGTCCTCAAGGAACTTATATTCTTGGGAAGGGGGGGATAGACAAAACCAAATAGATACGTAAGATGACAAGAGATTACAACTAGTCTAAGAAAAATAAAGCCCAGTAAAGTAATAGAGAATGATGGCAAGGGAAGAGGGTCAGAAAAGGGGTGATCTGAGCTGAGACCTGAGTGAGGGGAGGGAGAGAGCTACATGGAATCTGGAGGAAGAAGGTGTCACACTGTGGGAACAGCAAGTGCAAAGGTCCTGTGGCAGACAAGCCGCTGCCATGTTGCGTTGGTGAGGCTGGGGAGTAGGGACAAGGTGAGAGCTGGAGAACCAGGTCGGAGATGGGCCAGGCGGTCACATCAACCTCATAGCAACACGACAGGGTGGGGTACTGTTGTTCCCATATTACAGATGAAGAAACTGAGGTTCAGGAATATGCCCAGGGTCCCAAACCTTTGCTAGGCAGAGCTGGGATTCAAACCCAGCCACTTGATCTTTAATCATGTGCCTCTAATTATTTCCTTAGAGTGTCTGTGCCAAGGAGCTATGGATAACTTAGAACAGATCAATAAGATTCCAACCTCCCGCAAAGTTCCCCTAAATCCCAGCAACTCCACACCTAAAAATGTAAGAAGATCTTCAGGAACTTGAACAAAGATCTAGCTACTTTGTTTATAATAGCAAAATGACTGGAAACAACAGCTTCTCCTTAATAATAGGCAACTGGAAAATAAAGTTATAATACACACATGCAAAGGATGAATCATGTATGGTCATTTTAAAAGACATTGTAGAAGAGTGTGCAACGACATGGAAAGATGGTCAAAATATGTCATTGAAACTAAGCAATACATATAGTACAATCTCATTTTTTGTAATAAATAATATGTAAATGTATGCAGAGGCAAAAGACTGGAAAAAAATAAACGAAAATGTTAAAAACGGCTAACCCAAGGAGTGGGATTGTGGGTGGTACATCTTGGTTTTGCTTAGCAATATTTTCTACAATGAATATAAATTATTTTTGCCCAGCCTGGGCAACATGGCAAAACCCCCTCTCTACAAAAAATATGAAAAACTTAGCCAGGCATGGTGGCAAGCACCTGTAGTCCCAGCTACTTGGGAGGCTGAGGTAGGAGGATTGCTTGAGCCTGGGAGGTCAAGGCTGCAGTAAGCCATGATCACATCACTGCATTTCAGCCTGGATGACAGAGCAAGACCCTGTCTCAAAAAAAAATAAATAAATGATTTTTGCAAAGAAAAAATTTGCATGTGCACATGAACACACACACGTGCACACACACAGTTCACCAGAAAGCTTTCCAGGTTGGCCGGCCACTGGGCACAGGGGACCTGAGCTCCTCTACGCCCCCATCCTACGCTCCAACGTGTGCAGAAAATGAAGTTCTGCACATCACCATTAAAGTCCCATTCAGGTTGGAGACCCCTATAATGAGGCAGCTCCCTGGCCAGAGCTGGAAAATTTAGGACATACTGGTAGCCTCACCTCCCTTCTCAACAAAGACTTCACGATGCAAAGCTGGGGCTTGGGAGGGTGCAGGATCGCAGCAGAAGCTTCGGTGGCACATCAGCAGGAGTGCCAGAGCTTCAGGGTAATTAGCGCTAGACTTGTCAAAGGGCCTGGTGCTATTTTTAAAATCTTTCCAACACATTTGGTTTCATAAAGGATTCCAGGAGTTCTCAGTCCACCCAGTGCTCTAGGAAGGCAAATGAACCAATTAATAATTTAGTGGAAATTACCCAGAGCTTTAGGGGAAGATGCGTTCACCCCCTCATATATTTGCTACCCTTCCTTCTAATTAAGCCAGTCAGAACTTTCTCACCTGCAGCATTGTTTCTTTCATCATTGGAGACACCTGGAGCCACTCACGGACCACAGCGTACTAAACCCCTGCTGCAGGTGGCATTTCAGCAGAGGAGCTTCCGAGCCAATCTGTGGCCCTGCTGCTCACCAGTGTGTGACCTTGGGTGGGCTATTTCACCTTTAGAGCACTAAGCTTCCAGGGGTGTTGTCTTCAGTCAAAGGTCAGCAATCTATGGCCCTCAGACTCAATCTGGCCCACCTCTTCTTTCTATAAATAAAGTTTTATTGGAACACAGCCATGCAGATTCATTTACATATGGCTGCTTTTGTGCTACAGAGTTGAGTAGTTGTGACAGAGAGTACATGGCCCACAAAGCCTAGAATATACATATACTATATATGTGTGTGTATATACATATATATATATATATATATATATATATATATATATATATATATATATATATGTAGAGAGTGAGAGAGGAGACAGAGAGAGAGATTATTTAGGGTCTCACGCTGTTGCCCAGGTGGAGTGCAGGGCATATTCATGACTCACTGCAGCCTTGACCTCCTGGGCTCAAGCAATCCTCCCACCTCAGCCTCCCAAGTAGCTGGGATTACAGGCATGTGCCACCACACCCAGCTAATTTTTGTATTTTTTAGTAGAGATGGTTTTGCCATGTTGCCCAGGCTGGTCTCGAACTCCTGGGCTCAAGCGATCTGCCCACCTTGGCCTCCCAAAGTCGTGGGATTATAGGTGTGAGCCACCGTGCCAGGTGTAGAATATCATCCGGCCCTTTAACAAAAAAGTTTGCCAACCCTGCCTTAGATCAGATCCCCAGAAGCAGAGCTTGAGATGAGGATTTGGGTATAAACGACTTACCAAGCAAGTGCGACCAGGAGACGCCAAGGAGAAAGCAAGGGAGGCAGGACAGTGAAAGAAAAGAGGCCACCAAAGGTGTGATATCAGGCAAAGTCCTGCCCCAGCCTGCTCCTGTGGGAGACCTTCTGGGTCCCGTGCAGGTGAAGTGACTCAGGCAGGCCCTGAAGAGGCAGCAGGTGTGAGCTGGGAGGAGCAAAAGCCACGGAAGCTCAGTGGGGAGGCCCAGAACGTGTAACCGGGATTGCAGGGGATCCGGGCAGAACTCTGATGGGCTGGCTTCAGCTGTTAATCACTCCTCCAATTTATGACGCTTTTACAGGGACAAGGTCTTGGGCCAACATACATTCCCTTGTTTACTCCTTGCCACAGCCTTAGGGGTGGGAAGTATCTGAGGCCCACTTTGCAGCTGGGAATGAAATGAGATCACCCAGACAAGTACTCAGCCCAGCACCAACCCCATAGAAAGCACTCACTAAGAGGAAGCTGGATGTGTCTGGAAGCTGGTTGTGTACTGAGTTTGGGGTCACAGGGGTCATTGGGGTATCTAGCATGTAACTAGCAGGAACTTCTAACAGAGCCCTCGTCAGTCATCCTATCGGGGAGGTCAGAGAAGGAGGCTCTGGGGAATCTTGAAGGAGGGGTGGGAGTTGCCAAGTTGGGGAAAGAGATTTTTCCAACACAGGTCACAGCAACACAAAAGCTAGGCGGTGGGAAACAATGGGCACATTCCGGCAGCCTCGAGGAGTTCCGCGGAGGTGGAGTGAAGACTGAGAGGGGTGGTAGGGGGAGATGAGGCCGGGAGGAGGAGAGTACACCCTCAGGGATGGAGAGCCAACAAAGATTCTAAACGAGGAGTTCTGCAGTGAGACTGGCATTTTGGAACAATCGTCCTGGTTTTGGTTGAGAGCACAACTTAGAGAACAGAGGCTAGAGGTGGCAGGCTGGAGTGACAGCCTACTGCAGCTGTCCAGCCAATTAAGCCCTGTAGGAAGAATGGCTGATGCCGCAGTCTATGTGATGCTGAACTGCGGTAGCCAGGCTGACCTGGCCCCAATCCCGGGCTGTGACTGACCTTCAGATGCAGGCAGCAGAGAGAAGAGGACAAAAGTGCACCGCTGGGGAAAGGCAAGCAGCTGGCACCCAGGGCACCAAAGACCCGCACAGTGAGCATCAAGGCCAGCAAGGGCACAAAGCCAGCTGTCACCTGTCCTCTGGGCCAAGCCAAGGGGGGCTGGCCTCCTGGCCACCTCCTTGGGGGAGCAGTACCCCCATTGTCATGACTTGTTCACAGATTCCCAGACCTCCCAGTGCTATCAAGGGAGGTTTGTACTAGAGGTTGATTTATTTGTTATTTTTTTAATTGTGCATTTTTATGGATTTAGGGATACAAGTGAAATTGTGTTAATGGAAATATTGCATAGTGGTAAAGTTTGCCTTTTTGTGTACTCATCACTCTATTTGCTTTTTTTCGATTTTTGATTCTTTTTTTTTAGAGACAGGGTCTCATTCTGTTGCCCAGGTTGGAGTGCAGTGGTGCAATCATAGCTCACTGCAGCCTCGAACCCCTGGGCTCAAGCGATCCTCTGCCTTAGCCTCCTGAGTGACTGCGACTATGGGTGTGCACCATCACGCCTAGTTCATTTAAAAAAATTTTTGTGTAAAGTTGGAGTCTTGCTATGTTGCCTAGGCTGGTCTTTAACTCCTGCCCTCAAGGGATGCTCTTGCCTCGGCCTTCCAAAGAGCTGAGATTACGGACACGAGCTCCCATGCCCAGCCCATAGAAGCTTAGAGTTCACATCAAGAAGGAAGGCACCTTTTCTAACCTGCCCTTAGAGGTTCTGGGAGTCAATAATGTGGCTTGCATACTACCCATTCCCAGATGGTTCATCCCCACAGAATCTACTTCTCTATTTCCTCTGGTCCCGGGCCCTGAAGCATCCAAGCTTCCACCCTTTATAATTACAAATCACTCTCCCTCTGTGTGTGTGTGTGTTGCACATGTGCATGCACACACGTACAATCAGATACATTCCACAGTTCCTCAAATGCCACCACTGAAAGATTTATTCCTATAGTCCAACCTCCTGGGACAAGGAGGGTGCAATACATGAAGTCACCAACACCTTAGTGCGAATTTATTAATCAGATACTTCCCTCTGCATCAGCCAGATGTTAAGAAAATACCAATGATTCGAAGAGAAAGCTTACTGAAAAGGTATGGAATTTTTGGCAGGGGTGGGGAGAGAGGGGACCGTAGGCAGGAGGGATGTGACTTTCCTTTCCACCCAATCTTGGTCAGCCCAATGCTCTTAGTCAGGAGTCAGCAAACTTCATCTGAAAATGGCCAGATAGTAAATGCTTTCAGCTTTGCAAGCCATAGAGTTTGTTGCAACCACTCAGCCTGCCATTGTAGCACAAAAGTGACCAGAAACAATAAGCAAAGGGATGAGGGCAGCTGTGTTCCAAAACAACTTTATTTATGGACACTGCAATTTGGATTTCATATAATGTTCACAAAGTATTATTCCTCTTTTGATTTTTTCCAGCCATTTACAAATGCAAAAGCCATTCTTAGCTTGCAGACCACACACACACATACACACACACACACACACACACACACACGAGGTGGCTGGATCTGCCTGTGAGCCCTGACCCCTTTCCCATCTTGTTGAGATGCCCTCTCCCTAAGGACAAGCCGTCGGTCTTTCTTTGCTGGGTGCCATCCTTGCCTTCCCTTCTCCAGGCCTAGAGGGAAAAAAAGTGGCTCCTTGTTCTGTGTGCTTTGTCCACAATCCCTGGGGATCTGCTTTCAAGTGTGGAGGTGATGACAGGGTGACAAATGGCTGGCGTGCAGGTAAGCCACCGGCGGTGGGCTGCCGCAGAACAGTGGCCGTAGGGTTCACACCAGTTGACTGAGAAGTGAGCCCAGGTGGGCCCCATCTGCCTGCCACTCCCCAGCCCACATCCCATGCATCAGGCCTCATCAGGTCCATCTGCTACACTTCTGGGACACTCTTCAGGCACCTCTCACAAATCCAAAGACTATTTGTTGTCATTATTACCACCTGACTTTACACATATCATTCCCATTAATAAAAATACAATACTCACTTCTTACTGAGTACTTAGTCTGTGCCAGGCGAGAGCTAAGCTCTCTGGCTCGTATTCACTAAGTGGGCCAGGCTCCGTGTGAAGTGCTTTGCACGCAACCAGTGCGTTCAGGCACCTACGGCTTCAGTGCTATTATTAACTTCATTTCATGGATGAGAAAACGGAGGCCAGAGAAGCTCACAGCACCCAAGGTCACAGAGCTGGGCGGGTCTGTGTGTGACTCTAAAGCCAGGTTCTTTGTCACCGGGCACCCCCGCCTCTCCCTGTCTGACAGCCATTCTGCAAGACTGTATTAGGATTCCAGGTCTTTGGATGCAGAAATAGAAACTCCGAGAAGTCAAATTGTTAGTCCAAGTTCATACAGTGGACAAAGGGTGGTGTGAGAATGCTTTGTTGGCATGCCACTGATGTGAAGAGATGTAGGGGCACCTGCCTGTATGTGAAAATGCATGTTTCTGGAAGCTTCAGAAACTTGGGTTCTAAATGAAGGGTTAGGGCTTCAACAAGTGGTGAGAGACAAATTTTAGCCTGAGAGAATGTCTTGGGTCTGTTGGAAAAGTCTTGTGCAGTTGTGTTATCATAGAAGGGCTCTAAAGTATGTAAAGAGACATAGGAGAAGGCTGGGCAAGGAAGAAGTAGAGGTGCAGGTTCTGCTGAAGTCTGGCCCCAGCCGGATCCCATGGGAAGCTCTGGGGCATGAAGGGTACTGCAGGGTTTCCCCACCTCAAGGCAAGGCGCTCAGCCTCTATACCTCTTATACATCAGTAATTGGCTATGGATTGTCCCATGGTTGGGGTGGGAGGAGCACCTCTGTGCAAGGTGACAATTCTCCGGAGAATGGTCCAGGTCTGAGCCTTGGCACCCAACACCCACAGCAGCCGGGGAATGGTGCACGATTGTCAGAGGGGATCTTGGCAGGTATCATTGGCATCTCCTGTGAGTGGGAGACCCAGGAGACCCAGGTGTCACTAACTGGCTCCGCAGTCCCTCGAAAATCACTATGCCTTTCTCCTTCCTACCCTCCACCTCTGTCTTCCTCTCTTCCCTCTTGATCTTCTACCTGGTGGGCTGAGCCGGGCCTAGGCTTCTGGCTCTCGTATCAGACCATCGGCAATGACGGCCAATCTGCAGACTCCAGGAAGCACCCCAGTTTGGCTTCTTCCGAGCTCGGCCTGCTCACCACTTGCCCCCTCCTGTGGCCTGCCTGTCAGGGGATTCCCACTGACGTGCTCGGGAAGGCAGCTCAGGGAGCAGCTATGAGGCAGGCAGCTCCTCCTGACCAGACGGTGCCGAGGCCCCCAGCAGGGCAAGCAGCTGCCCTCCGGACGGCAGCCCAAGTGGGCTTGCTGCCAGGCACTTGCTTAACAGGAGCTGAGCTGTCCCGGTGCGTGCAAGGGGTCATTTCTAGAGCTTCCAGAAGGGTCTCGACTCTATACACAGAAACATCCTTTTCCACTCCTGTGATCTTCATTCAGTCTTTCATTCATTCAACAATTATCTCGGCTGGGCACGGTGGCTCATGCCTGTAATCCCAGCACTTTGAGAGGCCAAGGCGGGCGGATCACAAGGTCAAGAGATCAAGACCATCCTGGCCAACATGGTGAAACCCCGTCCCTACTAAAAGTACAAAAAATTAGCTGGACGTGGTGGCACAAACCTGTAGTCCCAGCTACTTGGGAGGCTGAGGCAGGAGGATCACTTGAACCCAGGAGGCAGAGGTTGCAGTGAGCCAAGATCGCACCACTGCACTCCAGCCTGGCGACAACGCAAGACTCCATCTCAAAAAAACAAAACAAAACAAAAAACAAACAAAAACAAAACAAAACAATTATCCCTTGAGTGCATTTGGGCCATGAATGGTGCTGCAAGCTAAGAAGAAAAGTGATGAGCAAAATAGACAAGGTAGACAAGGTCCTACCTACCTCCATTCTAGCTGGGGAGACAAATAAGACTGGGCACAGTAGGGTCACAGATTCACTCCGTTAGACGTGCAAAGAAAATATCGTTCCTTTGTTTTACTGTAATTGATCTGATCTTCCTCAAGGGAAGGGCAGATGGGGTGAAGAAATATCTTAAACTTGCCCATTTATGGTTCTAGCCAACATGTCCATCTTAGAAGGAACTACTTTCTCTTTTAGTGAGACTCATGGATCTGAAACTTGAAGAGCAAAGCTACGGACACCTTCAACCTTGGAGCCATTGCCTCTGCCCTGAGTAGCTACTGGGCATGGGAGCAGTGGGAAATGGGCTTGGAGATAGCACCTGAGGACCCCCGAGGTAAAACCAGCCAAGTGTGTAAGGCTAGGCCAGGTGCAGTTTCAACACCCAGGGGTTCTCAAATTTACCTCTCTAGCCCAGACCTCTCCTCCAAACTCTGGCTCCATAAATCCCCCTGCCTGGTCTATGCATTCCCTTAGATGATGTTGTAGTCAGCTCAGACTTCTATAACAAATATACCATAGACTGGGTAGCTCAAACAACACAAACTTATTTCCCCCAGTTTTGGAGGCTGGGAAGTCCAATTTCAAGATGCCAGCAGATCCAGTGTCTGGTGAATATCCACTTCCTAGTTTGCAGATGTATCTTCATATATCTTCATGTATCTTCATATGGCAGAGGGCACAGAAAGAGATTCTGTGTCTCTTCCTTTTTTTTTTTTTTTTTTTTTGAGACGGGATCTAGCTCTGTCGCCAGGTTTGAGGGCAGTGGCATGATCTCAGCTCACTGCAACCTCCGCCTCCCAGCTTCAAGCGATTCACCTGCCTCAGCCTCCTGAGTAGCTGGGACTACAGGCGTGCGCCAACAAGCCCAGCTAATTTTTGTATTTTTAGTAGAGATGGGATTTCACCATGTTGGCCAGGCTGGTCTTGAACTCCTGATCTTGTGATCCGCCCACCTCGGCCTCCCAAAGTGCTGGGATTACAGGCGTGAGCCACCACGCCCTGCCTTTTCCTCTTTTTATAAGGGCATTAAGCCTATTCATGAGGGCTCCACCCTCATAATCTAATCATGCCCCAAAGACCCCACTCTGAATACCATCGTATCAGGGGTTAGGCTTTCAACATCTGAATTTTGAAGGGATACAAACATTTGTCCACAGTAGATTGATTCAAAGACAACTCAAACTCAACACATCCAACAAATGCAGGGTGTATCCTTCTCAAATCTAGTCCTCTGCCAGCATCGCCCATCTCAGTCAGTGTCTGCTTTTCTCCCAGGTGCCAATACCAACTGGGAATCGCCCTCTCCCTCACTGTCCATATCCAACTCATGGCCAAATCCTATTTTCTGCCTACAAAGTTCCTGATCACTTTGCTCCATGACCACTGCCCCTCTGGAGGCCCAGGTACGGCCGTGTTTCCCAGACAGTCTCGGGAGTCACCTGATAGGTTTCCCTGTGTCCACTTAGACTCCTCGCTAGTCACCCCCTACACAGGAGCCAGAGGGAGACCATAATCCTGGTTATGTTTGTTGCTGGCAGAAAACCCTTTGATAGCTCCCAGTGCTCTAGCGTCTGGCCCTGCCAACCTCTCCAGGGTCACCTCCACCATGCACCCACTCGTCCCACTGATCTCCCATCCCTCTGGCTTTCTTACAGCTCTGCCAGCACGGAGCCTTGGTGCATGGGGTTTAAATCCAGGAATGCTCACCTCCTCCCTCCTCCTGGTTAGTTCACTCTCAGGATGGCTTCCTACTCATGCTAGATACGGTCGCTCCCTGATATTCACTCTGTTTTCACTTATATGTGTGATTGTGTGGTTTGATCAATGTCTGTCTCCCTCACTGGACTTTAAACTCCTGAAAGGAGGAATCATTTCTGTTTTGCTAGTACAGTGCCTGGCACAAAGTAGCTGGCTAATCAATATTTTTTACACAGCATGAATGAATAAAATTTGTAATGAATTCATGAGTGAATGAAATGCAGCCCTTATCTTTGAACATCTCATTCTCACATTCCTGCTGCATTCTGGGGAATCCTGGAAGTGGGGCACTGTCCCTCTAGGGACATTTTTCCCATCCTTAGTAAAGGAGTCCAAATTCCTGGCCACCTGGAAGTCCTGTTCTGGCAGGAAATAGAGCAAATTTGTTTGCAAATCAAGCCCAGGGCTCCCTGCCAGGCCCCCAGGCAGAGCCAAGCCGGCCTCACACGGACGCCCTGTGGATTTGCACTCATGCACGCTACATTTCCTTGTGTCCTCCTTGCCTGCACCTTTCTCTTCGTCCTCCACCTCCTTTCCTTAGAAATCCCATCTCACTATATGGAGTGATATGATCAACTTCCAGCTCAGCTCAGAGAAGATGAAGGGACTCTTCTAGATTAGCCAAGCACATTGGTGGATCTGGAACCCAGTTATTCCGAGAGCCCACTCGACAAAAAAGAGAACAAAAACAGCCAACACCATCGACCCTGTGCCAATCACGGTGCTAGGTAATTTGCATAGATTATTTTATGGAATCATTACAACAATCCTTCTACACAGGTTTCATTAGGATTAGAGAGAACCTAGAATTCATTTACTAGATGAGGGCCAGTAAACTATGTCCCACAGGCCAAATTAGGTCCACCAAGTTCTTCTTCTTCTTCTTCTTATTATTATTATTATTACTACTACTACTAAAAGAAGTATTATTGGAACAGAGTCATATTGCTCTGTTTACATATTATCTATAGCTGCTTTTGCACTATAATACCAGGGTTGAGTAGTTGAGACAGAGAACCTACGGCCCACGAAGCAGCCCCCCTCAAAAAAAATTCCTATTTAGCCCATTACAAAAAAAAAGTTTGCCAACTCCTGTTTTAGATGACACCCTTCCCCCAGACTCTCCCTTTTATATTTGAATTCGTTTGTCCGAATGTTTTTTTTTCACCCAATGTTAAAGCAAACATGTTCCGCAGCTTGTTTGAATTTTCTGTGTTGAGCACCCAACACTAGAGGTGTCAGTTACTTTCACCATGCCCATAGATGTCCCTAAGGGAAATAGGCCCCTCTCTGTGCTGCCCACTGCCCTCCTGAGACTTGTCCCCAGCCACAGCTGATTGGACTAAGAGATGGGTGTCCAACCCTAGGCGGCCTTGCAAGGCAGGACAGCAGCTGATGATCTGAATGGCTTCACATGAAAAGATAAGCTAGACCAACCAGATTTTTCTCTCGGGAGTCTGGAATATGGAAACAGAGGCAAGGCTGTCAGGGGAAATGGAAGGTAGAGGAGTCTTGGGGACAAGTTGTGGCTGGTGACTGTAAAGGGCAAGGTTGTAAGGATGCCTGCTGGGAGGGAGAGAAGAAAATAGAGGCACAGTGCACACAGAGACAATCTGTGAAGGAGTGGCCCTGTGCTCTAAGAGAAAGAGGGACAGAGAAATTTGGTTCCAAAAGGTTGCCTGTTTCCAGCTCCCATGAGGACAACTGTCCTCTTCATGGATTATCAGTCAGGTCTTTTAGGTTGCAAATGAAAGAAAACCTACCATAAATGGGCTTGAACACTAAAGGGTATATATTGACTCGTGCAACTGAGAAGTCCAAAGGTACTTCAGGCTCAGCTTGATCCAGCAGTTCAAATGATGTCACTTGTGACCTGACTTCTTGCAGTCTCTCTGCTCTGCCTTTTGCAACATTGGCTTCAACCTCAGTGTCTACTCTGTGCTCTCTCCCATTTCCCTCACTCCAGGCTCTGCACTCATGGTGTCAAGATAGCTGCAGTGATTCCAGACCTCACAGCTTCACACCAGACTGTCTGCAAATAGACAGGAGGTCCCAGTAGCTCCTTTGCATTCTGGGATATGATGTCTCATTGCCTATCCCTGAACCAGTTGCTTTGGCCAGGGTGGAGATGGGTTGCACTCATTTGGATTAAACTCACCATCACTTGCCTTCGGTTTTCTCCCCTGTAATAACATTTGAATGCTTATTTTGTTCCAGGCCTTGCATCACCCTTAACATGCATTACCTCTCTTAATGCTCACAAAGCCTGTGAGGCAGTTACTAGGATTATCCCCATTTTACCAATGAGGAAATACAAGCTCAGAGAGCGTAGACACCTTACCCAGGATTACAAAGCCAACACATAGTAGAACTGCCGATAAAAAGCAGATCCAGGAGCTGAAAGGGGCCTGTGGAATTCTGGAGCCTGAGCCCTCAGCCCCTGTGTCCCTGCTTGCGGAGGGAGGATCACCCAACAGCCCCCAGCTACTGCTATTTCACCTCCTGTTGCTATCCTGGTGACCCAAATCCTTTGCACAGAGGGAGCTGTCCATAGATCTCAAGTTTCAGACCGGGTTATTCACAAGTCCTGCTTCCACCTCTGGGTTCCTCTGGTTTCTCTATTTTCTCCACCACCTCAGTCCGTTTCCATGGAAACTGCTGGGCTCCTGCATCCCTTTCATCCTCCTTTCTGGGAAGCAAGGCCAGCTCTCCAGCACTCCGGTAGCCAGGCCTGACCATTATAAAAACCAAAGAAGCAATATCTGGAAGAAACACTTCTAGGCATAGGGAGGTACCAGGTCAGGCTTCGTATTTTTTCCTTTGAAGTGCTCCAAAATAACACCAGGTGCTCTAAGGAGCTCAGCCAATTACCGAAGCCCAGTGGATCCTGGCTGGAAAGTTGTTTGTCATCTGTCCTCTGACATCTCACCACTTCAGTCACCAAGCCTCCCTCCCTTCTTGAGGGAGTGATTCTAGGGTCCTGGGGCAGAGGGACAGTTGGGCAAGTCTCCCTGCCAATCCTTGGTGTCAGATCACAGCACTCAAATGAGCTGGTGGGCTGGGGATGCGAAAGTGAAGGTGGTCCCCAGTTTGCCCTTCTGGTGGAGGGAGGAACCAGCCATCAGAGAACTGGTGGGTAAACAGTGGGCTTGGCATTACTCCTTAACGCTGGGAGGGGCCCTGTGGCTCCAGTGGCCAGGGTCCGGGAAGAACTTTATACATAGTGCCCAGGAGCTTGGCACCTGGTCCACAAAGACTCCATATACCATGGAAACTGGAGGGGACAAAGTGTTCTTGGTACCCCACCCCTCCCAGGTCTTGGTTGGGTGTTAATCTCTCTGAGCCTTGATTTCCCTATCTTTGGAATGGGTCAAATTCTTGCATTGCACACCTGATAGGGGAGTTGTGAGGACCAAACAAAGCAAGACACATCAAAACCCTCTGTAAAGGCATTTAAAGGTATCCTCACGGTTATCGCCATCATTGTCGTCATCATCATCATTATCATTATTGTAATAAAACTCGAGGGGAAGTCCTGGAAGGGAAGCAGAACCCCAGACATCTGAAATTACTTACAAGAGCCTTAATTCACGGAAATGTGCTCATAAATGTTCCGTCTTTACCGTCACTGCTTTAAAATACGCTCATCGAACCTCTCTTTCCTATCTCTGAATGATTTCTTATCTGAGTCCATGTTTCTCCTCACACATTTGGTTATTGAAACTTGGACCAGTCCAGCTAAGACTCCAGTCTCTTCTCCAATGCAAAGCTCTTCTCCTTTCCCATTGCAAACTGGACAAGGAGCTTGGGTCTGGAGCTGAGCCTGGAGAGAAGGGATGGCTGGCTCTAAGACATCCCCTCCTGGTAGGGCAGAGGGAGCTGCAAGGAGAGATGAGGGGCGGGAGGTCTTCCTACCTCTCTGGTCGCTTGCAGGTTGTAAGAGCATCCCAGGCTTTGGCTCCCGCTGCTGATCTCTGAGGAATTTGAGGGCCTGTGCATAGTGGAGTGAAGGTTTTTTGGAGCGGTCTTCAGCTCCGCTCTAGCTTCCTCAACACCGAGGATATCATAAACACCAGCAGGTATCTGGCTTCGGCCCCCTCTTTAAACTATATGCACCTTTCCCAGGAGCCATAGCAACCCCCAAGGGCTGCCGAGAACCATGGTGGCTCCCATCTTCCTTCTAGACGCAGGACAGGGCAGTCTAAGCTGCTTTCATAGGCCATCAGACAGCTCTGAGTCAGAAGCAAGCGCCAGTCCCAACTCCATATGTGGCCCAAACTCCAGAACACTGCTCACCCCAGCCCACTCTGGAGCCAGGTGACATCTCCAGTTCCTCCTTGCTGCTGAAATCCCCCACAACCTGAAGGGGATTTCTGGGGGTTCCTCCAACAAAACTTGACTTCAGGACAGCCACAAATGCTGCACTCCCAGAAGGCCAATGCTCCTCTCTCCCGCACCCAGACATCTCCCCTGATAATCCCTGGCCTTGGTGGGTGGTGGCGGGCAGGCTGAGCAAGCCAGGAAGACACGAGGCATCTGATTGCTGTGATTCCAGATGTGGCCTAACTGCCACTATTTCAGAACAACAAGAAAAATCCCTCCTCACATCCTTGCATTGGTAAGAATACCTGCCTATTAATTAAGCACTTACGGCTGCTGGGGTTCTTGCTAGCTAACCCCTTGATTACATTCTTTTTGGTGCTTCCACTGACTTTGTGAAACTAATTACCTTGATTTTTAGAAAGGTTCAAAGAGGTTAAATAGCTTTGCCCAAGGCCTCACAACCAGCAAGAGGGTTTTGAGCCCATATCTATCTGACTCCAGGGCAGGAACTTGTAACTGCTCAATGTGGCTGTTTCTGCAGGACTCAACTTGGAGATAAACCACAAACGCACCAGCTTGGGCTCCTCAGTCCTCCAGGAATGGGCCTCCCAGAAACAGACCAACTGTGCATCTGAAATGAACGAGGCAAGACTGTCCCAGTAGACAGTTTAAAGGTCACTGTGGCCACCCTACTGTCATACCCAGAACCATGTCCCCCTGATCTCAACAGCTCTGGAAAGCAGGAAGTAGGAGCTTCACTCTTTACTCCTCACCAGGAAAACCAAAGTAGCATGGAGACACTGGCTTTGCTTCTTGGAGAAGCAGGGATGAGCTCTCTCACCCAACACAGATTTGGGACAGGGGCCTGAATGACAGGTGTCAGAGCCCACAGGGCTGAGCCTGGCCCCGTGGGGGGCTGTGCAGCGCAGTGGTTAAGAACTTGTGTTCTGGAGACAGTATCTGTCTTAGCCTTTCCCGTTGGCCTCCCGTTGGGGTCAGCCCCTCCAGGATCCATTCATTAGCTACCCCAGGGGAGGTGATGCTGACTGAGAAATTTCTTGCCAAGCCAACCACTGATCACTGGCTCCATGAAGGGCGGCAGGAGCCCTAACTCATTTAATCCTCAGAACAATTATATTATTATTATTATTACTATTATTAGAGACAGAGTCTCGCTCTGTCGCCCAGGCTGGGGTGCAGTGGTGCGATCTTGGCTCACTGCAACCTTTCCGCCTCCCGGGTTCAAGCGATTCTCCTGCCTCAGCCTCCCAAGTAGCTGGGATTACAAGCATGCACCGCCACGCCTGGCTAATTTTTTTTTTTTTTTTTTTTTTTTTTTTTTTAGTAGAGACTGGGTTTCACCATGTTGGCCAGGATGATCTCAATCTCTTAACCTCGTGATCTGCCCACCTCGGCCTCCCAAAGTGCTAGGATTACAGGCATGAGCCACGGCACCCAGCCAACAATTCTAAAAGGCGTATGCCCACATGCCCATTTTGCAGAAGAGAAAAACTGAGGCAGAGACAGGTTATATAATTTGCTCAAGGTCACACAGCTTATTCTGGGATTCACACCCAAGCAGCCTGATTCTTGAGTGCCTACTCTTAACCACTGAGTCATCCTGCCTCCCTAGGGACTTTGGTGAATCTCTCAGCAAGGTGGATGGGTACCTCTAAAGCTAGCTTTTGATGACTTCTCCCCCCAGTCTGTTCCTGCAAGTAACTCTAAACACATTCACCCTAGGCAAAGAACAAGTGGTTTTGGAACCTGCATTCTCTATTGCCCCTTTGAGACTCGCTCTGGGCTTGGCCCTCTCTCCAAGGGACAACCCTCTCTCTGTCTCCTCCTGGGTTCCCCTCTCCCCCAGCGACCTCCTTTTCATTCTCACTTACCTCCTTGCCTTTCACTCTCCTCTTGGAAGGTGGTTCAGCTAACACTCATTAGCACATGTTAAAGATCGCCAATTCATGTCTCAGTCACTCCGTAGCAGGAGAGGGGAGAAAGGAGGGATGATGCTGTCACTCTGTGGGTAATGTGTCTTACCTTACCACACCACAAGGCCAGGACAGACCCCTAAGGGCTCAGACCGCAGGAGAGAATGGGGAGAGGGCCCAGCTCCCTGCTGGGGAGTCCTGTCTGCTGCCCTCAGGATGTGCGCTCAGTAGCTGCGTCTATTTTCTCTGAGACCAGCTCAGAACATCCCCAAGACAGAGTTGGACGTTGTTCTCTGTCCACTGGAGCAGGCACATTCCCACGATGTCCCTAGGTGGGCGTGGTTAAGACCTGGTACGGGTTGATCTAGTTCTGCCACCCCCTGGCCAAATGTCTAAAAGCCCCCCAGAGCATGGCCAGCGTGAGGCAGGTACCAGGGGTGGAGGGAGGCTCCGAGGGGACGGATATACGAAGACCCAAACAGACAGTGGAAGCCCCCCACCCCCACCCCACACCACTTCCATCGGAATCCTCCCGGGGCACTGCTGATTCCAGCTGCTCCCCACTAAAGCCTTGAGAACTCTTGGCTGCTCTGCAAGACTGAGCCCCATGAAGGAGCCACGTGCGGCGTGGAAAGAGTGCTGAGTTCAAATTGTAGCCCTGCCACTAATTTGCTGGGCCAGTCACTTAATCATCTGAAGTCACAAGTACCTCATCAGAAAAGTGGTCCCAGCTCTTCCTGCTGTGGAAGGATCAGAAGAGAGGAGGCACGACAGAGACCTAGTGAACTCCGAAGCCCGAGTGCTAAATATTTGTCAAGTTTGTGTTAGTATTACTATTAGTGTTGTTACTGCTGTTATTATTATTGCTACTGCCAGCAATAATAAGTGGTGGATGTACTCAAGACGGTCGGGAGGGAAGGCAAGGGCAGCCTCTCCCTCATTTTCACCGAAAATCCTCCGGGTGTCCCTGGCCCCGCGCCGAGGGGTCTCAGCGCAGAGGTAAGGGCCCTCTAGGAGTCCGGGCCGAGCCTCTCGCGCCGCCGCCCCCGCCGCGCCGCGCCCCGGTCGGATTCCCTGAGCGCGCGCGCCCCCTTCTGGCGGCCGGGCGCAGGCGCAGGCTCCAGAGCGTATATAAGGGCAGCGTGGCGCACAACCCCAGCGCGAGTGCCAGAGCCCAGCCGGCGCGGAGCGGGAGCGGTGCAGGCTGAGGTCTCCGAGCGGCTCGCCATGGCTGGCCCGCAGCAGCAGCCCCCTTACCTGCACCTGGCCGAGCTGACGGCGTCCCAGTTCCTGGAAATATGGAAGCACTTTGACGCAGACGGTCAGTAAAGCTCCCAACTTCTGTGCCCATTGGCACCCAGGGGACCTGCGGTGAAGGGGGCAGGGGGCGGCGCTGAATGCGGGCAGGTGTACGTTTGCCCTCAGGAGGTGGTCTGGTCGCAGAGCCTGCTGGGGTAGTGGTCCCGGGTTTGGGAGACATCCGGCTGCTCTGGGCACAACTGTCAGTAACTTTCTTCCCTAACATAGATGACCCAGAGCCCACCCGCATTTGCACCTTTATTCTGAGCAAGTGGGAGCTTTCTCAGAGAGGTGGCCTGGGCTGGGAAGGCCTCCAGGTTCCCCCTGCCATCTCCCCCACCTCCCCTGCCTTCAGCTGCTCCAGCCACAGGTCTCAGAAGACCACTCATTTCTTTCCTCCTCTTCCCCTTTTGTTGAATGCTAGGTTAGCCCCCTTACCCTGCTGGAGGCTGGGATAAATTAGGGGATCCTGAAGGGAAACGTGGCCTCCCCAGCTTGATTGGCTGGGAGCAGGAGTGGAAAATGGCATTGGGGGCCCTGAACACCCCCCTGCTTCCTTTGTCCATTTTCCAGCCGCCGTGGGCATGTAGGTTTCCCAATACAGCAGCAGTGGGTGTGGTGGCGGGCAGCGTTGGGGTGCCAGTCCCAGACCTGTTCCCTCATAGTGATAATCCTGGGTACTCTTGGTGACTTCATCTCTGGGTAGGGGGAGGCACCACCCTAAGTGCCTCAGTGACTAACCCTCTGCTCTGTGTGGTCTTGACACTGACTCACCCAAAAAGCAAGGGCCAGACCAAATGACCTTTGGAGGTAGCCCCCAGCACTGGGATTCCAAGTGTCTGTGGTGGTCTGACTCAGGCATAAAGGGTGGTCCTCCTTTAGAGGCTTTTGATATCACTAGAGACTCTGTTTCTGTTACTCCGAAAAAATAAGTGATCTGATTTCCCTCTCTACGCACAGACCTGGCTAAGATGAGCATCCAAAATATCCTGGCATCTCAGACATTTTGTGGTGTCTGTAGCTACCCTCCCCTCGGGTAGCTAATGGCTCCTGGAGGGGCTGACCCCAAAGGGAGGCCAACGGGAAAGGCTAAGACAGATGCTGTCTCCAGAAGACAAGTTCTTAACCACTGCACTGCACAGCCCCCCAGGGGGCCAGGCTCAGCCTTGTGGGCTCTGACACCTGTCATTCAGGCCCCTGTCCCAGATCTGTGTGGGATGACAGGGAGTTTATCCTGGGGTCTGAGAGCAAGGGGGATGGAAAACAGAGGGGCATCAGGTGTGCCTCACTCCATTCTTCCCTCCTCCCTTCCTCGCCTTGGCAGGGTGTGGAGGTGGCTGGGCAGAGATCCTCTGCCCAGAGTGCTATGGGGAGGCAGGGGTTAATGTCTGGGGATGCTAATGGGTGAAATTTTGTTTCCTTGGAGCCAACTGAGAAAGCTAGAGGGGTAGGGGACTAGGCATTTGAATACCTGAGTTAGGACTGTGATCTGCCTATGAATTACTGATGGAAGTGGGTAGATTGTTAAATCTGTAAAATGGGGCTAAGGAGGGATTGTGTTTCCAATCCCCAGCTCCTGCCATAAAATTCCCTTGGTACAAAGTGCTCTCCTAAGAGAAGTGCAGCCTTTTAGTATTCCAGATGACATGCACATTCCCTAAGGAGGCTCCTGCCAGTTTATCTGCACCAGACTTGCATGATTCAAGGAAAGTTACCAAGCAGCCAAGGTTACACCACTGGCTTCCTGGTAGATGAGTCAGCTATAAACAGAGGACTCTATAGTTCTACTTTCCCCCATTCTCAGAGGGACAAGCAAGAGCACTGTCCATAACCACGCAGATCCTTACGTTGATCTGAGACATTGTACTTAAGCACAATTGCACCTTCTCAAGGTGTGAGGCTGCTGGGCAGACCATGACTCCCCTTATACAGATGAGGAAACAGACACAGGGGTTGACTTTTCCGAGGTCATGGAGCAAGTTACTGGTGGGGCTGGTTCCTGGCCAGCGTTTATTCTCCCACTCTGGTTCCTGAACACCTGCTTGGTTTGGAAGAGGGTTTTTTTCCATGATGATAGGTATAAGTCTCCCTCCCATTCCCCCAAAGAAAAGCCCCCAGCCCACCCTTGGGGTTGATGGGCAGTTTCGTGTATCCCAAAATGGGGTCCTTGGCTTGGCTAGAGTGTAGTTAAGCTACCACCAAACCCATGATCTTCAAAGCCTCCTAAAGCCATTGTGCCTCTGGCTCCCTCCTGCTCCGGGGTGAAGGGGGAGCTTGATGCTTGCACCTTCTTCCTTGTCCATCAGACTTCCACTGCCATCTCTACATCACAGCCTCAGGGAAGTCCCAAGGAAAGGCCATGGACCCGACAGAGAAGGAGGGCCATGAGGATTAAAATACCAGAGATGAGAGAGAGGTGACTTAGGAAGATATGTATACAGCCAAATCGGAATTCCACAAAAGGATCCAGAATTAGGCTTTGGGCGACCTTCCTCCCCTCCTGAACACCCAAAGGCTGCCAGGTGAGCCCAACACCGCAGTGCCTGAGGCACTCCCAGCCCTGTTTAGGCCTCTCTCCTACCAATTCTGGTTTCCGTTTTCAACATGGGGTTTCTTCCCAATTCTAAGAGTACCCCCTACCACTCACAATCTTAAAAACACCTGAGAGAACTCTCCCTTGCAGCTCTCCAGGTCCCTGGAGTGGGCTCGCTGGAGCCCAATTAACCACAGCCCCCAGAGAGTTGGAGCCACCTCCCCACCCCTTCTGGATGCTGGCTGGTAGTAAACAAAGACAAAGAGACCTTAGGAGGCAGCTGAATCCCAACGAGAGGGAGGATGGGGGCAGGAGGACCCTTAGCCCATTCCAAAACAGAAAAAGCCACCATCACCCTAAAGAGTTGGATTATTTTCAAAATTCTTATTAGCTTTGTGGTAGAGAAAGGAAGAAGTGTATGTTTGGAGAGTGAGAAACTAGGACTCAAAGAGGCAAAATTCTTTTCACAAGATCACACAGCAAAGCAGGAAGAGGTGAAGGGGGAACCAGGAATCTGGTCTCCTAGTCCGCAATACCACTCCACCAACTCTGCCTCAGCAGTCAGCCAAGAGCATGCGTTTGGGAGGGTTCCAATGTTGTCTCTCAAAGGCTGAGGTAGGGAAGATGACAGCCAAGCCCACCCAGTGACCCTGGTGGGGTCTAGGGCTCTTCCGAACATCACCTCCATGCTCCGAGTGGCCCTGACGTGGCCTTACGTATCTGAGCCCATTGCTCTGTTGCTTCCTGGACACTTCTGTATCAGGACCTTTCCCCCTCTAAAGGATCCAGGTGGCTGAGGGATGCCCAGTTCAGAGTTCACACTGTCCTTTATTTATGGTTCTGATTAGACAGGCCACCGGGCTCCTATTTTACTGACCATCTGCGAGCAGCAAAGTTGTGGCTCCAAAGAGAAATGCCTTAGCTTTTGCTACCCCTTTGAAAGCAACTAAGAATGTAAAGATAAGATGAGTTCTCTTCCAGGGGCAAGCAGACATTCATGGGGCCAAGGTGAACATCCTACTCCCTTCCAAGAATCTAGCCTACATAGATATACTCGTATGTGCGCAGAAAGTTATATGAACAAACATGTCTATTACAGTGTTCTTCGGAAATACTAACAATTTCAGTGGGTGGAGGGGAGAATGTGCTTCACTGGGGGACAGAAAAATAAATATGGTCATCCCTATGATGGAGTATGATAGAGCGAAGTGAAGCTTTTGTAGTGACATGGAAAAATGTCCAAGATGTATTATTAAGATATTGTTTAAAACTGTAGCTGAACACTATTATAAGCCCGTTTTTATTATGAATGATATATGTATGTTGCAGGATATTTAGAAAAATACAACTGAATAATAGCGGCTCTCTCTGAAGAGTGGATGAGCCAAATGAAAGGGGATTTTCTTTTACTTTCTAAGTTAATTTCCATAGCACTTGAAAATTTTACAAGAGCATCTATTTCCTGTGTAGTCAGCAAAACAATAAAGATATAAGAAGGGAGGCCAGGCACAGTGGCTCAGGCCTATAATCCCAGCACCTTGGGAGGCCAAGGCAGGAAGATCACTTGAAGCCAGGAGTTCGAGACCAGCTTGGGCAATACAGTGAGACCCCCCCTCCCCCTACTACAAATTTAAAAATTAAGCAGGTGTGGTGGCGCACGCCTGTAGTCCCAGCTACTTGAGAGGCTGAGGCAGGAAGATGGCTTGAGCCCAGGTAGTCCAAGCCTGCAGTGAGCTATGATTGCACCACTGCACTCCAGCCTGGGCAACAGAGCCAGACCCTATCTTTAAAAAAATAACTAACTAAATAAATAAAGATATAAGAAGAAAACAATGTGATAGACACCTTTTCTTCCCTTGTAAGAAATATGTATATGTCTCCAGGTGGGGGGATCTGCCTATACTCTTCTGGGCTTCTGTCCACCTCCAAGTGGCCCAGGTGACGTAGGGGGTGCTCAAAGCCTCTCACAGGGACTGAGTCCTGTTCCTTATCTATGTGGACCCTGAGGATTTTGAAAATAACAACAGAGGCCACAAAGGGCTGAGGATGGCTCTACGCAGGCTCCCATCCTCGCCCTCTGAAACCCAGTGACCTGGCAGAAGTCTTCTCCAAGCCCACACAACACTGAGGACCACTCAGGGCCAGACTGCAGTGCCCAGGCAGGCTCTTCCAGGGCACGGGTCACTGCTCATTTGTTTGTCCCTGGTTTAGGGAATGGGGAGGAAATTTAGAACAGCAGCACCTCTCAGAGATGAACGGGAACCTGGGCAACTGGCCCTGGGCGGCTGCATGAGAGGTCCTGCAATACCAAAGTGAAACACATGCTGAAATAGGGTCACAAAATATGTGATGTATATTAAGTGTTTATATAAATGACACAACAGTTACAATGCTATAAGGTAATCATAGGATTTATCAAAACGATTGGGTCTTGGCCCATTAAAATCAACAGGGTCCGACACTGGGAACCAAGATTAAAGTTGTCAGAGGAGCGCTTTCTCTGAACCCTGTTAGTGAACCTCTGGGGGTCTGTATACCTCTCAGCTGGGCGTGGCGTGATGTCAGGATATGAGGCTCTCAGGGAACAGCCGCCTGACCCATCTGGGGTAGGCCCTGGAAAATGTCCCCCACCCCTGCCTCTGCTCCCTCCCCCAACTCCCCAGTTTTTTCACTAACAGCGTCCTTGGGTTGTGGAGTGTCCACGTGCAGCAGCTCTACGCTGGGTACCTCCAGGTGGGCTCTTGCCTGCTATGGCTCTGCTTCTCAGACTCTGATTGCACCAGCCGGCAGCGGGGAGCAGCTGGTCTGTGAAGAGCTGGGGCTCCCCGGGGGAGCCCGCCTAAGGGACCCGTTTCACAAACAAGATGCCAGCCCTGCATTGCCTTGATATTGACAGCCAGGCCGGCTGTCCCTGCCCTGCTCAGCTTGTATATTCCCCTCCAGACTTCAGCAGCTTTACCAGCCAAGCCCCTGAGGGAGGTTTCCAGGGCTAAGGAGACCCCTCAGGGAAATCAATTCCAAAACCAAAGGAGCTAGAATTAATAGAGCAGGCCTGAGGCTCTTCAAGAACAGTGCCTCTCCAGCCCCAGCCTGCCGGCGGATTGCATCCCAGGCCCTCCTTTGCCAAGCCGGCCCATCTGGGGCCTCTGGCTTCAGCCCTCCCTCTGTCCTTGTTGGCTCTTCACTATCTCCCCTCTCACCCAATCTGCCCTATCCTTCTGGCCTCCCTCATGCCTGGGACTCAGCCCAGCATTAGGCTGCCAGATGTCCACAGGTTCAGGGGACCCAGCCCAGCTCCAGAACCACGGGTCCAAAGCAGCACAGCCCAGAAACATAGATTGAAATTCAAGTGCCCAAACATTCAGCTGGTGGCTGGTAGCTCTTCACTCTGGGGCTTATTCTTTTTTCCAGAAGCCACTGGAAGAAGCGTGTGTGTGTGTGTCAGAGAGAGAAGCCAGGACAAATGCAGATATGGACAGACATTGTCCCTGGGACAAATAGAAGGAGGCCAGGACCTCTGTCAGCTGTGGCTGAATCTCCTTCCCCCTCCGATTCCTCCTTTCTAAGATGGGGTTGATAACTGCTTACCTGGCAGGGTCGTAAAGAACAGATGAGGTGGGAAGTGGAAAGCTTTTTGGGAATGGTGCGCACCAAGCAAAGCAGGATTAATACTGGGGCAGAGCCTGGGGAAGCCAATTTCTTACCCCAAAGGGTAGGATTTGACTGTCCCAGAGGGTGCTCCAGATGGAGGTTAGAGGACTGTTTGCCTTCGATAAATCTGAACTCCAGATAGACCGACAAGCGGCCTGGCCTCCTGGATGCCTTCTGGTGCAGCTTAACGAGGAAATTCCTTAACGAGGAAATTCTGGTGCAGCTCAAGGAGGAAGGTGCGAACCTTCCCTCCTTTGACCTCTCTAATCTATGGACTGCGAGTGCTACACAGACTGGTGCACTAGAAGCGACTGGACGCAACATCTTGAGTGTGCTGAAGGGCTGCTTAGAACACAGGCTTCTGCACCCCATCCCCAGAGACTCAGATTCTGTAGTCCTTAGAATTTGCATTTCTAAGAAGCCCCCAAGTGACACTCATATGTCTGGCCTAGACCAAAATTTGAAAACCACTGAGCAAATGCGTCTCAGATTTTAGCACACTGATGAATCACCAAGACAGTGTGATCCATAGATTGTTGGGCACCACCCCCCAGAGAAAGATTCAGTAGGTCCAAGGTGGGCCTGGGATTCTGCATTCCTAACAAGCACCCAGGTAGTTCCAATGCTACTGGTCCACAGACTGCACTTTGAACAGCACGGCGTTATGCTCCAATCCTACTGAATTAGGATCTCCACTTTAATAAGTGGAGATTATTACGGTACTTTTTATGTACCCTAAAGTTTGAGACATGCTGCTCTGAAGCGGTTCCAAGCCTTTACTGTTCTGAGCTTTAGAATCACCTGCAGAGCTTTGAAAACACCCCCTTCCCCCCATCCATTAAATCAGAAATTCTGGGGATGGGGCCAAGGCAACAATGTTGTTTTCAGATATTCCCAGGTGATCCTAATACACAGCCTCAACTGAGAACCAGTATTCTTTTTTCTTTCTTTCTTTGTTTTCTTCCCTCTCTCTCTCTTTTTTTTTTTTTTTTTTTTGAGATGGAGTCTCACTCTGTCACCCAGGCTGGAGTGCAGTGGCAGGATCTTGGCTCACTGCAAGCTCCACCTCCCAGGTTCACGCCATTCTCCTGCCTCAGCCTCCCAAGTAGATGGGACTACGTGTGCCCGCTACCACGCCCGGCTAATTTTTTGTATTTTTAGTAGAGACGGGATTTCACCGTGTTAGCCAGGATGGTCTCAATCTCCTGATCTGTGATCCACCCACCTCAGCCTCCCAAAGTGCTGGGATTACAGGCGTGAGCCACAGTGCCTGGCCTTTTTTTTTTTTTTTTTTTTGAGAGAGAGAGAGTCTCGCCTTGTCACCCAGGCTGGAGTACAGTGGCACAATCTCACCTCACTGCAACCTCCGCCTCCTGGGTTCAAGCAATTCTCGTGCCTCAGCCTCCCAAGTAGCTGGGACTACAGGCACACACCACCACACCCAGCTGATTTTTGTATTTTTAGTAGAGATGGGGTTTCACCATGTTGGCCAGGCTGGTCTTGAACTCCTGGCCTCAAGCAGTCCACCTACCTCAGCCTCCCAAAGTGCTGGGATTACAGGCGTGAGCCACCACACCTGGCTTGAGAACCAGTATTCTAAGGAAAGCAGTGGTGCTGGAACTCTTCAGGCTAACGGGTTTTCATCTATAAATTGATTTAGAGGAACTTAAGAGGAGGGAGTATAAATGGAAGGCAATATTTGTTCCTTCCATTTATGTGAGATTTTACATCTTTCAGAATGCTTCCACAACATTACCTTGTACAGCTCTCACCATAACTCTGTAAAGTAGAGAGGGCATAAATAGTTATGCCCATTTTAGAGATAAAGAAACTGAGGCTCAGAGAGATTGACTTGCCCAACATCACATGGACAGTCATAGAGCAGGCGGTAGAATTATTAATATTATACCTCTTACTCAGGTACCTCTTACCTGTTCAACTCCTAGAAAATCTGAATGTACAAGGCTCAGGGAGAACAAGGTCTCCCTGAGGTCTCTTTTCACTGAGGGGTGAAGCCTCCTCTAGGCATGGCTTCCCAAGTGTCCGTGGTCAGATGAAAGGTAAAGAAGTATTGTCTCACTTTAAATTGGGGGAAACTGAGGCACGGTAGTGGTGCGGAATGGTAGCAAGAGTAGAATAAGGAAGGATGCAGGGTCTCTGGCTCTCACTTCGGCTCTGCTCCCTCATGTTCACAGGATGTGGTTTGATAAGAAGTTAGAAGTGATGGTTGCCATGGTAACCACGTCTTTATCGATGTCTTTATCGATGCCCATCCGCATGAGCCTTGCTTGGTGACCAGTCACCCCACCCGCTGCAAGAGGGTCATAGAAACATCAGACCATTCACTCAGTGCCGATGTCATCCTAGAAGGGTGTGCACCAGCCCCTCCTCTACCCCAGCCTCTAGTGATAAGGGCTTCCTGCAGATGGATGGGGAGTTGCTTTGAGGGAAGCCAGAGCAGCGAAGGCCATTTGCCATCCACAATCGAGGGCTGGGTGTGGAGTGTCCCTTCTGGGCCCTGCAGCGCCACCTGCCGATCTCTCCTGTGTTCCTCACTGTCTGCCATCAGCTGCCTGTCTGCCTGCCTCTCCCAGGCTGACCATTGATGCTCTTGGGAAATGGGCCCACATCTAAAACTTGGTGATAGCTCCCTGAGCACCAGGCACAAAGTGGAACAGTGGCTCAGTTCAAAACATCAAGGCTTACTGCATTGAACCACATTTCTGCCTTTTGTTGAGGTGCCCAGAGGGAGGTAGTGGAATTCCTAGTGTGGGGAGGGGGGTTCCTCCTGCCCCGGGAACCTCCTGCTGCCTGTGCTGCACAAGCTGAATTCAGAGAGGCGGCTTCTCTCCACAGGGCTGCCCTTCTAGCTCCTGGACCCCTTTCCCTGCCTCCAGTTTTCCTCCTTCCTTTCTCTGCCCCCTTCCCAGAGGCTGAGGCTTCTTGGGAGGTCTTCCCTGCTCATCCTTTCCAAGAAGCCCTGGAAGTCGATCTCTACTCTATGACACCATCATTCTTTCATTGCTCTCGACACTGGAAACACCATGTTTAAATTCATTTCCTTGCTTATTATCTGTCCCCTGCCCCACCCACACCCCATTACAGCATAAGCCCCACCATGGCAGGACCTAGCTGGCCTTTGCACCTCCAGTGCCTGCACAATGCAGATGCTCAATAAAGGTTCCTCCAATGGTCCAGGCACGGTGGCTCACGCCTGTAATCCCAGCACTTTGGGAGGCCAAGACAGGTGGAGGATTTAAAGACCAGCCTGGGCAACATGGCAAAACCCTGTCTCTACCAAAAACAAACAAACAAAAAATTATTCAGGCATGTGCCCGTCGTCCAAGCTACTTGGGAGGCTGAGGTGGGAGGACGGCTTGAACCCAGGACATTAGGCTGCACTGAGCCGTGATCCAGCCACTGCACTCCAACCTGAGTGACAGAGCAGACCCTGTCTAAAAATAAAATAAAATAAAAATAAAAAAATTCCTCAAATGAATGAATGAGTGAATTAAGCCTGGATCAGGAATTAGGACACTTCCGTTCTGGTCCTCCCTGGCTGTGTGGTCCTGAGCAAGTTGCTTGCCTTCTGTGTCCTGTGCCTCAGTGTCTTCTGTCACCAGAAAAGGATTCTACTCTGCCATGCCCGTGTGTCTGGAAAGATTATGTGTGGGTTCATTTCCCCCACAGCAACCCACACAGGTCTTACCCATAGTGAGGGCTCAAATTATCTGCTGGAGCAAAGAAAGACGGCAAAAGCGCTTTGAAAAGTTAAAGACATTCCACTGACCTTCAGCACTTTCCTGCTGGGCGAGGCACTGGATGATTGTCTGAGTTTCTTGAGGTTGTTAAACCTCCTTCAAACCTTTCTAGAAAAAAAGATGGAGTAAAAATAAATACTTATTCTAAGTTCCAGAAAAACTCCAAGGAAAAGATGGCCCCTAGAGATCTGTACTTTACTTCTTTGGGTTCAGAGCGTTCAGTGGGGCGGGGCTCCGTGCTAGCCTTGCCTGCTCTAGCCTCCCTCTGCTCCCCTAAATCTTTCCAACCTGAAGAAAGCAGCCCAGGGCCAAGGTGTTTGCAGCATGGGCGGGAAGCACAAACAGCAGCCATAATGGCAGTGTCCGCCGGCATGTTTGAGGCTCGCTGCAGGCCAGCGCTGCGAGTGTATTATTATCCTCTTTAATCTTCATGGCAGCTGCATGAGGAGGGTGCTATCATTGTCCCCATTTCACAGGAGAAGAAACTGAGGTTCACAGAGGTGGTGTCCTCTAATCTGGGTACGACAGAGGGAGGAGAAGAACCAGGTGTCGGTGCCTCAGCAAGAAAGGCCAGTCACTCTGCCGCCCCCCAAATGGTAGGTGAAGGGGCCAGAGAAGAAATGGCAGAACATGAAGGACCTGGTGCAAAACAGGGCTCCACAGAGGGATGACGGACCCTGTTCAGAGCTAAGTGGAGGCGGCTCTTGGAAACATACCATGCTGCTCTGCGGGCTTCCCCTACCCAGTTCCTTTCAGCCACCTCCCGATACACTCATGAAACATATACTCGCTCCTGTGTCCGCCCAGCCCTGGCTCCTGTGGCCTCTGCTTCACTGAACCATGACACGCACTCGTGGTGCCAGCTCTGAGCCCCCACCTCCTGCCCTAGCCTCGGGCTTCTGGAAGCTGCAGATGCACCCAGGGCTGAGCTCAGCTTTCCACCTCCCCGTCTGACTCTACAAAGCCTCCGAGAAGAATGTGACTTTGCCTTCTCAGTTGAGAAGAAATTGCACCTCAGTGATAGGAGAATAGCCAGATCGCTGCAGGGAGTAACCAGGAAGAGAAAAATTACTCATTCTTCCAACTCAGAGCATCATCAACTAGACGATGTCTTTTTGCCTAGAAAGCCCATCTCCCTGTCCCTCACTCCCCTACTTTAGCCGGCCTCACAGGAACCACACTCTTCTGAAATTCCAGTTCTCCTAAGAAGCTTTACAAACATCCTAGAAGGAAGATAACCACCCCATCCTAGGATAAAAGGGAACTCAAATCTCATTCTGCGAGCCCATTGCAATCATGTCTTTTCCCTGCAGACAAAAATACATAATTTATCTCATGTGATTCGTGCCATACAATATTTATTGTGGCATATTCTTCACTCGAGAGTGCCTCTAAGTTTATTAAGAATTTAAATTCTCAGGGGGCCCTAGGAGGAGAGGCTGGGAAAAGCCTCCCCCCACAACCCCTCACAGAGGCTGGGGTAAATGCTCCTTTATTTTCTCTGTTGCGTTTGTAATTCCATTTGCCCTTGGTGAAAGCTACCACCTCCCTTCCCATTCGAGTTGAATCTCCTCTACGGGAATCTTGCTCAAGGGCTTTAGATCAAATTTGGAACTTGATGTTAGGTCAGTGGTTTTCAAACTTTGCTGCACAGGAAATCACCTGGGAGTGTTAAAAAAAAAAAAATCATGGTGCTTAGTTCACACCCCAAACAAATTGCATCAGAAAGTCTAGAGGTGGGGGCCAGATATCCATATTTTTTTTAAGATCCCTGGGTGCCAGGTACCTGTAATCCCAGCTACTTGGGAGGCTGAGGCAGGAGGATCACTTGAGCCCAGGATTTTGGGGCGGTAGTATGTTATGATCACACTTATGAATAGTGCTGAACTCTAGCCTGGGCAACACAGCAAGACCCTGTCTCAAAAAAAAGGAAAAATCCCCAGGAGATTCTTTGCCACAGCAAAGTCTAGGAGGCACGGCCTGAGCCCTGCCTGATTTCCCACCCACAAATGCCTCCTTCCCCATCACAGCACTGACCAGTGACCTTGACCATGCATTCAGCTCAGTCCTGGTCTCTAGTAGACCATCCAGGCTCAAGGCGTGAGAGCCTAAAGGACCTCTCACTACTTATGTGATCTCGCAAGTCAGGCTGTGACCTCGGGACCTGGTTCTGATCACTGCACTTTTCCCACAGATTCATTCCCACCTTAGGCACGGGTTCTGGTAATGGAACTCAGTAACAACATTTATGCTGCACTCATAATGACTAGAGGATGGGCTTTCCACACAAAATCCTGTTTAATTATAATAACCCACTTTGCAGATGAGATGGGTTCAATAACTGTCTCAAAGTCACACTGTTGGTAAGCACAGCAGAACCAGTCTTTAAATCTGCATCCACAGGCCTCAGAGCCTCCTCTCTTCATTACCAGGTGGGATGCCTCTCCTACCCTTGATCCCTGTGACCAAGTCTCAGGTAGGGCAGGGGGTGGGAGGTGACATCCCATAGGACAGATGCCCTGTGGTTCTCTCTTTTCTGGGCCCTTCTGTTTTTGTTTCCTAGGACTGTTATAGCAAGGCACTACAAACTGGGTGACTTAACACAACAGAAATGTATTCTCTCACATTTCTAGAGGCTAGAAGTGTGAAATAAATGTGTCGGCAGGCTCTGCTAGAGCTCTGAGGGTGAATCTGCTCCCTGCCTCCCTCCTGGCTTCTAGTGGTTGCTGGCAGCCCACAGCGTTCCTTGGCTTGTACACACATCACACTGGCCTCTGCCTCCATCTTCACATGGTCTTCTTCCTGGGTCTCTGTGTCTCCATGAAGCCTTCTTACAAGGACACCGACCACTGGATTTAGGGCCCACCCCAATCCAGTATGACTCATCTTAACTAATGACATCTGCAATGACCCTGTTTCCAAATAAGGTCCCATTCTGGGGGAGCACTCCAACCCGCTACACCTTCTGAACTCCAGGGACCCCAGTTCTGCCTCTGACCAGGTCCCGCCACTTGCTGATGACCTGTCACACCTCTGCCACCTCGTGCTTGCCCAGACATTAAGGACAGATTCGGAAGCTGCCAACTTCTGCTCTCCTCTGTCCTCTCGGACCCTGTGCTAGTTCCTCCCAGTATTTTCTAGCTGCTGAATGTATGTTGTTCATCTTGGATCTCTAGGTGCAAATGCCCTGAGGGCTGGACCCACACCCCTAGCTCCACTGGCCTAGACACCTGCCTGTTGGCCAGCTGGGAGAAGACATTCTCCACGAAGCCCCCGACATGCCCACCCCGTGCCCCCCTTACTATTTAGTGCTGAGATTGATTTTTTCTCTCTCTTTTTACAGGAAATGGGTATATTGAAGGTAAAGAGCTAGAAAACTTTTTCCAAGAGCTGGAGAAGGCAAGGAAAGGCTCTGGCATGGTAAGCCCAGCCCTGTCTCCGATTGTGTGGGATTTTCCTGACCTATGCCTTTGAGCATGCTGTGTCCCAGTTATGTATGCCATAAGCAGGCCTCATATCGCTGGTCTTGACACAGCATTTTATTTGTAAGGATAAAAAATAGACTGTCCCCTAAGAGTACCCTATCTCAATATCCTTGGGTGTCTGGGATTGAGGGGTATTCATGAGTGGACACCAGGGGTTGATGAATCCTCCTGCAAAGCTGCAAAGCTTTGTCTGCGTATGCGTATATTAATATATATGTAGTATTTTTTTGTCCCTAGGGACAGAGTCCATAGCTTCCCTCAGGTGCTTAGGGGTCATGATTCCAGATTGGATGCCCAGGAGGTTTCAAGTGCCCTGATTCTAGACCAGAGTTTCTCAGCCTCAGCGCTGTTGGCATTTGAGGCTGAATAATTTGTTGCAGGGGCTGCCCTGTGCGCTGTAGGAGACTAGCAGCATCCCGGGATCTACCCATGAGATGCCACTATCATCCTCCTTCAAGCTGTGACCATCAAAAATGTCTCCAAACATTGCCAAATGTCCCCCTGGTGGGAGACTGGGGGCAGAATCGTCCTCAGAAGAGAACCACTGTTCTAGAGCAACACGGGCTAGAATCCCCAGCAAGGAACTAGAGGAAAATTGAGGATTGCTCTCAGCCAGTATCTGAACCAGACGGCACTGGCTGGCCTCATTTGTGGTGGTGTCACGACCTTCTGAGCCTGCCCAAAGTGACTCCAGATCACATCCCAGCCCCTTAGTGACAGGAGTGTTGCTTTCCCTGGTGCCAACGTGGCACTACTGAGTTTGCTAAAGCCTTTTGGGGGAGGTATTTGAAATACTGCAAAGCTCAGGTGATTGGAACTAGTCTGCTGTGATTGCCGTGTCTGGTTCTGGAGTACATGGAGTCAGCCCCACACCCTCCCATCAGCTCCCTCGGGTCCTCTGGAGGCGTCTCTACTCTCCCCTGCTGCGTGTCTGTTGGCCAATCCACTGTTTATTTGCAGCTCTTCAGGGAGCATTTGGGAGATGAGTCACAAATCCACCGGTGAGCTCCTGGTTCAAAGCTTGGCAGAGCGCCCCAATGAGGAGGTCAAAGTGATGGGCTTAAAGGGTTGGAGGCGATTCATGGGTTTGTTTATCAACAGTTGTCCCATCAATTCCTAGGATAATGAAGCCTCGATCACAGAAAGCATGGGCTTCAGGACTGACTCTGGGATCATGGGCTAGTCGGAGAAATGTGTTTTTATGAAGTGCTTTGCATCTAGAATCCTTCTCTTAGTCATTCCCTTCCTCAGATGTCATCCGGGTAATTTTCAAGTCTGTCAACAATCCCAACTGATGCCATCCAGGACTGGTTCTCAGAGCAGCTGTTATATAGTAGAAAGAATATTGGCCTTGGAAGCAAAAGCCATGAGTTCAAATTCTGGCTTTACTTACTGGGTGCCCTCTAGAGAAGTCATCTCGGCCTCCATTAGTGTGTCAAATGGAAGGGCTACTAACTTCACAGGAGCTACTGTACAACTTAAATAAGATGGCCACATTTGTGACAAGTGCCTGGGATCAGACTATGTACCTTTGTAAATATAAATAAATACTGATAAACAAATAAATATTGACAAATTGATACTAATTCCAAAAGTAAAAAGCAATCAGAGGGATTCAGGAAACTCTCAGAAGTGGTAGGATTTCCCTTGGCCCAATCCTGGGGAGCACACAATTCATGTGGAAGTCATCAGCTGAGTGAGGCAGAAACATCAGCCGTGCAAGGTGGGCTCATCATTGATTAGGGAGAAGGAAGAGCTCCTTAATGCAAATAATTAATCAGCACTATCTCAAATCAGGGGAAGGTTCAAGAGCTTCAAGTCTATATTTAAGATAGACAGCTGTGGGCTTGAAGGAATGTTTTAAGTTCTTTGCTTTCTAGTAGTCAGAATAATTGGGTGGACTGTTTAAATTACCCTTCGGCTACATGATGACCTCCTCCTCATGTTCCTCCTGATATGAAAATCAAGAGTGAAAATATTGTGGAATTGCCAGTTAGTCTTTAAAGAAAATGAGCAATCTACCTTGCTGTAATGAAGTGCTTAGAACCTATTAGGGGGCACTGGATTAAGTTCAGTTTGATTACAACCTGCTTCAGTAAAATGTTGAGGCCTTAATTCTCACATCTGAGTGATGGGAACAAGTCCAAACCCTTCCTATAGAGTTGTAGCTTAATCCATCTCAAAGGCAGCAGGGCATGTTTGATTACCTGGTATGGAGCATGGCCACGTGTCCTTTGAAATTTATATGACTGAGCCTTGAAGAAGAGATGACTTAATTTGAAGGGAACCTGGAAAGGAAAACAACACAGCTCTGATCAATCAGAGCATCAGCACAACTTGGTTCTGCACCCACTTACCCAGGATGCAAATGATTTCCAAGCTTCCTGCTCTGAGATCATGGTTCACATGAGATACAGCAGCAAAAATCAGCCCCCTTTGTCTTTCCACAGATGTCAAAGAGTGACAACTTTGGAGAAAAGATGAAGGAGTTCATGCAGAAGTATGATAAAAACTCAGATGGGAAAATCGAGATGGCAGAGGTGAGCCCTGCCTCGCTGGTAAAGAGCTGTGTGGGAGGGGCCCTGGGTCCCTGTGCCTCTCCCAGGCATGAGCATCCTGCTGAGGATTGGAGTGAGGTGGGGGCCTCAAAGCTCCTGCACCCCCAGCACTTGGGCTGACCAAAGAGAACAGCAGGGACTTTTCTTGTGTGTCACCCAAGGAAGAAGGAAGTGACAAACAATGGCCAAAGATAGGGGTGGAGACCTTAAATGCCCACAGGGGCCAACAGGTATTGTAACCAAGTGGCAAGGCCAGCTGAAGACACTAGGGAGGCTGAAGACAGGTGAACAGGAGACTCTATGCCCCACCTAAAGCCATCCAAAGGCATAATTTTTAAAAGTTATATACATAATTTACACACATATATACATTTATAATTCACATCAGTAATTTACATATATATACATAATTTGCATATAACATAATTTACACGTATCCATGTATACATATATACATTCATATATGCACACGTATATACACATACACACATACACTCACACATACTCATATACAGGTGCATGTCAAACACCTCTGGTAATCAGTGACCACAGTCAAGGGCTCAAGAGTGCTGGCCGGACTCCGTGGCCCATGTCTGTAATCCCAGCACTTTGGGAGGCTGAGGCGGAGGATCCTTGAGGTCAGGAGTTTGAGACCAGCCTGGGCAATATAACAAAACCCCATCTTTACAAACCATATAAATAAATAAATAAGAATGATGATGGTGGCACAGGCATTAGGGCACAGCTCCACCCAGGGTATATTGTTGGGATGCTGCCTTAGGTTGGGTGCCTGAGACAGAGATTTGAGTGGAAGTGGCTTACTGAGGCAGAACTCTCCAGAGAAGGGCAGCAGGAAAAGGCAGGGGATAGTGCTGTGCAAGGATGCGGTCTCAACTGGAGCCTCGCCTTGGCTAGGCTTATAGGGACTCTGGAGTGTGGACTGTGCCACAGAGTGGGTCCCACTTTGAGGCAAGGGGGCTGGTCTGTTGTACCCCTGTGTCAATCAGTCAGTGGATGCAGGCTGCCCCTCTTTGGGCAAGGAGGGGACCTGTGGAACTTCCCCAGCGGGGCAGCTCTGGTCTGGCTGAGGGCAGTTCTTGTGCAGGGGCAGGGCTGAGCTGTTAGCAGTCTGACTTCATAGCAGCTGAGGGATGGCCAACAGCCTAGTTATAGAGGAGCAGGGAGAGGCACCAAGAATGGCCACTATAGATGCCCATGCTGATTCAAAGGGGCTTAAACCAAGGGTTGACAGGCTTTTTCTCTAAAAATACAGATTAAGGTAAGTGTGTTAGGGTTTGTGGGCCATCCAGTCTCTGCCACAGCTCTTCAGCTCTGCCACTGTAGCACAAAAGCAGCCACGGGTGGTATGTCAATGAGTGGGTGTGGCCACGTCTTATAAAACTTTACAAACAACTCCTGAGCCATACTTGGCCTGAGGGCCATAGCTTACCATGAGAGGCTTCTAACAGAAAGGCCAGGGTTAGGGTTTGTTCCAGGTGGAAGCCAGGGCTCCCGCTCTGCCTCCCTGCAGTTCTCTTGGTTCTGTTCTCTGCCCTCAAAATACCTTCATCCTCAGGCGGCTAGCAAGATGGCTGCCACAGCGCCAGGCATCACATCCACATACACCCACATGCATCCACATACATCCACATATACCCACATACATCCACATACAACCACATGCATCCACATTCAACCACACACACCCACATACATCTACATGCACCCACATACATCCACATCCAATCACATGTACCCACATCCATCCACATGCACCCACATGCAACCACATGTGCCCACATACAGCCATATACACCCACATACAACCACATACATTCACATACAACCACATGCACCCACATACAACCACATACATCCACATTCAACCACACACACCCCCATACAACCACATATATCTACATGCAACCACATGCACCCACATACACCCACAAACATCCACATACAACCACATGCACCCAAATACAACCATATCCAACTACATACATCCATATACAACCACTGTCCAGCTGCAGAAAGGACCCCTCTTAAGTGCAAGGAAATGTTCCCAGAAGTACCCACAGCAGCCCTTCCCCGACATTGCATTGGGCAAAACTGGGTCACGTGCCTACCTGTAAGCCAATCACTGGCAAGGAGAATGGGAGGCTCACACTTCACCAACGTAGACTCATCAGGATTGGCCTGTGACACAAGAGTTCCAGGAGCAAAAAAGGGGGTAAGGGCGGTTGGGTGGGCAGCCAGCAGTGCTTACTGCAAGAGGGTACCTGCATTTTTCAAAAATCGAATTATTGCAGTATCAATTTACATGCAATAACTGCATCCATTTGAAGTGTAAAATTCCTTGAGTTTAGATTTTAGGCCATGAAATTGCCACCCCAATGGAAATATAGCTTTTCTATTACCCCCTCCAAAAGGTTCCTCTAGCCTGGTGCAGGCCCTCTTACCCCAGGCAACCACCCATCTACTTAGATTAGTTTGCATTTTTCAGAATTTTACATACATGGAATCATCTGTTAAGTATTCTTTTGAGTCTGGGTGCTTGCATTTTAAAGCAGCACCACTTTTTCCCCTCCAATTGCTCATCCCTTAAGGTTGGGACGACTCAAAAGCACTTCTCTGAACATCCTTCTTTCCCTTTGAAGGACTGCCAGCACCCGTTCTCAAGGAAGGAAGGAAGAAAACGCAATTCCCACACTGCCTCGCCACTGGCCCTTTCCATCCTTCTTAGGGGAAAATCTGCTCTGCTCCCTGTCAAGTCCCTCCATAACGTTAGTGTCGCTCTCTGTATCTTCACAGCTGGCGCAGATCCTGCCAACCGAAGAGAACTTCCTTCTGTGCTTCAGGCAGCACGTGGGCTCCAGCGCCGAGTTTATGGAGGTGAGGCCAAGGCACCACCTTCTTTCTAAGCACTGGGACCTGCCTTCCTCCTGTGTTCAGAGCCAGGCCCACCCTCCTGCCTGGTAATGGTCCCTGGGAGATGCTAAACCCCTTAGAGCTCTGCTACTCAAAGTGTGGTCCGTGGACCGGCAGCATCAGTATCACCTGGGTGCCTGTTAGAAAACAGAAAGGGGCCAGGAGTGGTGGCTCACGCCTTGTAACCCCAGCACTTTGGGAGGCCGAGGCAGGCGGATCACCTGAGGTCAGGGGTTCGAGACCAGCCTGGCCAACATGGCAAAACCCCATCTCTACCAAAATACAAAAAAGTTAGCCTGGCGTGGTGGCGGGCACCTGTAATCCCAGCTATTCGGGAAGCTGAGGCAGGAGAATCACTTGAACTCGAGAGGCAGAGGTTGCAGTGAGCCGACATAGCACCACTGCACTCTCAGCTTGGGTGACAGAGAGAGACTCCGTCTCAAAAAAAGAAAGAAAGAAAGGGAGAAAGGCCTGTAATCCCTACTCAAGGAGGCTAAGGCAGGAGGATCTTTTGAGGCCAGGGTTTCAAGACCAGCCTGGGCAACATAGTGAGACCTTGTCTCTACAAAAATAAAAAGCTACCATAGTGAACAGGAATTTAAAAAAAAAAAAAAAGATAAAAAACTTAGTGGGATATGGTGGTGCACACCTGTAGTCCCAGCTTCTCAGGAAGGCTAAGGCAGGAAGATCAGGAGTTTGAGGCTGAAGATCACACCACTGCCCTCCAGGCTGGGCCACAGAGCAAGACCCTATCTCAAATTAAAAACAAAAACAAAAAAAAGGTAGACAGACTCCCTGATCCAGTGACTCAGAAGCTCCATTTTAACAAGATCCCCAGATGATGTGTATGCACATTAAAATGTAGGGAATAAGATGAGAAGTAAGCTTGGGTCAAGTACGCTTGGGAAACACTGTGTACATGCATCTCTCATGTGGGGATTTGTTGTGGTCATTTGCATATCACAGGCTCTGAGAAATCAAGCAATAAAGAAAACCGTGCCACTCAGTTTGGCTCCAGGATCTCATGCCACTCAATAATAATGTTGTGTCTCTCGAAGTCAGAGTTCCAAGAAGCAGGCTAGAGAAGGATGGACTTATGTACGATTCTATAGCTACAAAAGTCCAGTGAGGATTCCAGTTTTTGGTATCTTCCACGTTTCATCTTTGACTATGATAAGGTTTCGGTTTTCCTTTTTAAAATTAGCATTCCTGGCTGGTCACTGTGCCCTATGCCTGTAATCCCAGCACTTTGGGAGGCCAAGGCAGGTGGATCACTTGAGATCAGGAGTTTGAGGCCAGCCTGGGCAACATGGAAAAACCCCATCTTTACTACAGATGCAAAAATTAGCTGGGCATGGTGGTGCATGCCTGTAATCCCAGCTACTCAGGAGGCTGAGGCAGGAGAATCGCTTGAACCAGGCAGGCAGAGGTTGCAGTGAGCCAAGATCGTGCCACTGCACTCCAGCCTGGGCGACAAAGACTCTGTCTAATAAATAAATAAATAAATAAATAAATAAATAAATAAATAAATAAAATTAGCATTCCCCTCTTGGCAATATAATTTCCTTGAGATCTTCATGTAAAATATGATGTTCAAATTCATGTCTCTTGAGTAATATTCATCTGATAAATTGAACCATATGAAATTGCTGATATTTAACGATTTTTTACTTACAAAAAGTGGAAATTCTATGTGGTTCAACCAAATATATTACTAATCCTGATGTCCAGCAAACTACCAATTATTTCTTGCTCTCTTTCTGGGACTCCACACTCTAACCATTCAGCATATGCATCCCTCAGAGTGAAATTCAACCCATACCCACCTCACGAACTGCCTGCTCTGATAAATAATAACTGGCCTTCGACGTGACTCTCTGCCATTCATTGGGGTTAAATCCATTTCCAGCCACCGGTAATCCCCTCTCTGTGATCCACTGCCTGTAACAACTGGAGAGCTGGCCCAGAAGCCTGTGTGGCAGCAAGCTCCCCTCCTGGGCAGACAGTCAGTGAGAAAGAACCAGTTCTCAGGGTGGAACAGTCATTTTTTAAGTGACAGCTTGCCTGAGCATCAGAGATGGATTTAATTTTATGGTGCCTTAAAAGATTTTTCTCCAGTTTTTTCAAGATGGCAAGATTCCACAAGCTGATAATTGACATTCTAGCTTCTGTTCTTAGTCCTTCTCTAGCCTGCCTGGGAGAAAAAAAGTTCTGCGTATCCTTATAACTTGTCAGGGTGTTGCTTTTGTATCAAGTTTTCCAACTATAGAAAAGGGAGCATCATGCCTGACTCCTTTCCTGATAGAGAGACAGCCAAAAATTGGCCTCTATTCCACCTCTGGTCTGGAAACAGGGATGGTGGCACCTTGTAGGGGGGGCAGGGATGCTTACAGAGGAGCTAAAAGCATCTCCCCGGACCCTTTTCTCTTTCTCAAAATCATTAGTGGCTTCTCTCTGTGCAGCTGACAGGATTTCTTTCTTTTCTTTCTTTCTTCTTTCCTTCCTTTTCTTTTTTTTTTTTTTTTTTTTTTTTTTTTTTTTTTTGAGACGGAGTTTCGCTCGTTGCCCAGCCTGGAGTGCAATGGTGCGATCTCAGCTCACTACAACCTCCGCCTCCCGGGTTCAAGCGATTCTCCTGCCTCAGCCTCCCGCCGAGCTCGGATTACAGGCAGGCACCACCACTTCCGGTGAATTTTGTATTTTTAATAGAGACGGGGTTTCTCCATGCTGGTCAGGCTGGTCTCAAACTCCCGACCTCAGGTGGTCTGCCCACCTTGGCCTCCCAAAGTGCTGGGATTACAGGCATGAGCCACCATGCCCAGCCTCAGGATTTCATATTCTTACATGTATTTGTCCTTCTAAGTCCCAGCATAACTGCAGAGGAGACATGCCCGCCACGGTTTCTGGGACCCCACCCTCCCACAGTACTGTCCCACTGTCCCCTCCTGGGGTCTGTTCCATTTGTTCCATTTTTACCAGCCAGAAGCCTGAAATGGTCCCTCAGTAGCCCTGAAAGGCTTGTGCTCTCAGGTAGCTCCCATCCCAGCACTCAGCACAACAACTCCTAATTTTAGTGATGCCTCAGGATTTCTTTGAGATTTCACAAAGCCCAGGTCTCTTGAACTCTTTTCCTTGAATGAGAAGAGAAAGGATGCACTGATGATGATGAGCACAAGTGCTGGATGGGGAGAGGAGGCACGTGGGGGAGCCCAGAGCTGGCATCCTGGCGGGGTGCATGGTCGGAAGTGGACCCGCTGGCAAGATGGCTTGGGAAAGCAGCCGCTGGTGCTTTGCTCTGTGCAGGGACTGGGGTTCCTTCAGGTTATTGCCCTTTTAGGCAACTTGGAGGGGGTGTCTTCCTCTTCTCAGTAAAGACTCAACTTAGACAAACTAAACTGTAATGCACTAAGTGCCTGCGAGTTGTTGGTGAAGTCATATTTGGAAATCCTCACATATATTTTAGTGCCTTTTCAAGGGCAGACTTTCTGGCTATGGGAAGGAGTATTTCAAAGAGTCTAAGGCATTTTTCTGCAGAGAAAAGACACTCTTGTAATCAAATACCATCGACCTAAGTTGCATATAGTACAAATCTACCCTTTTCTTGGGATTTGCTCCTGTCTTGTGACAAAAAAAAAAAAAAAATCAGGACCAAAATTTCTGAGCCCTGTCACCATGAAAATTACATAACATTGTTTGCTGGTGTTTAAAAAGAGACATTTTCCGTAAAATATAACTAAACTCTAAATGTCCATAAACTCTAACACTCCTGACAATAAAGGGGCACATGCAGTGGAGAAGTGGGGGGAGGCAGGGGATAAGATGTAGGAAAAGGATTAGTGGTTGCTGGCTCCCAGAAAATCAAGTGTTGCTGGTCTTCAGGTGTGTAGTTTGGAGCTGGGGGAGAAGCGAAGAAAAGTCAGGAGAACAAAACTTGAAAGAAAATCTAGGAGCCAGGCATGGTGGCTCATGCCTGTAATCCCAGCACTATGGGAGGCTGAGGTAGGAGGATCACTTGAACTCAGGAGTTTGGAGATCAGTCTGGGCAACATAGTGAGACCCCATCTCTACAAAAAAATAAAAAATTAGTTGCGTGTGGTGGTGCACGCCTGTAGTCCGAGGCACTTGGGAGGTTAAGCTGGGAGGATCACTTGAGCTTGGGAGGTAGAGGCTACAGTAAGCTTTGGACGCCACTGCACCACAGCCTGGGTGACAGAGTGAGACCCTGTCTCAAAAGAGGAGGAGGAGGAGGAGGAGGAGGAGTAGGAGGAGGAGGAGAGGGGGAGGGGGAGGGGGAGGAAGAAAGAAAGAGAAAGGAAGGAAGGAAGGGAAGAAAGGAAGAAAAAGGAAGGAAGGAAAGAAGGAAGGAAGGAAAGAAAATAAAGGAAGGAAGGAACGAAAGAAAAAAGAAAAAAAAATTAGAAATATGTGGCGCCAAATAGACCAAAGATATAGCGGAACATGGTTCTCCGGGCATCTTTGCCCCAGATGTGGGCAGTCCCCTCCCCTGCACCACTGCCCCTCCTGTGGCTTTCTCTCTTCTCCACCAGATGATGTGGTAAAAGGCAGGGAAGTCAGAGCAGTTGTATACAGGACCATTGGATGAGTTACTTATTGCTGTATAATAAACTGCCCCTAAAACTTAGCAGCCTGAAGCAACAAACATTGATTACATCCCACTTTCGATGGTCAAGAATTTGGAAACAGCTTAGCTGCGTGGTTCTGGCCCAGGCGCTCATGAGATCACTGTCGAGATACTTCCCTTCATTTCCTTCTCTGTGACCTTGAAGGGTCTGGGCTACATCATCTCCATGTCTCCATCCCATTCCGATATTCTTGAAGATCAAGACCCTGGGTGGCCCATTAAAGGGGAATGGAAGGGAGGTGGGTAGATTTTGATACGTCTTTGCAAAGAGGTTGACATTCCTGTTGTTGCAGGCTTGGCGGAAGTACGACACAGACAGGAGTGGCTACATCGAAGCCAATGAGCTCAAGGTAGGATGGGCCTTGGGGAGGGTGTGAGGCCAGAGTGGCGGTGGGCTTAAGGTGCCTGAGGAGGGAGGAGATGTTGGATGAGGGGCATGAGTTTGCGGGCTGCTTAGGAATACTCAGACCTGGCACTGAATTGTTGGACTTGTTTAGAGAAGTCAGGGGAAATCAGTAACATAGAGCTGCCAGGCTGTAGATTTCAACGAAACCCAGCTCTTCTGCACCTCCATGCTCGGGACAGGAGTCCTCCAGGCAATTCCAGAAGATTGGCCTCTGGCTCCTAGGTCCACCTCCAAATTCCTCTGGCTATCACCCAGTGATTCCCCAGGCACTGCTTAGCTCCGTATACTGGTCTCCCAGGAGGCAGAGCCAATCTCTAGCGCCTATTCTGTGAGGCAGGGTTGCACCACCAGCTAGTACAGCCTTAAAAGTCACTCCCCAAGAGTTAGGAATTATGAGGGCCCTGAGTCATAGAACTGGTAGACCTGAAAAACACACACACACACATTGAGAGACTGTCTGAATGAGCAAGTAAGGAAATGAATGAGGGACCGAATGCACGAGTCAGGAGTACTAAAGAGGCCTTTTGTGTTGCAGGGATTCCTGTCAGACCTGCTGAAGAAGGCGAACCGGCCGTACGATGAGCCCAAGCTCCAGGAATACACCCAAACCATAGTGAGTGAACAGAAGTGTCCCTCTCCCCCAGGGTGCAGGACTTGTGCCCCAAGCCACTTGGGCTCTGGTGTGCAGGGTCCCTTGTTTGCTGATTCTTCAGGCCCAAGGGAAGTGATTCACAGTGGCAGCTGGCAAAAAGGGATGCTACTTCGTGGCTTCACATACCCTTTGAGGTCCTGGGTGTGAGCTGACTCGTGGGCCAATGTGATTGTCTGTCTCCATGGCAACCTCTGCAGCTCTAGGAGAGGATGATCTTGGAGAGAGTGGGCCTTTAGTGCCGGCCTGCTGTGCCTCAGCTGCCCCTGTCCCTGAGGAGGGGAGAGAGGAGCAGTGAACGAGTCCCTGTGGTCCACCCAGGGGACCCCCGTGACTGATTTAGCCCATGTTGGTTCTTGGCCCCTACGGACCTCAGAGGAAGCATGAGCACGTGTCACCCGTCCTCCTTCCCATCCTCTCCAGTAAAAGGGGATGTCAGGTCAGAGAAATTCACAGCAAATAACCCAGGCACCTTTCTGTCCCCAACAGCTACGGATGTTTGACTTGAACGGGGATGGCAAATTGGGCCTCTCAGAGATGTCCCGGTAAGCACCTCACCCCCGGGGTCACTGATACTGGCTCCCACAGGTCATTCCTGTGTTATCCGTCTCTGAGATCCATTGGTGGGAAAGTGACAGGTGCGGGTGTCAAGAAGCTCAAGACAAAGCAAGATAGAATTGTGACCGTCAACACCTCACCTTGTCTGTCTCCCTCGTTTTTGAACTTCCCACTGATTCATTATGTGTGAAGTGCTCAGAAATCATTTCTGTAACTGCAGGCACCGCCTCTGCCTTCCCCTCTCCCGCTTGCCCTTGCCTGTGCAGTCTCCTCATCTCTGCTCTAACATTTTCTCCCCAGACTCCTGCCTGTCCAGGAAAACTTCCTGCTTAAATTTCAGGTAAAACTTTGCTTTCCTTCCTTCCCCCTTCCCTCATCCCTCTGAGCCTGGCCCTGCACCCTCCTTCCCCCAACGCACCACACACAACACACTACACACACCCACACACACCACACACACACAAAACACACCACACACACAACACACACAGATCACACACACAAAACACACACAGACCACACACACCACATACACAACACACGCAGACCACACACACTACATATCACACGCACACACCCCACATACACAGAGACATCACACACACCACACAGACCACACACCACACACACAACACACACATCACACATGCACACACCACACACATAAACACACACACACAAACGCACACCCACACACACACCACTGCGCTTCTGCTTCTGTCTTTAATACCCTGGTTCTTGCAGGGCATGAAGCTGACCTCAGAGGAGTTTAACGCGATCTTCACATTTTACGACAAGGTAAGAGAGGGAGTTGGCATGGCAGGGAAAATCAGAAGCCCATCAGCCCGTCCAGAAGGGCTCAGCTTCATCCCTGGGAAGAGACAGCTTTCCAGGGGTGGCCTGGGCCGTGTGGTTTCTTCCTGCCGCATCTTCTGCTGTATGAGAAGGCAAATGTCATTCTCCACCGGTGGCCTATGGAGCCCAAGGGGTTGGTTTCTGCAGAGTGCAGCCGAGAATCGTTGGGGGAGGACTATGCTTAGAACTAGGGTGTGACCACGCTGTCGGGAGCCAAAGGGAAGAGACACTCAGAACTGCCCTGGTGCCAGATCACAATTCTGCCCAGGGCCAAGTCTTTCTCTGGGAAGTTGGAAGTTAGATGATCTCCATACCCACCCCTCCCTGGGCTGTCCCCTGCCCACATGACTCCGGTGGTTTTCTTCATAACCAGTGTTGGAGGTAAACTTTAAATAGCCCCCGGACTCAGGGAGTTAACCAAATGCTTCTTGAATCTCACTTAAATTTTCAACGCACATGAAAAGCACCACAATGAAAGGCTACCCAAAGCTTGCACCCACTGCCACCTTCCTGCCATGACTGGTTAAGGCAGAAGGGACACATTATTTTGTCATTACACGATCTGAACACCCCCTTTTGCACAGAGTAATGGAGAGGCTAGACTCTTAGACATCCCTGGAATGGGTCGGGACAGCAGGGGCCCAGGCTTTAGAGCTCTGGGTTGACTCTGCTCCCATCCCCAGGATAGAAGCGGCTACATTGACGAGCATGAGCTGGATGCCCTTTTGAAGGATCTGTACGAGAAAAACAAAAAGGTGAGCAGCCAAGCCTGAGGCCCGGCCACTGTCCCCAGGGCACAGGAGAGGCTTCTGCAGGAGAGGAGGGGAAAGGTGCCTGGTCCTGCTCTCTACTCCCCTCTGATCTGCCACAGCAAGGCAATAGACATTTTGTGGGTTTGCTTTTGGTTTTTTGATTTCTGGTTGGTTGGTTGATTAATTGATGTTTCTTTTTAAAATTTAATTGTGGCAAAAAACACAGGACAGAAAGCTTACCATCTTCACATTTTTAGTGTACAGTCCAGTGGCATTGAACATATTCATAATATTGCACATGCGTGGCCACCTTCTCATCCTGCAGCGCCAAAACCTGTACCCATTAAAAAATAACTCTCCATTCCCCTGTCCCCCATCTCCTGCCAACCACTCTACTTTCTGCCTCTGTAAATTTGACTGCTCTAGGTACCTCATGTAAAGAAAATAGTATAATCTTTCTGTGCCTGGCTTATTTCACTTTGCATAATGTCCTTGCAAGCTTATCCATGTTGTGGCATGTGTCAGAATTCCCTTCCTTTTTAAAGCTGAATAATGCTGCATCGTATAAATATACCACATTTTGTTTACCCATTCTCTTCTGTGGACGCTTGGGTTGCACCCATCTGCTGGCTGTTGTGGGGGATGCTGCTGTGAGGCCATGACAGTGTTGACGTGTGAAAGTGTTAGCCAAATTGCCAACCAAAAAAACACTTTCCACACAAAGAGAGATTCTGGAGGACAGAGGCCAGTGAGAGGTGAAGGGCTATTCTGGATTGATGAACTGCAGAATCGGGAGCTGGGGGAGGGGTTAAAAGGAGCCACTGAAGAGTTTGTTCCTCTCAAAGAAAAGGCAAAGAAGTGAACTCCATTATTTTGCCTGATGTTGCCTCCTGGGAATACCCTGGGAGACCCTCCCATGGGCTCAGTTTGGTGCACTGGGTGGAGGAGTCAGGTGGAACGGCAGCCAGGAGCCAAACCTTTGCAGCTGTCTTCGTTCACCGCCTGGAAAATGTCTTTCTCTGAGCAACTGGTTTTGCTGCTTTCTTTAATTAGACAATGAAAGCTCTACAATTCCTTGAGTTGTCTCACCGCCTTGGCTGACAAGCAAGAGCTAAATTTAATGCTCAATTTCAGGAAAAAATTATCTGCAGTCTCTATTCATCTCCCTTTCCAAGTGCTTTCTGATCTCTTTATCTTAAATATCATCCTTCATTTATTTCATCTTTTTTATTTAAATGTTACCTACAATTACTCTTGAAAGAGGCAGAAAATAAATGATAAGGAAGCAAATACTTCCTGGGAAGAAGGAAGTACTCACCAGGTGTTTGAACTTTTTTCTTGGCACTAAATTCTAGGAGAAAATTATGTATGTGCCCGTATGTATCCAAGGAATGTTGGGCACCATAGTGGAAAATACCTTTATGTGTAATTGTATGAATGAGGCATAGTTTGTCTTCATGAGACTCTGTCTTATACCTGAGGTGGATAAACCCTGAAGACATGCATTAAATCTCAGAGTGACCTGAATTTCCTGGTCATCAACTCACTAAGCTCTTCCTTGGTTCACACAAAGGACAGCTTGTGGTGCTGCACAGCTTGACTCCAAGTATGGAAACAAAAGTAAAGATTCTGCTGTTGGGATTCAGAAGCCACTCTGAAGGTCAGAGAGCAAGAATATTAACAAAGCTGTTTACCTGAGAGCCTTCCACCTGGACCAAGTTTCAGATTTGGCGCCTGAGGATTGAGAGAGTGAATGAGTAGAAAGAGAGAGCCGCGTGACTCTAAATCACAGCACCTGTGCTGGAACGGAAGGGCCTTTTTTTTTTTTTGTAAACCCACATAGATGCACGCATTCCATTTGGATGGTGCCTGCATGGAGTGTGATAAGGTTTCTGAGCAGATTAATGTTTGAGGCTCCTCGAGGGGACAGGCTGATGGGATTGAACTTCAGTATTTCTTAGCACTCCCAAGGCCATGGCAACTCACTAGAGCCTTCCCCAGTTTTAAGTGAAACTTATAGGAAGTAAGCAGCCCCTCCCCCATGCTGCTAAGTCTCTCGCTGCCACAGTTCACTGCGGAAGTTGTCCCAAGCTTGGGGTTGATAGATGAGGTCCCTTCCTTGGCTTCTGATTAAGTGGCAGATATCTCAGGTGCACGCCAGTGTTATGTGACATTTCCAAGAACATCACAACTTAGGGAAGGTGCCTCTCAAAGCTAGACATGCTTGCAAAGTGCCCTTGGGTTTTCATGGCACCAAACCAGAAATTAATGGCATAAAAAGAGAAGCCCCGGCACAATGGGAAAAAAAGACTGGCCCTTGAGCCCTGAGAAAGAGGTGACAGAATAGTGCACCAGTGAAATCATTAGACTTCAGGGCTCATGCTTGGATTACAGATATTCATGATTAGATTACAGATATTCATGAGCATGACTGTACCTCAGTTTTCTTATTAGCAGAATGGAGATAATGACCCATCAGCCTAGGAGGGAAAAAAATTTTAAGTATCTGCTAACATTTTCAATACAAAAGAATAAAAGAAGAACTGGATGTAGTGGCGCCCACCTATAGTCGTAGCTACTTGGGAGGCTGAGGCAAAAGGATCGCTTGAGCCCAGGAGGTCAAGGGTGCAGTGAGCTGTGATCACGCCATTGCATTCCAGCCTGGGTGACAAGAGCAAGACCTTATCTCAAAAAAAAAAAAAAAAAGAAAAAGAAAAAGAAAAAGAAAAAAGAAAAAAGAGGGATAGAGTGGGGGAGAAGGAAAGAAAGAAAAGGTTGTTTAAGTCATTTTCCAGTGTTGATGATGACCTTGCTATATTTCAGACCCATTGGTTATTTGTATCCGAAGCAATCATTGTAAAGCATGTATTTAACATCAGGCATATCAGGTGTTGGTATTTAATATGGGTCTCCATTTATATGAGACAATGGGCATATGTTCATGGCTCACCTGTCTCAGTGGCCCCTGAACACAAGAAGCCAGTGAACAAGAAGTAGGCTGGCGAGCTTTATTGCTGGAGAAGCTGGGATTTAGAATTCCTTGCTTAAATAGGGGCTGGGTGCAGTGGTTCACACCTGTAATCACAGCACTTTGGGAGGTGGAGGCGGGCAGATCACCTGAGGTCAGGAGTTCGAAACCAGCCTGGCCAACATGGTGAAACCCCCGTCTCTACTAAAAAAAAAAAAAAAGTGCAAACATTAGCTGGGCATAGTGACAGGTGCCTGTAATCCCAGCCCAGCTATTCGGGAGGCTAAGGCATGAGAATAGCTTGAACCCGGGAGGCAGAGGTTGCAGTGAGCCAAGATCACGTCACTTCCCTCCAGCCTGGGCCACAGAGCAAGACTCCATCTCAAAAAAAAAAAAAAAAAAAAGCAGACTTCCTTGCTTAAATAGGGGCCAGGTGCGGTGACTCACACCTGTAATCCCAGCTACTTAGGAGGCTGAGGCAGGAGAATCGCTTGAACCCGGGAGGCAGAGGTTGCAGTGAGCCGAGATCGTGTCACTTCACTCCCGTCTAGGCCACAGAGCAAGACTCCGCCTCAAAATAAAAAAAATAAAAAAAATTCCTTGCTTAAATAGATGAGACTTAGGAAAGAGTGGTCCAGGAGGCTAGAAGGCAAGACCAGGGAGCTTTCCTGGCATTCTCTTCATCACCTGCAGTGAGCCAGTTTGGCCTTGAGTTAACCGAGGCCCAGTGAGGTCGAGGAAATATATACAAGTCATACATAGATCATGACTGTCACAATAGCTACCTTTTATTTTTCAAGTGCTTGCTGATGTGGCTTATATTCATTCCCTCACGTAATCATCGCAACACCTCCATGAGGCATGAACTTTTAGTGTACCCATTTTACAGGTGAGGCAGCTGAGTCTCAGGAAGGTTGACTACCTTCCCCAAAGCAATGCAGCCAGTAAGTGAAAGAGAGGCTTTAACCTCCATCTGTCTGACTCCAAAATCCATGCTTTGCATTCATCTAAGCCACTTATCCTGGGATGAGATGAGAGAAAGGTGTGGGTGTTTGTGTTTGTGAATGTGGACGTGGGCTCCTTGCGTCGGGACCATCCCCTGAACCTGCTCTTACCCTCTCCCTGTATTTCCTAGGAAATGAATATTCAACAGCTCACCAACTACAGAAAGAGCGTCATGTCCTTGGCAGAGGCAGGGAAGCTCTACCGCAAGGACCTGGAGATTGTGCTCTGCAGCGAGCCCCCCATGTAAAGTGGGGACGGGGGCTGCTTCTCCACCTCCCCCAAACCCTGCTTCTGCTGCCCTGATGCGTCTACCCAGACTCAGAGACCGTGAGCGCCCCGCCCCCACCCCTACAGCCTGCACACACCTGCCTGCAGAGCAGGAAATGAGAGATAGAGGATGGGCAGCTGGGGGGCTGTCCTGAGCCCCCTGCACCCACCCCTGCCCAGGCAGTCTTTGCTCAGTGGATCACACACATGGAAGGTGATGGGGGCATGGGTGGAGGGTCCCTAATTCTCTTCGCTGTGATGCATGAGCTCCCTCGCTGTATGATTTAGGCTTCTATGTCCAACAGAGTGGACTCTTCCCTCTCGCTCCCCTCTGCCGGTCCCCCATGCCACCACCCACCCCAAACTTCCAGGTTCCATCCACCACCTTGCCAATGGTGTAGCTGTCCTCTCAGAACTCCTGTGTGTGGAAGGCACCCGCCCTTTCCTTGCCTTCTTTACTCGGCGTGCTCCTTTTCTCTTTGGGTTTCTTGTTTACCAAAGAAGAGTTTACAGACAATAAAATGGAAAGGTCCTGCTGTGGAAACTTACCCAATCTTGTCTAGTGGTCAACTTCTCTCTACAGTTAGCAGCTCTGCCTGACAAAGGGAGGGCCTATTCTCACGTGGATGGAGGAGGGTAATGGGACCCACCCAAGTGGGGCATAGGACCCCCAAGACTCTATGGCTTTCACTCACCATTCATTGCCTATCTCTTCACCAACCTGAGTCACTTCTTAGTTTCATGTTTCTTTCTATATCTCTGAGATTATAACATAGCTGACAAGTTCAATGAAGTCTTACTAAGGGTAGTATTAGTATTGTGCTCAACAGTTGACCTGGAGCATCTTTCTTAATCCTTTGAGAGGTGCTGTGATTGTCTCCACTGTCCAGGAAAGAAAACTGAAGATTAAAAAGGTTTTGGGCCTGGCATGGTGGTTCATGCCTGTAATTCCAACACTTTGGGAGGCCAAGGTGGGTGGCTCACCTGAGGTCAAGAGTTCAAGACCAGTTTGGCCAACATGGTGAATCGCCATCTCTATTAAAAATACAAAAATTAGGCTGGGTGCGGTGGCTCACACCTGTAATCCCAGCACTTGGGAGGCTGAGGTGGGCGGATCAAAAGGTCAGGAGATCAAGACCATCCTGGCTAACACAGTGAAACCCCGTCTCTACTAAAAATATGAAAAATTAGCCAGGCGTGGTGGCAGGCGCCTGTAGTCCCAGCTACTCGGGAGGCTGAGGCAGGAGAATGGCGTGAACCCGGGAGGCGAAGCTTGCAGTGAGCCGAGATCGCACCACTGCACTCCAGCCTGGGCGACAGAGTGAGACTGCGTCTCAAAAAAAAAAAAAAAAAAAAAAAAAGCAAAAATTAGCCAGGTGTGGTAGCACGCACCTGCAATCCCAGCTACTTGGGAGGCTGAGGCATGAGAATCGCTTGAACCCGCGAGGCAGAGGTTGCAGTGAGCCAAGACTGCACCACTGCACTCCAGCCTGGGCAACAGACTGAGACTCTGTCTCAAAAAGTAATTTAAACAAAACAGATAAGTAAATAAATACATAAATAAAAAGGTTTAGTAACGAGCCCTGGCCAGTTGGGGCAGAGCCAGGGTATGAATCCAGCAGATTGGATCCACTTTATACCAATGGGGTCCCTACCACTGGGACTAAGTGATCTCCACCAAGCAGGAAGGACCTCCAGCCAGAAGCTCTAGACCACCAGAACTTAACTTCTCCTCCTCAAAGTGCAAGTTACCCAACACCCGATCGCATGCCTCTTGGTGTAGGGCCAGCTTGGCCTTTGGGTTCACAGAGCTCTTAGATCCTACAATAGAGAGATGACAGATTTTTTTTCATGCTGTCACATATTGATTGTCTACAAGATGTATTTTAACAACACTACCTCATTTAATCTCACAACAATCCTACCAGACGGATACTATTTTCAGATAAAGCAACTAAGGCTCAAAGACATTAGGGGATGGGGTCGGGGGAAATTAGGGACTCAAATTTACTTGCCTCCCTCATGTCTCAGGGCCCTGTGCTTTCCCCCACTGGCACCCTTACCTTGGGGCAGGAGCTTTGCCTCTGCAAACTTGCAGCCCTTTTCAGTTCAGCCATATCTGCCGTTGGACCACAGGAGACGAGGAACTCCTTCCAGGCCATCCTAGAGGTCTTCTTAATCTTCATGTATGCTCTTAATTGTATATTTGTAGTTTTAAAAATTCTCAGTTGGTCAAGGTGTCTCACATCTGTAATCCCAGCACTTTGGGAGGCCGAGGTGGGTAGATGGCTTGAGCTCAGGAGTTTGAGACCAGCCTGGGAAACATAGTGAAACCCCATCTCTACAAAATATACAAAAAATTAGCTGGGTATGATGGCATGCGCATGTGCTCCCAGCTACTCAGGAGGTTGAGGGTGGGAGGATTGCTTGACCTGGGAGGTCGAGACGCTGCAGTGAGCCAAGATCACGCCATTGCACTCAGCCTGGGTGACAGAGTGAGACCCTATTTCAAAAAATGTTTTTCCTTATGCGTACTCTCTAGAGCCACAAGAATGATCCAGATGACCCCAAAATCTTTACATTCCTTTTGCTTGCCATAGGAACTAAGTACCACAACCATCTGAAGCCTCGGTCGGTGCTTTATCCTCTACCCACCTATTGTCCCTGTCCCTACCAGTGATCATTTGAGGATTTGTGATGCCACCACCTGTGATGAAAAAAATCCATGTTCTGTTTCCCTCTGACAAAGAGGCCATCCCTGTCTTTCTTGAATAATTTATCAACCCAACCCCAGAATATCCAGATCTTGTTTCCTAGGGCCATCTCCAGTACAAGTTACTAATTCAGTATAGATCCCAATAGAAAACAGACAGCACCTTCCATTCATATCATTCAAGGAGGATTTGTTCACAAACATCTTTTATATGCATGTGAGTGAAATACAAGGGACTCATAAGGGATAGTGGTGAACCAGGGACTAGTGACAGGGAAGTTGCTGTTACCACACTTAGGCCCAAAGGAATGAGAGGAACCCAGAAAGGAAGAGTTGTGCAGGGAATGTCACATGTTCTGTTCAAGCACACAGCCAAGCCCAGATTAGCTCTTATGGAGTAAACACATGCCCCCTCCTCCCTGCTTCCTTCCTATCTCCTTCTAGGGTTCCACATTGCCTGAAGCCAGAGGGCCAGGAGCCTACTAATGGAATCCACACAGGCCAGACTCAAGGGCAGAAAACAAGCGGGGAAGGGTGGGGAGTGATGAAGAGGTATAGCGAGGACACACCCAACACACTCAGAAACTAGAGACACCAGTGGGCACTGAATATGTGAACCTGAAGTTCTGGAAGATGTCGGGGCTAGAAATATGAATTTGTAAAACATCTGTGCAAAGATGGGTTTTAAGGTGGTGGGAATGGCATGAGATTCCCCCAGGAGATACTAGAAAGGAGGTCTGAGATAGGATCTCTGGGCCCTCCCATAGTGAGAGCTCTGGAAGGGAAGAGGGCACGGCCAGGCAGGCAGAGAGAAACCAGGAGGGTATGGTTTCCTGAAAGACAAGTGAAAAGTGGTGTCTGAAGATGAGGTAAGTGATCAAAGGTATCAGATACTGCTGAGATGTATGAGGGCTGAGATTTCAATGCCTGCTTATCTCCTTATCCAAGTCCTCCAAAAGGATAATGGGAACTCCTAGAGGTGGGGGCTGTGTTTTTTGAGGAGTGCATGGCCACAAGAGTGCACAAATGAATGAATGAGTGACTCCACCTTCAGGGAAAGAGGGCGGGTGTGAGTCTGAACTTAACTTGAGAAACCCTTTAGGGAATGATAAAATAATAACAGCTCCAAGAACCTCAGGACATGAGCCAGTCAGAATGTGTTACCTTTGCAGTAGTCAGGTCTTTGGAAAGTGACAGAAATCCAGGTACGACTGGCTCAGGCAAAACAGAGAATTAGTGGATAGAAGCTGGACTATCTCATATGTCTGGAAGGGCCTCCTGGACAACCTGAACTGGGAACACACATACTGCCAGGAGTCTTCTCTCTCTTATTTCTGCTTTGCTGTAACTGATGGCTTTATTTTCTCAGACTGATGTCTTCCATATGGCAGGAAACATGACCTTAGCTGGCTATATCCCCACCATCTAGAACGATGCCAAGCACACAGTAGGTGCTCAGTAAACATTTGTCACATGAATTCATTGGCTCAAAGCTACACATTTGGCAAAGGACTGTTTCTCTTCCCTTAGTTCTAGTTCAAAATGCCACAGAGGAGGAGCTGTAATTGACCCACCTTTGGTCACATGCTCACCTCTGACCAATCACTCATGGCCAGCAGGTGGGGTGACCCTCTTAGAATCAGACATGTGGGACAGGGGATGGGAATTCCAAAGAGTAGATGAGTGATCCAGTCCCCAGCAGGGAACAGTGGTCACCCAAGAAATCCCCATTTTACAACTGAAAAAAATCGAGGCCATCAAGTTCTGGGGAAAGTATCTTTCCCCAGATCACAAGACCACCCAGAAGGAAAGAGTTGTACAGAGAATGCCACATGTTTAGCTCAAGCACTGGAGCCCAGGTCTTCTTCACTCTTGGCCCACTGACAGTAGGAAAGGATTGAAGGAAGAAAGGGCAAGACAACAGGAATTAACATGTTAGAACTTGAAAACTTGGGGGAAGGGATGTTGGATGCATATGGAAGATGGGGTGCATATGTCAACACATGGACATGTATGTTAATGAACCTGCAGGAAGGGACAGGATGCCTATGTCAACATGTTGGCATGTATGTAAGTGAACCTGCAAGAAAGGACAGGATGCATATGTCAACACGTGGGCATATATGTAAACGAACCTGCAAGAGGGCCTGGGATGCATATGTCAATGCGTGCACAGGTACACAAGTAGCCAACAAGGGGTCTGGGAGACCACGCAGGACTGACGGTGGATGTGGAGGGGCACGGGATTGGGTGTGACACATAGAGTGAGACTGGAACTTCATCCAGAAGAAACCCTTCTTCCCAAGGCATATTTGCATCCTGTTGGAGTCATAACAAATTAGAAACTTCTCAGCCCTCCTTCTTCTAGTTCTGGGTAAGGGTTAAGAGAGAAACAGAGGGAACGGGGCTGTGTTTTCACTCTTGTGGGCCCTGGGCACTTTTGCTTTGGTGAACACCTTCCTCCATAAAAAGTATTGTAACATATACTGTATGACTGCATTGGTATAAAGACGAATATGTTGATATTCTTTACTAAAACATTTTATTCAACCTAAGATGTCATCTTTCCTCAGCTTTTAAAAAGAAATTAGGACATTTTTGTGTGTTCCTTAAAGTGGCCTGGGTGCTGAGCACTGCACTGACTAGATCTGATGGAGAAGACAGACCAGAGAGGGAGTGGCCATCACATTTTCGGGTGGGCTTTGGGTCAGGAGCCACACACACATATAGGCAGGGGCTCTTGTTGTTTTAAAGGTATAGTGGCTAGATGTAGTTCCTAGCTAAAGCCAAGAAGAATATGTGGGGTGACGGCGTCTCCAAGTGTCGTATCAGGAAAACTGGTCAGGAAATAGAAAATGGCCCAGCACAGAGAACCATGGAATCCCTCAACAGGGCTCCTCTTCTGATGATCAAAGTATTTTGGACCTTGACTTCATGCCCTGTTTTGTTTTGTTTCAGGGTAATTGGTGGCTAAAAGTTGAGCAGGTAAAAGCACACACAAAAAATATTAAAGACCAGTACAAGGTGATACCATTAGAACAGGTTTTGGGGTCACATACCCTGTGTTGGGTTCTCTCCTAAGCATATTCCTGGGGTTAGCTAGCTTGATCCTCATACCAGTCCTGTGGGAAAGGTACTACTATTGTCTCCTCTTTATAGAAACAGTGGCACAGATCAGCAAAGCAACTTACCTAAAGTAACACAGCAAGTCAGTGGTAGAGTCAGAATTCAACCAGAAGCAGTTTGATCCCATGACTTGTGTTCACAATGGCTATACTTTTCAGTACAGGGGCTGAATAAATAGTAGAGAGTGTTCATTCACCTCAGATATTCATTGAACATCTGCCACCATCTAGGCCCCAGGCTAGATGCTAGGGACACAGTAGTGAATGCAACAATCTCTGGCTGCTGGAAGCTTAAAGGCTGAGAAGAGGAAACTAGAAACTCAGTGTGATGATACTAGTGGGTTCAAAGAAAGCCCAGGAAGAGAGCCCTAACCTAGATTTGGAGTTGGGCTGAAGTCTGGACGAGGTGAGGAATAAGCAGAGACCTGGAAGTAATGTAGGATTTGGTCAGGAGAAGGGGTAAAAGGAAAGAAAACCATCTCAGGCAGTGATATGGTTTGGCAATGTTGCCACCCAAATCTCATCTTGAATTGTAGTTCCTATAATCCCCATGTGTCGTGGGAGGGACCCAATGGGAGGTAATTGAATCATGGGAGCGGTCACCCTCATGCTGTTCTGACAATAGTGAGTTCTCCCAAGATCTGTTATTTTACAAGGGGCTTTCCCCCTTTTGCTCAGCACTTCTTGATTCTGCCAGGTGAAGAAGGACACGTTTGCTTCCCCTTCTGCCATGATTCTAAGTTTCCTGAGGCCTCCCCAGCCACGATGAACTGTGAGTCAATTAAATCTCTTTCCTTTATAAATTACCCAGTCTCTCAGGTATGTCTTTGCTAGCAGCGTGAGAACAGACTAAATACAAGCAGGAAAAAAAAATAGCATCAACAGTGGCACCAAGGCCAGAGGTAGCCTGGCTCATGTCGGGGAACTGCAAGCCACTCAACCGAGAGGAAGCTCGGAGGGAGAAGCAAGAAATAAAACTCAAAGGGTAGCCAGGACCAGCTCACGAAGGGCCCTGCAGGCCTGCTGGGTCTTTGGACTTTACTCTTTTCCCAGCCTGCAGCGTGGCTCCTTTTCTCCTTCCAGGCTTGGCTCAAATGTCACCTCTCTCACTGAAACCCGATTAGGCCGCAGCCTTCCACCACCCTACACTCTACAACCTCCCCGGCCATATTTTTCTCCACAGGACGTTGACCATGTGAGACAGGTTTTGGCGGCTCCCCCAGTAGAAGCCCACAAGGGTGGCTGACTCATGTATTGCTCTTCCTGCCTACATCCACTGAACCCACACACCTAGGGGTACCTGCCCCTTTCAGGGCTCCCCCTCACCGAGTACCCCTCTCCTCTCCAGAACAATCAAGTCTCAGGGGCCAAGCAAGCTGTGGAGGGCTGAATAATCCCCACCAAAGCTGTCCGTGTCCTAATCCTGGGGCATGGTGAATACATGATCTCACGTGGCAGAAGGGAATTAAGGTTGCTAATCAGATGACCATAAAATAGGGGGATATCCTGGCTTGTTTGGGTGGGCCAATGTAACCACAGGGGCCCTTCTGTGTGAGGGAGGGAGGCAGAATTGTCAGGGTCAGAGTGACGCAATGGAAGAAATCCTCCACCGGCCATAACAGGCTTTGAAGATGGAAGAGGTGGCGTCTAGAAGCTGGAAAAGGCAGGGAAAGAGATCCTCCTCTGGAGCCGCCAGAGGGAACACAGCCCTGCCAAGACCTTGATTTTAGCCAAGTGAGATCCAGTTTGGACTTCTGACCTCCGGATCAGAAGATGCTGCCTCTACTTCTGGGTGTATGTTCTGCAGCTGCCCCAGGGCTCACAGGAACTCAGGTACTTCCATGTTTGGAAGTCCTTAGACAAGGTGCCTACTAGGTACACTCTTTCCTGCTTAGCAGGTGTGAATCCTCCGAACTGTATGCCAAGGGAGCAGCTGTGCTGAGCTGACCTGCACATACCAATCCCACAGTGAGGCAGAAGAAAAGCCGAAGAGACGGGGGCTCCAGAGACTGCCCAGAGGCCTGGCTCAATGTGCTCCGTCCTCCCCACATCTGTCCTTGGTTTCCACTCAGAGACCACAGTTGGCTGTGGGAAAATGGCCAGACATCTCATTTTGGATCTCAAGTCCCCCATCTGTAGAATGGGGAGCTTGGAACAGATGGCATCAAAGTGCCCTTCAGAATCTTACTTCCTAAGCCGTGCACGGTGGCTCACGCCTGTAATCCCAGCACTTTGGGAGTCCAAGGCGTGGATAACCCGAGGTCAGGAGTTCGAGACCAGCCTGGCCAACATGGCGAAATCCTCTCTCTACTAAAAATACAAAAAATTAGCCGGGTGTGGTGGCTCGTGCCCGTAGTCCCAGCTATTCAGGAGGCTGAAACAGGAGGATCACTTGAGCCTGGGAGGTGGAGGCTGCAGCGAGCCAACATCACACCACTGCGCTCCAGCCTAGGCAATAGAGCAAGACTCTGTCTCAAAAAAAAAAAAAAAAAAAAAGAATCTTACTTCCTAACCCTTTGATGAAGAAGATACATGAGTGGCAAACAAACACATAAAATATGATGAACATCAACAGCCATTAGGGAAATGCAAATTAAAACCGCAATGAGGTACCCCTGCATACCAGCCAGAGCCAAGTCTCATTTTAAAATGCTGTATTGCAGTATATAAAAGCAGAGTCCACTAAATTGTGGTGGGTTACAGAGAGCCAAAGAAGAGAAAAGGTTTCCTCTTAGAGCCTGAAAATAGAACATTGAAACAACATTAACAAGAGTTTAAAGAAATAACTATGATGAAATTCCCACAGCACCTCATGCAGTCCCATGAAATAAATTCTTGTTCCACTGGATCTTGGATCCGCATTCTCTGCTTTCATGAAGTCGTCTGCTTGTGGATTAAAAAAGAGTCCTAGAACTTAGATCTTCGGTGGCCTCATGTAAACCCAGCAGCCAGCCTCTTCTAGAACCCCAGCCCAGGGACTGGAGCAGGAAAGGGACCTTCAAAGTGAAGACTGCCTTGTCCTGCACCTCCTTCTGGCTTAGATTGAAAAATGGGCTTCCTAATGGGTTAAATCCTTTAAAACAAGGAGTTGTGGGGGAAGGGTGTCGTGCACTCCTAGAGAAAGGTACACAGTTGCCCAGCTGGGAATGTGCTTGGCGCTGACCCTGTGGGCATCCAACTGGTCTTCCAGCTCAGGAAAAAGAATTTGAAAGAGGCTTAGCATGAAGGGGAATCAAACAGGAGGTTGTGATTTGGTCGAAGGTGCCTGGTTTAGTGCTGTAATTGTCTTATTATATATATTTCTTGGAGTAAACATTTTAAATAAACGACATCATTGTCAAAAAAAAAAAAAAAAGAGTCCTAGAAATCCTGATTCAGTCCACTGTTACAATCTGAGAGCTGCTTAAGTGATATCAGTTCAGATGCCTTGCTCACGAGTCTATAAAATGCAGACAGTTGGAAGTATCTGGTCCAGTCATTTACCACCAGGCTCTAAAACTGTTCTTTTTCGTTGATGACACCAACTGCAGCCTGTAGCTTAGAGGAGAACCTTCAAGCAAGCATCAGAGAAAAGCAAACACTATCTGTAGATGACAGAGACTTCATAGCTGTGGTTTTTTTTTTTTTTTTTGAGATGGAGTCTGTCTCTGTCGCCCAGGCTGGAGTGCAGTGGTGCGATCTCGGCTCACTGCAAGCTCCGCCTCCTGGGTTCACACCACTCTCTGCCCCAGCCTCCCGAGTAGCTGGGTTACAGGCGCCCGCCATCATGCCTGGCTAATCTTTTGTATTTTTAGTAGAGACAGGGTTTCACCGTGTTAGCCAGGATGGTCTCGATCTCCTGACCTTGTGATTCGCCTGCATCAGCCTCCCAAAGTGCTGGGATTACAGGCGTGAGCCACCGCGCCCCGCAGCTGTGGTTAATTGATTACTATAACCAATAATGTCAGAATGGAGGAGAGTAAACTTCTCTCTCAGGTGGTATCCATCAGTAAACAAGGAGGCAAGCAGATTTTACTAAAATGTAATACATTTCATAGTTTCTTTCCAGAATCAGGTATCATAAAACAACATCAATAAAATTCACTTTCCAAATTTTGTCCTTCACAGTGCCCTTTCATATTCTAAAACAAACTGACAATTAAGACAGGAATTCTGCGAGGTCGAAACAATTTTCATAATAATGCCAAAATATTACTTATGTTACCATGCAATGGGTCCATCACTGCTATTTTCAAAAGAATTCTTTTAAACTATTTCACAACAGTCTGGATCTGTGTTTTTCCTGAGGGTGAAGTTCTGCGTGGTGAGGGCATTGACAAATCGCCAGGGACTTCCCATAAAACACACATTTTCTAAAATATTTAATAATTCATTAATAACATTTTGTCTACATAACTTTAACCTGGGGAAGGCTGAGCATCTCTTCCAATCTGACAATTCTTCTCATGTAAATCTTATAATAGGAACGCAATCAAAGAAACCTAGCATCTCTCTTCTCATAAGGTGGAAGAACAAATCTCGGCGATTTTCCAACGCTCCTCTGGGAAATTATTGTAGGTGTAAAAGATATCCCGAAAATTCCTTTTCATTTTTTTTTTCCTGTCTAATTTCGCAAGGCAACATCTAAAGAGTTGTCAGAGATTTAGATGCTTGATTAATATGTGCTCATGGGTGGCTGAGAAACAATCTTTGGTGACTCATTTAATTAAGTGATAAGAAAGCATTTAAAAATGAACAGACCCAAGAGTATTGAAGATATACGTCCCCATAAAAACTCACACACAAATGTTCCTAGCATCATTCATGATAGCTACAAGTGGGAGCAATCTAAATGCTAATCACCTGATGAATGGAAAAACAAAATGTGGTATACCCGTACAATGGAGTGTCAATCAGCCCTAAGTGGAACGAAGCCCTGATACATGCTCCAACATGGATGAACCTTGAAAGCATTATGCTGAGTGAAAGAAGCCAGACATAAAAGACCACGTACTGTACAATTCCATTTATATGAAATGGCCAGAATGGGAAAATCTACAGAAACAGAAAGTAGATCAGGGGTTGTCAAGGGGTTAGGGGTGGCGAGAGAGTAACAGGAAGTGTGTGCTAATGAGCGTGGGCTTTCCTTTTGTAATGTTCTAGAAGTAAATGGTGGTGCTGTTTGCAAACCCTAGCGATATACTAAAAACCATTGACCTGTACTCTTTAAAAAGGCGAACAAGATCTCAATTTCTTAAAAAGCCTATGCACGCATGAACTGCAAAATAAGTAAAATAAACAAAGAAGCATACGTATAGCTTGTTCATGAGCAAGGAAGTTTTGTTGTGTCCTATTCTAGGGCATTACAAATTAAACATAAAACACTATAAAGTATTCTGGTATGACACAGAATCTTTGCTATCCAGAATAACCGTTCCTGTTCTAGGCAGTGGTATCCATCAGTAACCAAGGAGGCAAGCTCATGAAACCACAGCAGATTTTACTAAAATGTAATACATTTCATAGTTTCTTTCCAGAATCAGGTATTATAAAACAAAAAGAATAAAATTCACTTTCCAATTTTTGTCCTTCACAGTGCCCTTTCATATTCTAAAACAAACAGTTAACTAGGACAGGAATTCTGTGAGGTCAAAACAATTTTCATAATAATGCCAAAATGTTACTTATGTTAACATGCAATGAGTCCATCACTGCTTTCCTTTTTTTTTTTTTTTTTTTTTTTTGAGACGGAGTCTCAATCTGTCACCCAGGCTGGAGTGCAGTGGCGTGATCTCGGCTCACTGCAAGCTCCACCTCCCCGGTTCACGCCATTCTCCTGCCTCAGCCTTCTGAGTAGCTGGGATTACAGGCATGCACCACCACCCCCGGCTAATTTTGTATTTTGTATTTTTAGTAGAGATGGGGTTTCTCCATGTTGGCCAGGCTGGTCTCGAACTCCTGACCTCAGGTGATCCACCCGCCTCGGCCTCCCAAAGTGCTGGGATTATAGGCATGAGCCACCGCACCGGGCCCATCACTGCTATTTTCAAATGAATTCTTTTAAGTGTCTCCTTTCAATTTCTAATGCAGTAAACATCAATAGCATTAGCCCACATAAACAAAAGCTCTTTGGGAAATCTCAGTAAGTTTTTAAGACCGTAGAAAGGAAGGTCATACCTTAAAATGTAGCATTGATTGAGAAAGGAAGGAGGAGAAGAAATACAGAATGATACCATCTATGTGAATTAAAAGTGCCTACATGCAAAACAGCCACAGTGCTTTGTTAGAGCATTTTTCTAAAGGCACCCAAGACAAAGAGGAACGATGCCTGCAGTGGGAGAGGGAGGCCTAGGAGTGAGAAATCTCATTCAAAGGGAATAAAACAAGAGAGGGACCTCACAGAGACCCCCTGATCGTGACCTACCATGTACTGCGGAGTGTGCTTAACTCACCCTCTGCATCAGAGGCTTCCACCCTCCCTCCCACAGAACAACAGCCCCCTTGGTCCCCTGCCCTGCTGCAGCTGCAGTTCCCCAGGACAGAGCTGACGCCATCCAGAGACCCTCCCCTGGGCTCCCAGCATCATCTGGGAGGATTTTCTCCAGCAAACCCACACAAGGTGAGGAGCAGGGGTGAGTCTGTCACCAAAGGAGCAGCATTGCAGGATAGGGAAGGCCAGTGGCGAGGCGAGCACACTGATCAGAGGCCACTGACATTGACTAAAGGACTGGGTCAGTTGCAGGCACAGAGCGGGAGCGCTGGCCAAATGGGAAGCACGACAAGCAATGCAGACGCAGGCAGAAGGAGACAGAAGTGGATGGCAGGACTCACAACACCCTCTTCCTGGTAAGGGCACATGTTCAAGGTGCATGCATTAGACAGCCCTGTACCCAGGGTGATGGGGAGGGAGGAACAATGAACCCAGCAGCGACACACGAAGAAGCCAGCATGAGGGGCCAGGAGCCCAGAGAAGAAGGTTCTCCAAAGGCACAGAGCAGTCACAGGGTCCAATCCCACCGACACTGACCGAAGGGCACATGCTCCTTCACTTTAAGCCAGCAATGGAGATAAACACTCGTCATCAACACCAAACGACTTCCCTGGTTTCTGTGTAACCAGCACTCCTGTCCGGAAACTTGCTGCTTGTCAAAGAAACACACCTTACTGTCATACGGTGCAGCTGTGACATTGCTCAGATGACATTTTTTTGTCACGAGCTGTCATATGACAACTTCTTTTTTTTTTTTGAGCGTTAGTACAGGCTGTGCATTGTGCTGTACTCACACCCAGGGGTAAGGTGAGGAACAAAGGCAGCCCAACCCCTGCCCGCACACATGAGCCCCGTCTGGCGAGATGGCAAAAAATCACAGCAATGCTCCTGCCCTCTGGAATCCCACCCAAAACGCCGGCCTCTCATCCTATCCATCCCCTTTGGTAAGCAAGCCCCTCTGTCTCCACTTTGTCATCTTCCCTCTATCCCCCTCTGCTCTCTCCTCAAGCCCAGCCTCTGTCTCAGCCAAGCTGGTCCCCGTGGCCTTCATGGCCCCCAGCAATTGGCCCAGGACAGGCTTCTGCCTTGGGACTGTCCTCTTTGGGACCAGGGAAATGATTTGCAAGTCCCAGTGCTGAGAGAAGATGTGGGGCCTTCTTCTTCAAAAGTCATTAGACATTAAATGATTAATAATCATTTAATTAATAATTAAGGCAGCAGCAGAGCATTAAACCAAGCTCAGGGCCTGAAGCCAGCCCTGCCCCATCTTGAATGTGGAGACAAGAGTTTATCTCCAACCTGGGACCCATTAACATGTCCTGTTGTGAGCAGGGGACGTCGTCAGCCTCATCACTAACTGCTCTGAAAGCAACCTAGAATCTCATCAGCTTCCCCGAAGAGCTTGCTGAAATTCATCAGAACAGAAATTGCAAACTGAAATGCAAGGTGAAGGAAAAGCAAGGGTTTTAGATATGAGTTTTAAAAATTAAAGTTTTAAAGAGTCCTGCCTGACCACAGAGCTATACCCTAAATCCCAAGAGCCCTTGGCCCTGCTGCAGTTGTCCTTGGTCACTCAAGGCAGGGACGGTGGGATAGGATGGAGGGTCAGCCAGGGCTTGCTGTGGGCACCCAGAGGGCAGAGGCCTAAGGGCTGTGAGCTGTGCCCAGAGACACCACCTTGGGGAGAGACGCCTCACTCACCAGGCGGCCCTGGGAGTCCTGGAGGAGGAGGCCGCAATGGACTCCCTTTCCACTGTGACTTTCCTTAACCTCTGGTTTTATGAAAATCACGGAAGTCAGGATATTTGCTCAGAAAACAGGATATTTAATCAAGAACCAAGTAGTTCAAAGCATGGCCACAGTCATTGTTAAGAAGCTGCAGAGACACAGGCAAAAGTATGGCAGGGGAAAGAGATGGCCCAAGAGGGCAGGGAGGCCACACATCCTGGAGAGGAGGCCCCCTCACCCAGAGCATGTCTCAACTGTAAGATACAATAAATCTTTCTGAGTTTCTCTTCAAAAGGTTTAGCCTGTTAACTTCCTTATCCTTTGTTCTCAAACTCAACTTTGTTTTTCCTTGGCCCTAGTTACCGTAAACAGCCTAATCCTTCCCATCAGCTCTAATCAATAACTCACATCTGTTCCCTTGGTTACCTGTACCAGTTGTTCCCCAGAAACTGCACGTCTCACAAGCTCCACCTCTGTACCTCATGTCCCCCTCCTCTGCTATATTTAGGAAAATATGTACAAGTAGCCAGTCGGGTCAGCTCAGATTGTGTGGTCCAACCCCAGCTCCTGGGGGAGTGACACAGAGATAGGGACTGTGTTAAAGATAAAAACCCCCTGGTCTCCTTTGTTCTGTGTGCACTTGGGATCTTGATTGACACAAGTGACACCCTTCTGCAGAAGTAAATTGCCTTGCTGAGAGGATTAAACTTTTGCCTGCGTGTGGTTTTACTTCCCGGCACTGAGCATTTATTCCTGGAGTATTTTATATCCAACACAACCAATGAGAGACAGGAGCTGGTGGGTCAATACCCTAATTTTTGGTGCCATTTGCTATCACTCACTGCCCTCATCTTGCCTGCCTCACCCTCCCCAGCATCCAAAGCACAAGTCAGAAAGCAGTTGAATCTCAGGGTGAGAACAAAGTCTGACACATCCATTCATGATGAACCCAGAGGGCAAAACACTGTCCACCGTGGTTTAAAAGAGGCAGTCCTCTTCCCTTCCAGATGGAAAGAAGAGGTGTCACTGAGCCACAGCCGGGAGAACAAGGGAGGCCCAGGTACAGCCAACGCTCTCCTGAAAATTCAAGAGGAACCTCACACAAGCCTTCAGGACGCCGTCTACAGCAAGTCATGGTTCTGCAATGCAAACAAAGTCAGGAAGAAAGAGGGAGGTTTGAAAACAATGCGGCCTTCCAGGCCCGAGTGAGAGGATGGGTCAGCCGGGCAGGAGTGACCGTGTAAGTATCGCAGCAAAGGAGGCTGAGTGCTCCCTGCATCAAATCAATGCTCATCTGGATAATGAAAGTACACCCTCACAGGCCTCCAAGAAGGTCACTGGCAAAACGTCCCACTGGTGGACAGACACCTGATCAGCAAGGGGCAAGAGCAGAGGCTGCTTGAAGAATCTAAAGCAAACAAACAGAAAATCCAAGACCTGGATAAAAAGTGAGAAATACAAGAAAGGCCTGACACAATTCCAAGTTGCATTCTGAACAAGAACACCACAAACCCCTTTTCATGGCACAGGGTGTTAAAAGAGCTCTTGCCAGCCGGGCGCAGTGGCTCACGCCTGTAATCCCAGCACTTTGGGAGGCCGAGGCGGGCGGATCACGAGGTCAGGAGATCGAGACCATCCCGGCTAAAACGGTGAAACCCCGTCTCTACTAAAAATACAAAAAATTAGCCGGGCGTAGTGGCAGGCGCCTGTAGTCCCAGCTACTTGGGAGGCTGAGGCAGGAGAATGGCGTGAACCTGGGAGGCGGAGCTTGCAGTGAGCCGAGATCCCGCCACTGCACTCCAGCCTGGGCGACAGAGCGAGACTCCGTCTCAAAAAAAAAAACAAAAAAAAAAAACAAAAAAAAAAAGAGCTCTTGCCACAGAGTCACTTGAGACACATTTCTGGGCAAATACACAAAGGAAGAGAGACTCTTCAACCAACTGTGTCCCTCCAAACAGCCCTGAGAAGTAACAGTCATCAGAGACTTCCCAGAAGATACCCTCGACCACCAGAGTTCTGGCCCTACACCCACATGGGTGAGGTCTTCCTCCCACCACCAACAGCCAACCTGTGAGGTCTTTCTCTTTTTGCTGAAGGGGCCCAGTGTAGACTGGAGGCCTCAAGACTAGTTCCTAGGGCCATCTGAGGCCTCCAGTGCAGTACCTACCTCCTATTAGATACAGCTGAGGCCCCACCAATACATACAAGAGACCCTTCTCCTCTAAAGAGCTGGGCATCAGAGGCTGCCCATGGTTTCCATGATTTCCATGATCACACCATGACAAGGGAGACCACCACCCACCAGGAGGAATTCCTAAGCCTCTTCTTCTTCCCACTTAGGGTTCTTCTTAAACCTTCTTGAAAAAAACACAATCTGTGCTTTCCCTAAATAAGGACTTCCTTTTGCCTGAGCAGGTATATGCAGACAATAATCTGAGGTTTGAGATTAAAAAAAAAATCTTTTTGACCACTGTAAAAGACTGCCACCAAACTATTTCCTCCCACCACCAATCACGAGCCAAGCCACAAAGTCCTCATCCCTCACTGGGGAGCTCAACCTCAACTGGGGACTGCGCCTGCTGGGGAAGCCCCTCCACTTTGTCCCAGGGCTCACCTGGGGTCTCTCCTGACCTTGCATCTGTGCTTTGCTGCAACCTTCACTTCTGCAGGTAAGTACACAAAAGGTACCGTGTCAAAGTATCAAAGAGGAACCAACCCGGTTCCCAAAATGATGGCGAATCCAGTGTCAGCCCAATCAACAGCTCCTCAGCCTCCCTCCCTGGTTCTCCTGAGTTAGATTCAGGAGACTGGGGTCCCATCTGTGGAGGCTGGAGGCTGGACGTGCTTCAACATTGGCTATGCTGTCTGTATACATAGCAAATGAGAGGACTCAACACTGCTAGGATAATCTGCACCACAATCCTCTGTGCAGCGTGCCTGGCTTTAAGAGAGGTATCCTTGGAGGCGTGTTTGCAATTGACTCCAAATCTGAAACCCCAGCACTGTGACCACAACACTCACAGGAAACCAGAATATCTGAAACGGTGATGACTTTCCACACTGATTTGGTCTCATCATGCTGCAACCGACATTCTAGTATCATTATTTAGAGAGTCCGGGGATAATAGCCACCTCTGCAGAGAGCTTCTTCAATGCCTTGAAAACAGCCAGCAGCATTTCTACGGTGCACACACCTCGCCCAATTCTGGACATCTCCACCTATGTTACCTTTTTCTGTGGCACAACCATGCTATCGCAAGGTGCTAATTGGAATCTTAAGCACCGAGTTCACAGGACCAGCTGCACAAATGATGGCCCAGGTCTACATGATCAGAAAGGAGGCTCCAATGGCCATGCCCAACACCATTGAGACGTTTGTCCTAGAGCTCAACTCCATGCTGATTCTTGTAATAGAAAGATATTCCATGTGATACCTGGGGCCATCAACCAACTCAGGGCAAAACTAGAACCTGCTTCTCTACGCCAAGGCATAGAGGCGCTCCTTGTTGTACCAGCTGTGTTTCCAAAGCTTGCTTCTGGTGCTCTGTGTCATTCCTGGGACAACCTCAGCAAGGAGGAATTATTATGCTGCTAAACTTGTGACTGAAGGGCTGCTCCGAAGCAAGCTCTGGAGACATTCAGAAAGAAAGTTTCTCCAAAATCTGGAGGAACATTTCTCACTCCAGAGCAGCAACACTTCTGTGAATTGTATGGAATTCCTGGGGAGATTTTAGAGCAGGTGTATAAGAAGCCAAACAAGAGAAGAGCCGAACCATCCATAGAGGATGGTGCAACAAAGCAGCAGCCAAAATCAGTGTTGGAGACCCTCCTCACATCCGGGGTGCCAAAAGGAGGTGCCCACCCACTCCCCAGGATCTTTTAGGCCACCTCCTAAATAGTGGAGACTTCAAATGCATCCAACTCTTCCACCTCTGTCTCCTGCTGGTCCTTCTCCATAAGACCCTTCTCTGATCTTTCCTCTGAATGAGGAACTACTAATTCTGAGGCTTGTGGTTAAACAGAAATGTATTCACCACAAATGAAGATTATCTCAAGATCTTGCTCCCCACAAAATTAACTGTTTCATTTTAATTGTAGCTCATATTTTAATAGTAAAGGACTGAAAGGTTTATGTTGCACTTAATGCTCTCAAAAACCTTTAGGGTGTTTGTTTGTTTGTTTGTTTAGAGACAGGATCTCACTCTGTCACCCAGGCTGGAGTGCAGTGGCACAATTATAGCTCACTGCAACCTTGAACTCCTGGGCTCAAGTGATCCTCCCACCTCAGCTTCCTGCATAGCTGAGACTACAGGGGCATGCCACTGGGCTCTGCTGAATTTCGTTTCTTTTTTTTTTTCCTCTCTTTTTTTTTTTTTTTTTTTTGTAGAGACAGGGTCTCACTATGTTGTCCAGGCTGGAATCCTTAAGGTTTGCATAACGAGAAACACAGTAAGAACCAAGTTCCAGTTGATCAGGCTGCCCTACCAGATTAAGGAACTCGTACTTTATATCCAATGGGGCTGCAGTTTGGAAGCCCTGTAGTCGTCGACTTTCCCTTTAAGCAGTGCACAGAAATAGGAAGAGATCAATAAAGCCCAGAAGAGAAATCTTGCCAAACTTCAACACAGCAAATAACAACCACTTATCGAGGGCTCAACTCCACTAGGAACATCACAAAGCAGCAGTTCTCAGTTGGGGGCAATTTTGTCCCACTCTCACCTCCCCAAAGACATTGAGCAATGTCTGAAGACATTTTTTATTGGTGAAACGAGGTGGGGATGGGGTGGAGGGTGCTACTGGTATCTAGTGGGTAGAGCCAGAGATGCTGCTAATCACCCTGCAATGCACAAGTCAGTCCACAACAACAAGGAATGATTTGGCCCCACATGGCAAGATTCCCCAGGTTGGGAAACTCTGGTATAAAATAAAGGCACCTGAAACACGCCCCTGACCCCAACCCCAGGCATCCAGTCTTTATGTCATGATCCCTCTGAACATCTTAGTTAAGCTATTGCCTTTGCTCCTAAGGGAAAAAAAAATATTTATACATGCATACACAGAAACAAAGCTTTGCAATTTTGGGGGGCAAGGTGACAGAGCAGGGGCCTTGCCATTGTGGACAAGCACCTTATTTTAAAATTCATCTTAATCAAAAACCGCCTAAAGCCAAAAGGCATCAGCCTAATGGCTAAGGTCGGCATGACCAGAAACTACAAATAACATCTCCGACCAGAAACATTCCAAACTCCTCCCCAACCAGAGACATGCTAGCCCCAAGATAACCCCCCTCTGGCTGGGAAGATGCCAGCCCCAAGATAACTAACCTCCCTCCTGCCGGAAAGACGTCAGCCCCAAGATAACCTCCTCTCTGCCCAGAAACATTCCGACCCGGCTATAGACTTCTCCCTGACCCAAAAACATTCCAAGCTTGTGATAAGACCCTCACCCTAAAACCAATATATACTTTTAGTCTGTAACAGAAAGCGCCCCTGACCAAAATCGGCCAGAAGCCCCTCCAGGTTTTATCTAAAGTAAACCTGTCTTTAAAAATTTCATGTTTTTTTCCTCTTTCTTTAACTCTTACACAAGTGTTCATCAATCCCTGATGCCCATTCAGGAACACTCCTCAATCCCAGACACCCAAAGATACTGAAGTCAGGTTCTTTTCCTTTTTCTTTTTTTTTTGTCTCGCTCTGTCACTCAGGCTGGAGAGCGGTGGCGTGATCTCAGCTCACTGCAATCTCACCTCCTGGGTTCAAGCGATTCTCCTGCTTCAGCCTCCCGAGTAGCTGGGACTACAGGTCTCCATCTCCTGACCTCGTGATCCACCCGCCTTGGCCTCCCAAAGTGCTGGGATTACAGGTGTGAGCCATTGTGCCCAGCTGAGGTCAGGTACTCTTTTTAGCGAGTATTCCCATTTTAAAAAATCTTTTTAAATAAAAAGAACCTGGCTCCAAAAAAACCATTTGCATGTATGATACCTCATTGAAACCTCAGAGCCATCCAACCGGGTCAGGTCTACCCGAATTGCCATGGACAGAGAACAAGACTGGGGCACCGAGAGGTTTAGATGACTTTTCTGTGGTGACACAGCCAGTGAGTGGCAGAGACACAGGAATGCCACCCCACCCCTGCTCTGGCCACCACCGGCACTCCAGGTTCTGACACCCCATGCCGTGGAATCGCACGGTGGGATCCCAGCTGACCCAGGGTGCTCCGTCTCCACCCTGGCTTTCCATCTGGCCCACACAGGTGAAGTGCAAAGGCTGATCTCAGAGAAACCATCAGAGGTACTATCACACTGCCTCATCAGTGACAGTCACTCTCCTGGCCAGGTGCATGGGCGTGGATGTGGATCACATCAGGTGTGGAACAGAGGCAGCGCACTCCTCGAGCCCCAGGTGTTTGTGGGAAGCCAACCATACCCTGAATCTCTCCTAGGTACAGGTAGGCCCAGGTGCAGCTCTGACAGGCTCGCCACTCCCGGGCAGGAAACCTCCCAGCCTCAGTCAGCTCCTCTTAATCAGCCCCTCTTCATCTCCAACCAGGATCACCAGTCTGCCAGGCCCCTTCCTGTGCTCCTCAGGAGGCCAGCAGTCTGCCAATATCTGGAACTTAATGAAATGAGAGTAAAAGTGAATCCCTGAGGTTGCCTTATTTTTCCTCCATTGAACCTCTTTCCAGTTCCCTCAGTCTCTCTCTGCCTTTGTTTTATAGTAAGAGGCTACATTTGGACCAGGTGAGCTACTGGTCACGCAGGAGTCGATCTTGCTGTCCTCCTCTGGCTGGACACTATGGCCTGGAACTGACTTCCAGCTCAGGAGTTTGAGCCCAGGAAGCTTATCCTCTGTTTTCACATGCTAGTAGTCACCCTTTTGGTCTGATTGCTGTTGAAAACCACGCAATACAACACCTGCAACTCTGTCGGAAGCCTGTGACAATCAAACTGCATTCACCCAGACTGTGTTCAGAGGCGCATATGTCTTAGAGTTTGCAAATGCATATATTCAAGTCTAAAATCTGTGTTTCAGAAAGCAACAGCCAACCAGATTTAGCAAGTCCCACCCATTTGCCGTAGGTACACCAGACCAATTTTTTAAATGAGTAAAACATTTTTTTTTTTTTTGAGACTGAGTCTCACTCCATCGCCCAGGCTGGAATGCAGTGGCACGATCTCAGCTCACTGCAACCTCTGCCTCCTGGGTTCAAGCGATTCTCGTACCTCAGCCTCCCAAGTAGCTAGAATTACAGCATGTGCCGCCATGCCCAGCTAATTTTTGTAGTTTTAGTAGAGATGGGGTTTCACTATGTTGGCTAGGCTGGTTTCAAACTCCTGACCTCGGCCTCCCAAAGTGCTGGGATTACAGGCATGAGCCACCATGTCCAGCCAAAACATTATTTTAAAGCTAAGCTCCCCACCCTCTTGCTATTCCTTTGGTTCCCCTCTCTCCCCGGGACAAACCCCATTCAACTCTAACATGCATCCCATCTCTGGATATTTCTCACTGTTACAAGGCAGTCATGTAGCCAGGACCACCGTGTCCTGATGTCTAGTGTGTTTGACAACTAACAGAAAAGGGATTTGGCGTTTTTATTTTATTTTGAGACTGAATCTCACTCTATCACCCAGGCGCAATCTTGGCTCACTGCAACCTCCACCTCCCAGAGGCTCAAGTGATTCTCCTGCCTCAGCCTCCCAAGTAGCTGGGATTCTAGGCATGCACCACCACATCCAGCTAATTTTTTGTATTTTTAGTAGAGAAGGAGTTTCACTGTGTTGGCCAGGCTGATCTCGAACTCCTGACCTCAAGTGATCCTCCCACCTCGGCCTCCCAAAGTGCTGGGATTACAGGCATGAACCATGGCGCCCGGCTGGAAAAGAGATCATCCTGTCCACAGCTGGGCCCTATTCGGGATCATCTCTTAGGAGGGCCCTAGCTCCTTTCCTGGACTGTATCTTGTCCCCATGATTGAACAAGGGTGGCTTTCAGGAAGAGGATGGGGAAAGTCCAGCCCAGAACCAGGCCCTACAGCAGAAGGCAAAAAAAAAAAAAAAAAAAAAAAAAAAAAGGTGATTCCCTTGACTCTGGCCCCCTAAGGGCAATGTGAGCCCCCCAAAACCATGAGTCCAACTCCCTGTTGTCTGGGGAGCAGCACCACAGCCCAGGATGGCTTGGGGGATGCATTGGATGAGGGAGAAGCAGGCCCACAAAGGGGAGATGAATGTGTCAAGATCACACAGCCAGGCAGGGCACAGTAGGGACTAGACCTGTGCTCAAGGTACTGGGCCATTTTGCATTTCTGAATGGGCAGCAGCATCAGAACCTTCATACTCCTCATACCACTGACGGCAGGCTCTGTGCATGGGGATATCCTTGACCCTGCACCTGGCACAGAGGGAAGCCAGCCAGCTGCGGACAGTCACGCCCTGGGGCTCTGAGCTGCTCCACTGCACCTGGGGCATCCTGCACCGGGGTGGACAGTTCCCAGTCAAGACGACGAAGACTAGGAGACCCGACCTGGGAACTCTACGTGGCGCCAGAGTGCCCCCTGCTGGCTGACCGCCAAGCAACCCAAACCTCACGTCTGCATCTAAGACTTCTCTTGACTCCCGCCCAGGAGAGCTGAGGGTTGGGTTCAGCGCCCACCTTCTCCTAGGAAGTTTCTCCTGGACCTGCTCTATCCAACCTCTATCTCAGCTGCCGACTACAGGGCCCCCTGCTGTTTCCAGTTCCTGGCCCACCCAGAGTTTTTCCTACTCATGTGGGCTACCCCCAGGACACTGGGAGCGAGGCCCTTGTTTAAGGAATCGTCTTCAGCATCACGGCAGAGGAGGAGCCCACCCATGTCAGGGTGAGTGCTGGGGTCTCAGGGAAGCCCGTCCACCATGGGCAGCGACATTATTTTCCCAATTGTTCTGCGATTCCCATCTCTCTTGGGAACAGGGCTTGCGCTCTGACTGTGAGTGAACAAGATGACCACAAGGGGGCAGCAGAGACAAAAAGCTTCGCCTGAAAACCATTTGCTAAAGTTCTCCACCCACGAGGTAAATCAGTTCCCAGTCCTGGCTGCACACTGGATTCACCTGGTGAGCTTTAAACACTACCGATGCCAAGTTCCCACCCCTACAAATGCTGAGTTAATGGCCCTGGGGTGCCATCCTAACATCTTTTTACAATCTCCCAAGGGAAACTTTAATTTAAAATGCAGAAGGCAGTGGAGGAGGGAAAGAGCGACCTTTCAGGCCATTCTTCTATCGGGCTAGGGCTGAGGATCACTGGGTTAGACCCTTGTTAATGCAAAGCGTGGCTCACGGACCACCAGCATCAAGGTCACCTGGGAGCTTGTTAGAAATAAGGACCTGCCCCAAACCTACTGAGTCAGAATCTGCAATTTAACAGATTCTCCAGAGAATTCATCTGCATATTAAAAGTCTAAGAAACTTACGGTCCTCTTTACCAAAAAGGCACTAGGGAGGTCCTGGTCCAATGCCATATGTACAGTCTGTGGATGCACAGATTAAAGCCCCGAGGCAGGAGTCCCTTTGCCCAAGGTCATTGGCCATGTATTCAGTGGGATGGCACAAACCTGAAGGCCCTGACTCCAGGACCAGTGCACCTTCTCCCACAGCACCCTGCTCCTCCAACCCAGAGGTGGGCCTGGGCACAAGAGGGCAGGAAATGGTGGCAGGAGTTTGGTGGGGTCTTTGAATTTCCCTGTTAGCACGTGTCCTGTGGGGATCCCAGGGATAGCTAAGATACCATCCCTGGCTCAAGGAACTTCTATCCTCATATCTAACTCTGGACAGACGCACTTGGTATCAGTCAAACACAACCTCTTACCTTGAGTCACGTACTAGAACCATCTCTAAATCTAGCAAAACAGAGGAGGGAGAAAAAGACTAGTTTGGATACGTAGCCTGGAAAGGTTTCCTGCAGTCCAGGCAGTGCAGGAGGAGGGTGGGTTAGGTTTCAGGGGCCAGTGGAGGAGGGGGCTGCATTTCAGACCAAAAGACCAAGATGAATGAAGGGTATAGATATACAGGAAAGGATCCACATGACCAGGGCATAGGTAAGGGCTGGGAAGTTGTGGGAGATAAAGCTGGGATGGGACAGGGGCTCGCGGCACAGACCAGACCCTAAAAGCAGGCAGAGCACTTGGCCAGGTAGAACCAATTCAGACCCTGGGCTGGAGGCCACAGAGAGCCATGGAAAGTGTTTGAGCCAGGAGAGGAGTCTGGGCCTTGGAAAGACCTTCCAGCATCAGTCCTGTCAGGTTTTGGAGATGATGCAATGAAGAGAGAGGCTACAGGAACCCTCATCCTGAGAGCTCACTGAGTACACGGATCAAGGCTCATTCATCTCAAGGTCACCAGCATTTGCCAGAGTATTAGCCCCTGGAAGGTGACCTGCAAACAACCATCTCTAAGGGAGACCAGCCTTTAACCCAAGGATGATTTCATTCTTAAGGTCCAGGCTGGGCACGGTGGCTCACGCCTGGAATCCCAACAGTTTGGGAGGCCGAGGCAGGCGGATCACTTGAGACCAGGGGTTTGAGACCAGCCTGGGCAACCTAGTGAAACCCTATCTCCACACACACAAATATATATATATATATATATATATATATATCCGAGTGTGGTGGCACATGCCTGTACTCACAGATACTTGGGGGGCTGAGGTAGAAAGATTGCTTGAGCCTGGAAGGCGGAGGTTGCAGTAAGTCAGGATCGTGCCACTGCACTTTGGGCTGTGTGACAGAGCAAGACCTCATCTCAAAAAAAGTAAAATAATTAATAAATAAATAAAACTTAAGGTCCAGAACAGGAAACGTAGGTCATACTCTTGGGACCTTGAGCTTGTTACACTGTGGGGTGGGGATGACCATAGAAATTCCCTTGTGAGATTACAGTGAGACTCACCTGTGATAATGCGTGTTACCTACCTGGCATCTAGGTGAGGCTCAATGTCATGGCAACTCCATTCTACCTGCTTTTCCCAGGGCTTCTGTGACTTTGCACCATCGTAGTAGTCTCTGGAGCCCCTTGAGATTTCCCTTCAATCTCTTCTTGCCTCCTAATTAACAGCAGCATTTATTGAATGCTTTGACCATATTAAAACACTTTGCATATGTGAACTCGTTTGGTCCTACAGTCATGCCTTGATTCATTCTCTAAATTTTTATTTATTTATTTATTTTTTGAGACAGAGTTTTGCTCTTGTTACCCAGGCTGGAGTGCAGTGGCATGATCTTGGCTCACTGCAACCTCCCCACCTTCTGGTTTCAAGCGATTCTCCTGCCTCAGCCTCCCAAGGATTACAGGCGCCCGCCACCATGCCTGGCTAATTTTTGTATTTTTAGTAGAGATGGGGTTTCACCACATTGGCCAGGCTGGTCTCAAACTCCTGACCTCATGATCCACCCGCCTTGGCCTCCCAAAATGCTGGGATTATAGGTGTGAGCCACCGCACCCGGCCCCATTCCCCAATTGAAAGATGAGAAAACTCAAGGGCAGAGCTGGCACATGAGCATAACAGGGACTTGAATCTGATTACTGGCTCAAGCACCCCTCTCCTAACTACTCTTTCTCATGGCCTCCAATGTGTGACTGACCAAGACTCTCCCCTGGCCACTCCATGACCCTCAGGCCACGATCTCCCTCCATAACTCCTTCTCTGACAGTTGAGGGGGCAAATCTCAAGTCTTTGTTCTGAGCCTTGGTCTTCTCCTTTGACCAACATAACCACATGTCCAGAGACCAGTGGGCTAGATCCACATGGACATCTGTCTTCACCTGAAACCCAACCAGCCCCAACTCTAGTCTGAGCCTTGGGCAGCTTGCCCTTGGTCCCTCCACTACAGTACTGAGTTCATTCTCTCCGGAAGTCTAGTTCATCAAGGCCCTGCTGGTTTCCACCCAGGACTGTGGGATCCTGGAGGACAGGCATCTGTCCTCAGGTGCCTCTCACAGCCCCAAGCACAGTAAGTGCTGGACTTACCTCTTCTCTAGCCAGCATCCCTCCCAATTCACCTATTTCAGCTCACAGTGCTACCCTCCATCCCTTGACCCATCCCTCTCCAACAGCTGCCTCATCCCCCAATGGTCCTCTCTGCTCAGAACCACTTTCACCTGCCTCTTAGATTGTTCACTCCCTGACATTCCACCCCACCAACTGCTCCTCCCTGCCCTCCAGCAGGCTCAGGTGAAATCCAACCCCACCCGTTTTTATTTATTTTTTGAGACAGGGTCTCCCTCTGTCATCCAGGCTGGAGTGCAGTGGCACGATCATGGCTCACTACAGCCTCAACCTCCCTGGGTCAAGTGATCCTCCCACCTCACCCCCCCACAAGTAGCTGGAACTAGAGACACGCACTACCACACCTGGCTAGTTTTTTAATTTTTTGTAGAGATGCGGTCTTATCATGTTGCCCAGGCTGGTCTCAAACTCCTGGGCTCAAGTGATCCTCCTGGTTCAGCTTCCAAAGTGCTTGGATTATAGGCATGAGCCACCGCACCCAGCCTACCCCTTGAAATTTAACCATACTCTGTCCCCATTCAAGTTAGTTTCTGTGACTTTCCCAGTGAACTGGAAACTCCTTGGGGGAAGGAACTGTGTCTACTTATTTTTGTCCCCACAACACTGTCCCAGTAACTGGCATATGTTTGAGGACCATTTTAATGTGTGTGTGAATTGTCCAAGTCTTTTCTCTTTTTTCTGTGGAGTATTTCATCCTCTGTCCCTCAATTTTTAAGAGTTCTGTATATATAAGGGAGATTAGCCCTTTGTCTGTGGTATGTGTTACAAATATTTTCTCTCAATTTTTCAGTTACTTTGGTTTCTGTGGTTTGGGTTTTTTGTTTTGTCTGGTTTGGTTTGGTTTGGTTTGCCATGTCCAATTTGCCAGAATTTTATTTCATTGCTTCTGGATTCTGAGTGATGCTTTCAAATCCTTTCCTTACACTGAGGTTAAGAGGAATTCACCCACGGACTTTTTCCCCCTAGTACTTACATGTTTTCATTTTTTACACTTAAATTCATGATCCATTTGAGTTTATTCTTATATATGCTGTGAACAATAGATCTAATTTTATCTTTTTTTAAAAAAAAAAAGACTACCCCATTATCCCAGTACCATTTATTAAAAAGTCTGGGCCAAGCACAGTGGCTCATGTCTGTAATCCCAGCACTTTGGAAGGTCAAGATGAGTGAATCACTTGAGGTCAGGAGTTTCAGACCAGCCTGGCCAACATGGGGAAACCCCATCTCTACCAGAATAAATAAATAAATAATACAAAAATTAGCCAGGTATGGTGGTGCACACCTGTAATCCCAGCTACTTGGGAGGATGCGGCACAAGAATCGCTTAAGCCCAGGAGGTGGAGGTTTCAGTGAGCTGAGATCGTGCCACTGCACTCCAGTCTGGATGACAGAGCAAGACTCCATCTCAAAAAATAAATAAATAAATAAATAAATAGTCTATCATTGCCTCTGAGATTTCACATGCCACCTTTATCATATACTAAATTCCCATTCGTACTTAGGTCTGTTCTGTACTTTCTATTCTATTCCATTGGTCTGTCTGTCTGTTCATGTGGTCAATGCCACACTGTTCTAATTACAGAGGCTTTATAGTTTGTTTTAACAGCCCATAGGGTGAGGCCCCCATTTTGGTCAGTTTTTCCCTGGCTATTTCAGCATGTTTATTTTCCATAGAAACTTTAGTATCAGCTTATCAACTCCATGAAACAAAGCTTATTGGTATTTTTATAGGAATGGCATTCAATTTATAAGTCAACTTGGGGGGAAAAGGGCATCTTGATGTTGAGTTATGATAGCCAAAAACAAGGGATGTCTTCCCACTCCACGTGCTTTAGTGTTTTCCAGAAGTGTTGTAAAATTTTCCCTTTATAGATTTTGCACATTTCTTATTAAGTTTATCCCTAAGTATTTAATCATCTTTGTTGCTACTATATGTAGTAGGGTGCTGCAGGGACCACAGCCTTTGCCACTTCCCTCTGGAGGCTGCAGCTCACCCGGAAAAAGGCTAGGGACACAGGAGACCCCCACTTCAGACTCCTCTCCTGCAGCTGCTGCCCCTCAGGCCAAGGAACAGCCCTCTCTGTTGGAAGGGAGCCCCCAGAACAGAGGCCATCCAAACCTGAGGCAGAGGGGGACCATATCCTCCTCACCAATCTAAGAGGCTTCCCCAAAGACCTCACCCCCAGCTTTTGCAGACCCAGCCTAGTGCCTGGGCTTCAGCTGAGAGGCTGGGGGGATGTTTTCCTTCCTGCCCCAGAGACTGTCAACTGAATCCTCAAAATGTATCTGAAGGAATGGGAGACATTCTAAATATACTGTTTGACTCTGAACAAAAAGATCAAAAGTTCAGGGACATTCTTTGAGGCCATCAGAGTACAAAACAGAAATCAGTCAAAGGAAGAGTCTGGGCTTCAACATATCAAATTAAATTCTAGTGAGGAAACTGCTTGTTAATTTGGAGCCAGTTAACAAGAGAAAACAGAGACAATGTGAAATATAACAAAACCATATGTGAGATTTAATAACACTTTCTAAGGTAAGAAGAGCTTTAAAGAATTTAAATGCAAAGGAGACACGTGGATCTAACTTCTGTCTGGCTCGGGAAGAACACATGAGGCTTCAGAATTCCTACAGGAAAAAGAGAAACAGAGAAACCAACATGCTGCCTTTAATGACTTCATCAAATGCCATGAGCAATCTCAGAGAGTCCTCCATGTCCTTTTTTGCAAGACACAAGAAAACGCCCATCTAAAAGATCACATTACACCATGAGAAGCGCCGGCAGGCCAGTAGAGCGATGAGACACAGTTTCGGACAAGTCAGACGGCAGATGACTTCGACAGAGTCTTCGTTAACCATGATGGGGAAAAGCACAGACTACTTCCAGGCAACACAGAGGGAGGTTGTATCAGACAAGCAACATCTGGAAGAACAGTAAATCCGCTGAAAGAAGGTGACTATCCACTGCATAAGGCCAACACTCTCCTGAAAAGATCAACGTGCATCTGCACAGCCCACTCATGCAGAGCATTAGCAGAAAATCACAGCCCTTAAGCAAGGTGACTCTGGAAGAGAAAGAAATGGAAGCGAGACGCAGCCTTCCAAATGCACTTCGGAAGAGCATCCGCAAGACAGGGGCTGGGAGAGCAACTGCCATAGTGAAAAGTAACATTGACTTACTTCATGGGACCAAGCCTCTTCTGGAACATCAATCTAAAAACCACAGAGCCTGAATGAAAGCTGTTAGCAAACGGAATCTCAAAAACCAGTTTGCTTAGCAAGGAAAAGAACAGGAAGGGAAGTGGCAAAATCTTTCCCCCAGAAGAAAATAACCAAAACTCCAAGACCTGGATTAAAAATGAGAAAAACAAGAAAGGCCTTATACGATCCAGAGTTGCATTCTGAACAAGAACACCCATGAACTCTCCTTCATGGCATAGTATGTTAAAAGAGCTCTTGCCAGCCCGGTGCGGTGGCTCACGCCTGTAATCCCAGCACTTTGGGAGGCCAAGGCAGGCAGATCACCTGAGGTCGGGAGTTCAAGACCAGCCTGACCAACATGGAGAAACCCTGTCTCTACTAAAAACATAAAATTAGCCAGGTGTGGTGGCACATGCCTATAATCCCAGCTACTTGGGAGGCTGAGGCAGGAGAATCGCTTGAACTCAGGAGGCGGAGGTTGCAGTGAGCCGAGATCACGCCATTGCACTCCAGCCTGGGGCATAAGAGCAAAACTCCCTATCAAAAAAAAAAAAAAAAAAAGGAGCTCTTGCCACAGAGAAAGTAGGTGCTACCAACTTGAGACACATTTCAGGGTAAACATACAGAGGAAGGGAGAGTCTTCAATCAACTGTGTTCCTCAAAACAGCCCTGAGAAGCAACAGTCATCAGAGACTTCCTGCAAGATACCCTCAACCACTGGAGTTTTGGCCCCACCCCCATTCCCACACCAGGTGAGGTCTTCTTCCCACCACCAACAACCAGTCAACCCATGGGGGTCTTTCTTGCTGGAGGAGCCCAGTGTACATTAGAGGCCTCAAGAATAGTTCCTAGGGCCATCTGAGGCCTCCAGTGCAGTACGTACCTCCTATTAGATAGAGCTGAGGCCCCATCAATACATGCAAGAAATCCTTCCCCTTTGAAAAGTTGGTGTCACAGGCCGCCTGTCATTTCCATGAGTTCAATGATCACACCAAGACAAGGGTGTCCACCCCACCAGGGAGACCACTGCCCTAACCAGAAAGACTTCCCATGTCTCCTCTTCCTCCCCTCTGTGGTTCCCTTTAGACCCCCTCAAGATAATACAATCTATGTTTTCTCCAAGTAAGAACTACCTTTTGCCCAAGAGGGTATATGTAGACAACAATCTAAGGTTTGGAGTTTTAAAAAACTCTTGACCACTATGTAGACTACTCCCCAAACTATTTGCTCCTACGGAATAACCTGCATCTTAGTTTAGCTCCTATCAGCTTTGTAAGCATAAATGACTTAGAAATTAACAATAGCTTTCCATGCAATAGGGCTCCCACAATGTGGTGCACGTTCCTAAAGCCTTCCAGACTTTCTATAAGAAGTGTGGCAAGCACCAACCCCACAAAGTGGCACAGGACAAGAAGGGCAAGGATGCCATGTATACGCGGGGAAAGTGGCGTCATGACAGGAAGCAGAGCAGCAATCTTGGGCTGAGTACTCAGGAGGCTGAGGCATGAGAATTGCTTAAGCCCAGCAGGCGGAGGTCGCAGTGAGCCGAGATCACGCCACTGCACTCCAGCCTTGGCGACAGAGCGAGACTCCATCTCAATAAATAAAAAATATAAATAAATAAGTATAAAAAGTCCATCACTGCCTCTGAGATTTGACATGCCACCTTTATCATATACTAAATTCCCATTTGTACTTAGGTCTATTCTGTACTTTCTATCCTATTCCATTGGTCTGTCTGCCTGTTCATGTGGCCAATGCCACACTGTTCTAATTACAGAGGCTTTATAGTTTGTTTTAATAGCCCATAGGGCTAAGCCCCCATTTTGTGTCAGTTTTTCCCTGGCTATTCCAGCACGTTTATTTTCCATAGAAACTTTAGTATCGACTTACCAACTCCATGAAACAAAGCTTGTTGGTATTTTTATAGGAATGGCATTCAATTTATAAATCAACTTGGAAGGAATGGGCATCTTGATGATGAGTTGTGATAGCCAAAAACAAGGTAGTCTTCCCACTCCACGTGCTTTTGTGTTTTCCAGAAGTGTTGTAAAATTTTCCTTTTATAGACTTTGCACATTTCTTATTAAGTTTATCTCTAAGTATTTAATCTTCTTTGTTGCTATTATACATGGGGTTTTCTTAAGTCCTCTAACCTAAGTATTGTTTGTGTATATCAAGGCCACTGATTTCTGTAAGCCGATTTTCCAGAAAAAGGCTAAAACTACAAAGGAGATGGTGCTGAGGCTTGAGCGCTGAGCCCAGCTACAGATCTAAGACGATGCGGGCTATGAGGACATGCAAGCATTTTGAACTGGGAGGAGATAAGAAGAGAAAGGGCCAAGTGATTCAGTTCTAAATTTCATCTTTTGTTTTATTATGAAGACAATAAAATCTTGAGGTTATGTTCACTTCAAAGAAAAGAAATGTATGATAAATTTTATACTGTAAATAAATCCTTTTTTGTGGGTGAGTGGCAGGCATTCCTCAGTTATCCCGGTGGGAACCGGGGGAATATAACAGACAGGCCTGAAATTTGGCAGCTCTGGAAGCCACTCCTACTTCCTAGCAGAGGGTCTTGAGAATAACTGGACCCATTCCACACCAGGTGGTGAGGAGAGAGGGCTCAGCCAGGCCAGGAGGGATCCTCCATCTCTAAGTGGCCGCAAGTCAGTGATCAGTGACAATCAGTGATCAGCCAGCCACTGCCTTCCCGTGCTAGGCACATTCTGTCCACTCTATAATATAACCTCCCTTCAGCAGCCCAGTGAAGTAGATTCAGGTATGATCACCATCTTATGGGAACAGAGAGGTTAAGATACTTGTCAAAGGTCTCACAGCCAAGCATGGCAGACCTGGGGATAAATAGATCACTCCAGCAACCGCGCACAGTGGTTTCCAGGACTGACCCCATCATTCACAGAGGAGAAACAAGCCCAGAGGGGGAAGAGACATTCTCAAGGTCACGCAGCCAGTCCAGGTCTCCTGCACAGGGCCCTTTGCATCCATGGCCACGTACTGGGGTGTAAGATGCAATGCAAGGCTTCCCCCTGGAGGAAGGGCCAGAAATTGCAGACAACCCTACCAGAGGCCCTGGGCAGCTTCACTCTGCATGATGGTGGATTTAGTGACCTGCCCCAGGAGGTTCTCCTTTCTTCTTCTTTTTTATTTTATTTTATTATTTTATTTTATCGCCCAGGCTAGAGTGCAGTGGCACCATCTCAGCTCACTGCAACCTCCACCTCCTGGGTTTAAGTGATTCTCCCTCCTTGGCCTCCTGAGTAGCTGGGATTACAGGCATGCATCACCACACCCCAGCTAATTTCTTTGTATTTTTAGTAGAGACAAGTTTCACCATGTGGGCCAGACTGGTCTCGAACTCCTGACCTCAGGTGATCCTCCCACCTCGGCCTCCCAAAGTGCTGGGATTACAGGTGTGAACCACTGCGCCCAGCCTTTATTTTTTGAAACAGGGTCTCTGTCACTCAAGCAGGAGTGCAGTGGCATGATCTTAGCTCACTGCTGCCTCAAACTCCTGGGCACAAGTGATCCTCCTGCCTCAGCCTCCCAAGTAGCTGGGACTACACGTGCATGACACCACATCCAGCTAACTTTTTTTTTCGTAGAGATAGGCGTTTCACTTGGTCGCCCAGGCTGGTCTCAAACTCCTGGGCTCAAGCAATCCTCCTGCTTTGGCCTCCCAAAGTACTGGGACTACAGGTGTGAGCCACTGTGTTGGGCTCCTCTCTTATTAGTGCCCCACTGTGGAATCTTCTGGACCCTGTTGGTGAAGTCATATCAGGGGCCCCGTATACACAAGGGAATTTTTCCTCTCACTGCATGATGAAATCATTGACTCTCTCAAGATTCAAGTTCCAGGAAGCCCCTAACAAAAAAGAAGAAAGAAAGAAAGGGCCAAGTGCCATGGCTCATGCCTGTAATCTCAGCACTTTGAGACCCCCTGTTGCTACAAAAAAAAATGTTTTTAATTAGCCAGATGTGGTGGTGTGCACCCGTAGTTCCAACTACTCCGGAGACTGAGGCAGGAGGATTGCTTGAGGCCAGGAGTTCAAGGCTGAGGATTGCCCAGGAGTTCAAGGCTGCCATGAGCAGTGATCACTCTGCTGCACTCCAGCCTGGGTGAGAGAGCTTGAGAGCCTGTCTCTCAAACCAAAAAAAAAAAAAAAAAACAAAAAAAAACCACACCTAGAGAGAGATGGCTTTCCATGTCAGAGACACTGGGATGGATACAGTAGAGACAAAACCTGAGTGGATGGCGCTGTCTGTCCTCACAAAAGTGATGACTTCTTGGATGTCTCAGATGCACAGTCTGGTGAGCAGAGAGCTGGGGTAGGCCAGGGAAAGGACCAAATGCCAGCCAAAGACGGGCGCAGTGGCCACCTCTAATCCCAGCACTTTGGGAGGCTGAGGCGGGCAAATCGCTTGAGGTCAGGACTTCGAGACCAGCGTGGCCAATGTGGTGAAACCCCATCTCTACTAAAAATACAAAAATTAGCCAGGAGTGGTGGCACATGCCTGTAATCCCAGCTCCTCAGGAGGCTGAGGCACAAGAACCACTTGAACCTGGGAGGCGGAGGTTGCAGTGAGCTGAGATCATGCCACTGCACTCCAGCCTGGACAACAGAGCAAGACTCTGTCTAAAAACAAACACACAAATGCCAGCCAAAGAAGTGAGGGGACTCCTCACAGTCGGGATCATATCTGAGCTGAGTGTGAAAGGTGAATGGCTTCAGGCATAAAGAAGACAGTAAGAAATGCCTGGGGAGACAGAGAAGGCTTGGCTGGTGCCTTTCTCACTGGTCCCTGGTCCTGCTGCCTCCCCTCCGCTCCTCCCTCCCTGCGCACCAAAGTCCTGGGGCTGCTCCAATGGCCGACTCCTTCCAATCTTCTATTGCTTTCTCCTCCCCGCTGGTCATGCCAGCCTCATCTCATAGCCACCCCTGCCCCTGGCATTGTCCATGTCTCTTGTTCTCACCATGCACCCAGCCTCACACACCCACCCCTAACACTGAACGCTTGGATCTCTGCTTCCTACGTAGAACTGTCTACAATCTTCCTGCATACCTGCTGCAAGGAATTCAGAAAACTCCATACCAGCCTCTGCCCCTAAGAAAGAGAAGTCAGCTCACGGAAAGAGGAAAGGCACAAAGAGGTAGCAGAGAAAGAACATTCCCTGCTAGTTCTGGGCCACTGTGGCAAGGGGATCGCAGAAGGAAGGGGTCTTGTGGACCACGGATGCTGGGGTAGGACTGGGTAAGTGGGAGGATGGCAGGAAGGTTCTGCACGGGTCCGTGGAAGTGGGTGGCCCGTTTCATCCAGGTGGGAGAGTGTGGGTTGGCCTTGTCCTTGCAGGGCCCTGTGGAGTATTTCCCCAAAGGCTGGGAGAAGCCACTCAAGGTTAGGAGCGGGACATCTTGAAAAATATGTTTAAAGTGATTGCTAGAACAAACCATGTTCCTTCCCTCTATAGCTTCTCTGGCTGAGCAGCTCTTCAAAGCATCTGGGAACCACCCCAACTGGGGATGCTGCCTGACCATCAGCTCCCCGGGGCCGAGTGTGTATGGCCCCAAGATGAACATGAGGGGAGCCCCAAATTCAAGGCTGGCTGGTGGCAGAGAGAAACGCACCCAGGACACAGACTTCGGGCAGTGCTCCTTCCTCCCTTCACACTCTCCCTCCTGCTTTGAACCTGGAATGGTGAGAGCAGCTGAGGGCAGCTTGGGGGTGGGATCCTGAGCCCCCCTTTCCCCACACCTCTGGGCACGTGGAATGTGGCCCACCCAGGGGTGGCTCAGATCCTGTCTCTGGATCGCAGAGGCCCCAGCCTAATGGAGAAGGCAGGACTAACACACAGAGAACAACTGAGAACCCCCTCAAACCCTGGGATGTGCTAGTCACCAAGTGCCCTAGGAGATCAGAGAAGAAAGAATCAGAGTGACCACTGTGCAAGAAATCACCGGAAACCAGTTCCCAAAGGAGCACCGAAACCCCGATCAGAAGAGCAGGTGTGTGTGTGTTGGGGGGGGGGGGGGGGTAGAAGAGACTAGTCCTATCAGGTAGTGAAATATATGATTGGTTATCTGGTAAAAACAAGCAAAAATGCCACAAGGTCTTAGAGAATGAGTAAGCTGGCAAGTTCAAGGTCGTCATCTTACCCAAAATGGTTTTTGGGCAATGGGATGGGGTGAAGACTCCCTGGGGCAGTAACATCCCTGAAACAGTGAGAAGGGAATCTTGAGATGGGGAGAGCTCCCTCCACCCACCCATCCACTCGCCCATCCCTCCCCGCACCCTTTATTCCTGTCATCTTTTCATGTGACAATAAATTGGACAGCCCTGCTTGGAGCCAGCAGTGCGACTCTGCTGCCCTTCATAGACCCTCTGGGCCTATGTGTAACCAGGAAGCAAGATTATTTGAGAAAGAAGAGAGAAAAAGAAAAACGCGGGATGCAAAATAAACAAATAAATAAATAAATGAATTGGCAAGTCCAAGGCAACCATAATTTCTTCCCTCCATTTTCCGACTGAATTCACGTCCAAGAATCTTCTGGAACCTTCCCTCCCTGCTTCCACCTCACCCCCACCTCGACTCCAGGACCTAGACCTGGGCCTGGAGATTTCACACCCCACACCCCTTCTCTGCCCTCCTGCCCTCCTGCCGCGCTCTCCTGCTCCCCAGGGCCCTACTCACCCCTCGCTCCGGGGTCGCCCCTGACGCCCACCCGCGGCTGAGGTCGCACGCTCCAGCCTCAGTCCACCCTGGAACCCTGCATTTGGCAGCCACGAGAGCCCATCTCCCGCCCAATCAAGAGGCCGTCGCCCTGGAGACGGAGGACCCCAGCTGGGGTCACCCCTTGCAGCCTCCTCTCCCGTGCTTGCCGGTTCTTGCCACCCTCCGCCGCTTGCACCGGACCCAGGCGCTCATCCCCCGCTTCCCCCGCGCCCCAGCCCGGTCACGCCTCGGAGCTTGTCCCCACCTGGCCGTGCTCAGAGTCTGCCTGCCCGGCGTCCCACACGCACCGCAGGGCCCCACCGCCTCTTGGTGAGCCGCGGTGGCTCGGGTCCCGGGTCCCCAATAGGCTGCGCTCCCGGCAGGCAGCTTTCTTCCCGGCGCGGGGCTCGTTCCCTGAGGCCAGGCCGCTCAGTGGCCGCAAGAGCGACCTTCCCACATGTCCCCAGGTGTGCGCACAAGCCCGGGGTGAGACCAGAAGCTGCTGCCTGCAGAGCCCGACCTTGCGTAGATGACTCCGCGAGTGCAAGGGGCTGCAGGCATTTTCTTACAGGAGGTAGCAAGCTTGTCTAAGCAGAGGCCCTCTTAGCGCAGTGGGCAGCGCGTCAGTCTCATAATCTGAAGGTCCTGAGTTCGAGCCTCAGAGAGGGCAGCTGTTTTGTTGTGCTACGAATGCAGCAAATGTTCGGATGTAACCCAGCAAAGCACTCTGAACTATGGGCAAAGAGTAGGTGTGTCCCTCAAGGACCAGAGAGTAACAATTGCAGCAAATATGCGGATGTCACCCAGCAAAGTGCTCTGAACTATGGGTAAAGAGTAGATGTGCCCCTCGAGGACCAGAGGGTAAGGATGTGCCATCACCTGACAGCCAGGTGTACAGGAGCAGGGGACCCTGCCACAGGGCCGCGTAAATAAAATACATGGTAAGGTCAACTCGCGAATGAATCACCCTTGCTCATAACGAAAAGAAACTCAGATCACAGCCACAGGAACTGCTATTGTCCCCTCTCCCAGGAATTAAAATCCACAAATGAGGCCGGGTGCATTGGCTCACATCTGTAATCCCAACACTTTGGAGAGCCAAGATAGGAGAATAGCTTAAGCCCGGGAATTTAGAGACCAGCCTGGGCAACATAATGGGACCCTGTTTCTACAAAAAATAAAAATAGCCAGGCGTGGTGGCAAGTACCTCTAGTCCCAGCACCTCTGAGGTGGGAGGATCGCTTAGGTCGGAGCTGCAGTGAGCCCTCATCACACCATTGCACTCCAGCAGTTTTAAAACAAAACAAAACAAAAACCTCCACAAATGAGAAAACACGCACTGTTGGCATGAATGTAGGCAAACGGACACTAAGCGTTGCTGGTGAGAGCTAAATTGAGTCAATTCCTCTTGCAACATCTATGAAAATCAGCCTCCTAGACCACTTCCAATCTCTTTTTTCCTCGACCTTCCTCTGCTAGGAGAAAGGCCTTGTCTCCACCCTCGCCTCCATCCCAGACCCAGCTTCCAAGAGCCAGGAAGACCGAGGCAGTCAGCACCCAGCCTCAAGAGATCTAGGAGAGGGGGATGAGGCGTGGCTTGAATGACAAGCTCTGATTCTAGCTCTAGCTGAATCCTTCCATATTTTTCATTACAATACCTTCTATTTATTTTGTAGTTTATTCTCTATTAGTTATTTAGAAGCATATTTAATTTCCAAAATAGGAAAATTCTAGTTTTATTTTTATTATTTATATCTTAATTGCATTGTGGTCAAATAATATATTCTGTAAAAGTTAAATCCTTTGAAATTTATGGCTCAGGTATATGGTCGTTGTAAATGCTGTGTATGTGGGTGGGGTGGGGGTGTGTTCTGTAGTGGTTGTGTGCCTTGTTCTAAGTTTTCTTTTTTTTTTTTTGAGACTGAGTCTCGCCCTGTCGCCCAGGCTGGAGTGCAGTGGTGCGATCTCGGCTCACTGCAAGCTCCGCCTCCCGGGTTCACGCCATTCTCCTGCTTCAGCCTCCCGAGTAGCTGGGACTACAGGCGCCTGCCACCACGCCCGGCTAATTTTTTGTATTTTTAGTAGAGACGGGGTTTCACCATGTTAGCCAGGATGGTCTCGATCTCCTGACCTCGTGATCCACCCGCCTTGGCCTCCCAAAAGTGCTGGGATTACAGGCGTGAGCCACTGCGCCTGGCGCCTTGTTCTAAGTTTTCTAATCATGTTATTCAAAGCTTCTGTACCCTTATAAATTTTTTATCTGTTTGAACTGCTGGTTACTGTGAGATATAAATTTGTCTAATTTGTTGATTTTTCTTTTTGTATTTTGAGGCTACAATAACAACTACATAAAAACAGAATTCTTGTGCTTCCTGATGAATTGAACCTGAACTGAACACTTATGAAATGTTCCCCTTTATCTCAAATATTTTTTGTTTTCTAGTATGTTGTCTAATATTAATATAACATCAACTTTCTTTGATTTGTGCAGAAAGTATCTTCTTCTATTATGCTGTACTTTCTGTACCCTTATGTTTTAATGTATCTTTCAAACACAGTTATGATTTTTTGAATTGTTATATGATCTCTACAGATTAATAGGAATATTTAGTCCACTTACATTTAATATAATTACTGCTATATTTGGTTTTAAATCTATCATTTCAGTAAGCTTTTCCTTTTCTGCTTCTTCTTTGTTCTTTTTTTCCTTTTCCCTCTTTTCTTGGATTATTACTATATATTATTCCAGTATTTTCCCTCTTTGCTTGGAAGCTGTATACTTGTTTAATATTCTTTTAGCAATTAACCTAGAGATTACAATGCTACTCCTTGATTTATCAACACTGCTATTAATTAGGACTCTTATTTCCAGAAAGCATTTTAAAATTCTTGTACTCCCACTCCCAATTATTACCCTTCCAACTTGTATGTCTTTATTTTTAATTCTGTTGGACACATACTTAGGAGTGGAATTACTGAATCATATGGTAACTCTGTTAAGCATTTTGAAGAACTTCCAAACATTTTCAAAGTGACGGCAACATTTTGCAATCCCACCAGCAATATATGAGGATTCCAATCTCTCCACATCCTTGTCAACACTTGTTATTGTTTTTTTTACTCTAGCCATCCTAACAGATAAGTGATAACTCCTTTGGGTTTGTTTTCTTCCATGCAATAGTCCAAAGTGAACAGCTTATCTCGATGTCTGACTCATGCACACAGGATGCTTCTATCCTGTGGTTCTGCAATGCCCTGGGGCCTCCACATCATTTGCCTTGAGCTGGTAGAAGTGGAAGGAGACCCTGGAGGGAACAGTCCTACTTCTTTAGGCCTAGCCCAGAGCTGACACATATTATTCACTCATGATCCACTGGCAAGAACTAAGTTCCTGACAACGTCTACATGTTGCAAAGGATGGCATACTTGGCCCTTGGCATTGCAGCTTCCTCCCAGGGAAAACTCCGAGCCATGAACTTCAGTGGGCAGCTGGCAGTCTCAGCTATACAAACACCAAGCCAAAAAGAGGACCCTGATGGAAGAAGACTAGAAAGCAGGCCTATATGGCTTTTTTTCCAGGAGCTGGGCCCTTTCCAGCCTGGTGAAGCCCAGATATATAATACTACATTGTCACATTTTCAAACGTGAGGAAACTGTCCTGAAACAGTGAGCTAGGTAGCTTTGATTAGCACCAAACACCAGAATTAGCATCAGGACTTTTAAAGAGTCAAATAAAATGATGTAGCGTGAAGCAGGGAGCTTCTTCATCACTGAAGTTAGGCACAAAAAGGGAACCTGTCCTCAGAACATGGCTAGACCAGCTCTAGGAGTTCTACCTGAGTCAAGAGTTGAGCATTATTGGTCTATCTATCAACTCCCTGATACAATCTGAAAGTTGGTACGTGGACTTACATTTCTTGAGCTTTAAGATTCCAAAAATTCCCGCTTAAAAAAAAAAAAAAGTTTACAAACAAAACTAAGTCTGGTCTAAAACTCCTTCCCCACCTTGAAATTTGCTGAAGGCATAAGCAATCTATCACAATGAGTTTGTGACTTGAAAGAAAGGGACACATATCCAAGCCACTTTGCTTTCTGCTTTGCTATTTTATTCATTACAAAGGGATCTCAAGTTTCCTGCCAAAACCCAGAAATCAGTGGTAGGAAGATAACAAAGGAAAAAGCTCCAAGCCATCTGATTAAAATCTGGGAGTGCAGGCTGAGAGCGGGCTACTGGAGGGGAGGGATGACCCAAGCTAAGGCAGAGGAGATGGCAGGTGTTAGAGGTGTCCAGCACTCTGAAGCCATCCTCACAGCCACACCAGCCCAAAGACTGGGTCTTCACTGGCAGGACCATGGCATGCCACCTTTAATACAAGAGCTGGTAGATGGTGGCACTGCTGCTAGAGCCCATGACCAGATACTGGTTGTCAGAGGACACGTCACAGCACAGGATACCTGAAGACTCCTCTATCTAGATGGATGGAAGGGCCAAAACAGGGATCACATTTGGGGCCAGACATGAAGGCTTCATTTAGGGCTGTTTCAAGGCTCAGTGTAGACCTAAGGCTCAGGTGGAGGACAGGGCCAGGTCTCAGGGATCAAGGTGACTTGGGAGTTCATAGGATGTGAAGTCTTCATTTCCCCTACTCTGTAAAATGGCCCTGGCTGCCATCTCAGAGGTGTTTTCCAACACCCACTGGAATCCAACCAACTGGGACCTGGAGCTACAAGCTCCCAGTGCCTGGGTTCGGGCATCCCTCTGTGTCCAGTACCTGAAACAACTTTTGCAGAGAAGGTGCCTCCAAGCCACTGAGGCGCGTATCTATCGCGGTCACAAAATAGCTCCCTGGTGAAGGAACGAACAGGTGAGAGGCCAGAGACCAATCCTGCATTCTAGTTCCAGCACTGTCCCCAACCAGACTAAGGGCAAGTCTTTCTCTGCCTGTTTCCCTATCTATGAAAATCAGACACACAACCCAAGCCATTCCCTTATCTTCCCCCACCCTCCTACCACACACAAGATCATGGTTATCACGGAACAACAGAAGGACAATCAGATAGGGTTCACGCCTCTTCAGTCTGCCTGAGTCTTCAGGCTGTCATTCTGTGCAGGATCTCCCATTACGGAGGGAGCCAGAAAAGGAAAGGGGGGTGAACAGAGAAAGAAGAGACGACAGCAAGTTCAAAATCGGACACCCAGAGGTGTCACCTGGCTTCTCACTCACCACAGGAGGCAAACTTGAGGCTGTGGTGGCGGGTGTATTTTTTCATGAGAGCCTTAAACTGCTCATTCCGACGAGTGTGAAGGAACACGATATCACTCGTTCTCAGGCCCGCCAATACCCATTCTTCACCGGGGTCGTGGGTAATGCTGAGGATCTGTTCGTGGAAGCAGGTTTGAGGTCAGCACTCAAAGTTGCCAACGCCATCCTTTGTGCCCACCTCTCAAGCTCACACTCCCACCCCTGCCTCCATGCATGGCTCCACTACAGGTGGCATTCTGCCAGTGGTGGCCAGCCGGGCACCTCATTCTGTAAGTTGTGTTGGTGCAGCCTCTGGTAGCTCCTCAGGTCCCAGGAATACAGGATGGTGTCTTCACCTCCTGTCCAGAATATATTGCCGGTGATGTCCACACATCGGGACCCGTATACAGGAACTTCGTGCTTCCTGGTGGGTGGGAAAACAACTCAGAGGGTCACTGAATGGTTTGGGCCCCCGGGAAGTTTCAGGGTCAGGAAGCCCCTAGGAGTACCCCAGATATATCTTCTACACTGACTCGCCCAGCCCTAATGCAAAGAGGGGAAAGAGCCTCACTGGCAAGCCCTCCCCCAGGTACACCTGAGTGGCTCTGGAGAGAGGTCATACCTGATCAAGATTTGGTTCTGCAAATCCCAAATCTCAACAAATCCATGGAAACAAGCCAAACAGATATGGGCATCAGAGGAGACAGCCAGAGAATAGCACGTGGGGCCCGTCGAGGTCAGCTGTGCCCTGACCTGGGGGGTGGGTGCCAAGTCCCAGAGAGTCACGGCCTGGGACGCACCCCCTGTGATCAGGCTCCGCTCATCAGGGAACAGCTTGCAGGTAACAACACGGTCCTGGGGATGCTGTAAGGAAGGGTTCACACACTGGTATCCCCTTGGGGCACCGAACCTGGGTCTCACGTCAGAGGCCCTGTCAGAGTTCCCTGAGTCCTGCTTTGGATCTCCCTCACCTGCAAGTCCAGCTGGGCCCGAGGGGCCTTCTCCCCCGCATGCAGCGCACTCTCATCCCATACCCTGATGTAGCCAGAGCCACACGTGTACACGTGGTGGGTTGAGCCGCTGATGGCCACAGCGTAGACTCTCTTTCCATGGAAGAGTGTGCCAACCTTCCAGGAGCCCTGTGGGGCCCTCTTCTGCCTGACCACAACTTCATCTGGAATGGGGGGCTAGGCAAGGAGAGGGTGGGTAGCAGTGGCCCTGACCTGCTATCATTAATAGGACAGTCCACCCCGTCTTCCAGCTAGATTCTTAACCACCCACCCATCCACCCACCCAACCGCAGAACCTGGCCCCTGGTTCCCAGGGTCACAGCTCTTGAAGAAATGACACTGTGAGCTGAAGACCCTACTTCTCAGGATGGGGGAACAGGGAACATAGCTCAAAAGGAGCAGGAGCCCAGGACACCCCCCTACCTATGGGAGAGAGAGTGAAAGTGTGGACACATGGTTTCTTGATTGGGGGTAGGTGGGAAAGGAAGGATCCTGAGTATGAAGTTGGACACTTACAATTGCTCTGAGCAATGAGAGGACTTCTTCACTGGGAGAGGAAGAAGAGTAAGGCTGGCCTGCAGGGAAAGAGCAATGCCCACCTGCTCACAGAGTCCCACGCTTCAGGGAGAAGCCTGCTCTGTTGACACCAGGCCCCCGTTCCTAGTCCCCCATCTGGGGCCCAGCTTGGGCAACCACACGCACCACTATGACTGGTACTCACCAACCTCAGAACCCAGTAGGAAGCTACAACACATGGAGAGAGGGAGGGAGGAGACAGAGTGTGAGCCACAGAGCTTCCTGCTGGGATGCCCTCTCCCCAGTCCAGTTTGCCACCCCCACTGAGTCAGGTTCAAGCAAGACCTGCCTTGGGCTGGACTCTGCTGCTTCTCCTGGTTGTGCATCAGGGAGCCCAGCGGCCTGGAGCTCAGATCTACCCAGGCCCTGGAGGTGCCACTGCTGCTGGGTCACCGTGCTTGTCTCTTGATCAGCAGGGCTGTGCTGTATTGGGGGGCCCGGGGGCTGCCAGGGCACTCCCAACAGACTGCCCAGTTGCTGCTGCACTTGTGGCTCAGGCTGAGAGGAAACGCCAGAGCTTTCCAGCACATCCCTCCTCTCCTCTGGCTCACCATAAGCCCCGAACATTCTGAGCGATGCCTCTTCCTTCTCTCCACTCATGTTCTTAGATCAGTGAGGTGTCTGGACCACCCGGTTCTAGGACTTGACAAATAGACCCGCCAAACAGACACCAGGTTCCCAGTGTGTCCTGATCCCCTGTAAGGTGAAAAAAAAGAGACGCAGCTATGCACATGTGCTCTGTAGGGTCTCTTTAGAAGGGGCAGAGAATGTCTCCTTTGGTGAAAAGATTCAAAAGAGTGGTTGCCAACTAGCTTTTCACATTAGGTGTTGGCGGCAATGATGTCAAGGGTGAAAGCGTCACACAAGCACTTTGAGATGTTAGTGCCAGGCATTGTATTTTTCCTTTTATGCAAATGGACTGTATTTCTGGTCATTTAAAAATCAAACTCACCTGCCGGGCACGGTGGCTCACACCTGTAATCCCAGCTCTTTGGGAGGCTGAGGCAGGCAGATCACAAGGCCAGGAGTTTGAGACCAGCCTGGCCAACATTGTGAAACCCAATCTCTACTGAAAATACAAAAATTAGCCGGGCATGATGGCACGTGCCTGTAATCCCAGCTACTTGGGAGGCTGAGGCAGGAGAATCACTTGAACAGAGGAGGCGGAGGTTGCACTGAGGTGAGATCGTGCCACTGCACTCCAGCCTGGTCAACAAAGCAAGACTCCGTCTCAAAAAAATCAAACTCACCTTTTCATCTGGCTGTACATATTTCAAATGAGGGCTCATACCTAAGCTAAATAAAATATAAGGCAACAGGAAATTCCACATACAACATGTGTCTCTCACCTAGAGGGGTTGGAGGAAACCCCAAGAGATCATAAGAATATAAGGTGTCCTACTTGGACGGGGCAAGGCTATCTAATGATGAAGTTGGCTTGGAGGTGATTACTATTTCCTACCCTATGGGATAATTCTGAGAACTGGATGCAATCACTCAAGTAGAATACTCGGCATTGTACAAGGCTAGTGGTAAACAATCAATAGAAGATAGTACACTTATTTGAGGCCTGTGTCAGGGACCAGAGCTTTGAGGATTTAAGTAGACCAAATACCCTCCTTCAGGAAGGCTCCTGCCCAACAGCCAGCCCTAGGAAGGCCCTGGAGAGACCCAGGGTTCTATGAACAGAGCACATCAGGAGCCTTAGGGATGGGACAAGACAATGCGCGGGGAAAGGATCTTCAAGTGAGAACCACCAGCTTGACAGCCAGGCTCAATAGCTGGCTCTCAAACACCCACGAACTCTATGGCAAGCACCAGGGTGGGGGCCCAGGCTACCTGTCCTTGGGAAGATGCAGGGGAGAGTTTTACTTCTCTGTGTGTTTGGCCCTGAACTAAATGCTTTACATAGCTGATCTCATTTTATGCTCACAACTATATGGGCCCCATTTTATAGATTTTTTAAAACTGGAGCTTGGAGAGCACTGGGTCCATGATCAAACTGCTAGAAAACACAGAGAGGAGGTTCGAACCCTGTCCTGCATAGCTCTAAACCACCTCCTTTCCTACCTCCCTATTAGAAGGAAGGCAATATCCGCCATTATTACCGATGCAGTGACCTTTAACCTAGTACTTCCACTTCTAAAAATGTACCCTAGAGGTGCACTTGGATATATGCAAAATAATAGATGTACAAGCTGGAGAACAGCAGCACTGTTTGTGACAATATTGGGACATTGTTTGTTATAACCTTTGCAGAGCCAAGATTGCACCACTGCATTCCAGCCTGGGATTTGGCAGATGTCTGGCCAATGCCCAAATGGCCATGGGAGGAGACTGGTGCAATAAGTTAGAGTATAGCCATATGGTAGAATGGTATGCAGCTATTAAAAATAACAAGGACATGGCTAGGCACGGTAGCTCACGCCTGTAATCCCAGCACTTTGGGAGGCCGAGGCAGGCAGATCATGAGGTCAGGAGTTCAAGACCAGCCTGACCAACAAGGTGAAACGCTGTCTCTACTAAAACTACAAAAATTAGCCAGGTGTGGTGCCACGCACCTGTAATCCCAGCTACTCAGGAGGCTGAGGCAGGAGAATTGCTTGAACCCGGGAGGCGGAGGTTGCAGTGAGCCGAGATCGTGCCAATGCACTCCAGCCTGGGTGGCAGAGTGAAACTCTGTCTCAAAATAAATAAATAAAATAAAATAAAATAAAATAACAAGGATGCATACATTGATATGGAATATTCCAAGGTGTATTAATAAGTGGGTGAAAACTGCAATGTTCAGAAAAATGTGCCAAATATGCAACTTTTATGTAAAAGAAAAATGGAAATTAAATTTATCTTTGTATATAAGAAATTAGAAACAGTGGTTGCCTTTCAGAGATGGAAATTGGCAAATAGGAAAGAAGAATGGGAGGGAGATTTGTCACTGCATAACTCAGTACCTTTTCTGCATATTTCTGGACATTCAAACCTATGTTAAAAATGGTTGGATCTGGAGCCTTTCTCATCTCACCCCAAATGTTGATCCTCCTGATTCTTAGTTGTTTAAATAATTTAACGCACTCTCCTTGACTTGCGTCAGGCTCCTCTAATTGGAGACACCAGGGCTGAGCTTGGAGCATGGAAACTCCCAGCAGAGACCACCACTGCTCAGACCCCCTTTTGGGGCCTACATAAAGTTTAAAAGCAGTGAAACTATTTAACCAGGGCTTCAGCCTCCAAATTTGCCAGAATTTCACCCTAAGAATAAAACAAGGCTTTCTAGAAAGAGCAGGAGGAAGAGTCAGTATCACCGATTCCCTTCTCTTCTCTCTCCCAGAGCTAGGAACACAGAGCTCCCCACCCTCTTACCAGACAACTCTCTTTCCAAAGCCCCCAGAATGCTGGTCTGGGGGCTCACTCAAACCCCCCATGGCAGGAAACTCACCTCTGAAGGAAGAAGGTCAAACCCTAGACATGGGAAGTCAGCCAAGCTAAGACCCAGCCAGGCATAAGAATCCCCACATCCTCTCCCAGCCCCAGACCCTCCCTTCCACACCCAGGTGCTGCCCCTATCCTGCGGTGCTGCTGCTTTTAAACGTGAGCCTAATGGGTTGTCAAGCCCTGGGTCAGAATCTCGGTCAGGTATCCTGGCCCTGAATGGCTGTCAATCAATCACCAGACGTGGCCACACAACCAACCCCGCTGAGCCAAGCTGCTGCTGGCGGTATCTCAGGTTAACCTATGAGCCCTTGAATTGGGGGTAGTAAGACAGGGACCCACCAAGTATTTTCATGGTAGGAGTTAAGATAGAGGGAGACATTTTTAGGGGGATACGTCTTTGGACTGGATTCAAACCACCCTACAAGAGCCAGCGTCTGTGCAAAGATGGGGAGTTGAGTTGAGCTGTTCGCCAGAGCCAAGAGTCAGAGTCTCAGCTCCAGGTGAATCTCCTTTGCTTGAGAAGGCTGATCTTGGCCTGAAGCCAACAGTGGGTGACTGTGGGAGGGACACGGGGCCGCTTTCCTCTTCCTCCCCTGCTCTGGCCTGAGCGTGCCTGGCTCTGGGCCTCTAATCTTTTACCAGTGTCCCTGAAAGCAAAGACTGAGGAACACTCTCTTTTTCGTGGCTGTCTCAGCCAGTGGTTCTTACATTGGAGCACACATCAAATCCCCTGGAGGCCTTGTTAAAAGTGTGGTGGACCCACTCCCAGAAATTCTGATTCAGGGCTGGGCACAGTGGCTCACACCTGTAATCCCAGCACTTGGGGAGGCCGAGGCGGGCAGATCACTTGAAGTCAGGACCAGCCTGTCCAACATGGTGAAACCCTGTCTATACTAAACATACAAAAATTAACTGGGTATGGTGGTGCACGCCTGTAATCCCAGCACTTTGGGAAGCCGAGGCAGGTGGATCACCTGAGGTCAGATGTTTGAGACCAGCCTGGCCAACATGGTGAAACCCTGTCTCTACTAGAAATACAAAAATTAGCTGGGCATGATGGTGCGTGCCTGTAATTCCAGCTACTTGGGAGGCTGAGGCACAAGAATTACTTGAATCTGGGAGGTGGAGGCTGCAGTGAGCTGAGATTGCGCCACTGCATTCCAGCCTGAGTGACAGAGTGAGACTCTGTCTCAGAAAAAAAAAAAAAAAAAGGAAAAGAAAGGGAGGGAGGAGAGAGAGAGAGAAGAGAAGAAAAGAAAGGAAGGAAGAAACAAAGAGGAAGGAAGGAAGAAAGGAAAGAGAAGGGAGAAGAGAAGAGAAGAGAAGAGAAAGAAATTTTGATTCAGTAGGCATGGGTGGGGCCCAAGACTGTGTTTCTAACAAGTTCCCGATGTGTTGGTGATGCTGTTGCTGCTGCCACCAGGCTGGGGACCAGCATCTGAGAGGCACTGGGGGAACCCTTCGGTCTGAGGATCCCTTTCTGGAAGGAGAGGAAGGGGTGATGAAGCTGGACCCCTTTCCTCCTTCACTCCTTGCTTTTGCCTCCATTCCCTGATCACCCCCTTTCCCCCACTGAATCTACTGTCTCCTCTCCTCTGGCTTCTTTCTCATTCATTGGCTCCCTTCTTTTGAAGAAATCCTGAGATGGCTGCTACTTACAGAGGAATCTTTTACCACCCCTGACCTCCAATCTCCAAAGCTCTCTGTCTCTCCCTTCTCCCCTCTGCCTCACTTACACACCCCTTGTCCCCAGAACGTCTGTGGCTGCCTATTGCCTTCAAGATAATGTTGCTGGAAAGAGAGGGTCCTGATCCAGACCCCAAGAGTCTTGGATCTCACGCAGGAAGGAATTAAAGGCAGGTCACAGAGTGCAGCGTGAAAGAAACAAGTTTATTAGAAACTACTCTGTTGTAGAGTGGAGCATCCTCAGAAAGCAGGAGGAGGAACACACCATCTTCTGTTAGTGTCTCTACTTATAAGAAACCATAAGGAGTGGCCGGACACAGTGGTTCACAGCCGTAATCCCAGCACTTTGGGAGGCCGAGGCGGGTGGATCACCTGAGGTCACGAGTTCGAGACCAGCCTGGCCAACGTGGTGAAACCCGTCTCTAATAAAAATACAAAATTAGCCAGGCATGGTGGCATGCCTATCATCCCAGCTACTCAGGAGGCTGAGGCAGGAGAATCACCTGAGCCCAGGAGGCAGAGCCCTGAAGCAAGATTGCGCCACTCCACTCCAGCCTGGGTGACAGAACGAGACTCCATCTCAAAAAAAAAAAAAAAAAGAGAGAGAGAAAGAAAGAAAAGAGAAAAAAGAAAAGAAAAGAAACCATAAGGAGCTGTAATTAAACTTGGAATGTGCAGATTGCTTGCTAAAGGTAAGGGATATTGGTGGGCGGCTGTAATCCCAGCTATTCGGGAGGCTGAGGCAGGGAGAATCACTTGAACCCAGGAGACAGAGGTTGCCGTGAGCCAAGATCGCACCACTGCACTCCAGCCTGGGTATCAGGGTGAGACTCCATCTCAAAAAAAAAAAAAAAAAAAGCGAAAATAGGGACAGCCCGAGGAGTTGCAAGAGTCAAAGAGAGCCGTGGTTCTTATACCCAGAGGCAAGTTAAAGGCAATTGGTGCTTTAGAAATAACCAGATGGACAGAGAGTGCATCCTGTTGTCCCTCAGCCGTGGATAGAGGGACCCAGCTTGAGCTCAGGATGTGCCATAGTTGAAATTCAGGTGTATGTGGGCAACAGGTGGGACCCCCTTGACCAAAACTGTCACAACCAGGGTAAAGTTGATTCCACGCAGAGAAAGCAAACAGGGCTAATGATAGTAATCAAACACACCTGTGCCCCTTCCCCACCACCTTTCCATCCCCGTGGCCAGTTGGCACAGTCTTACTGACCCCCGCTGTGCTGGGCACTGAGGAGATGAGGCTGGGCCCACAGAGCTGACCATGACCCGTGTGGAATTCCCTCTTTGAAGGGAAACTGACCACTGAACTGGAGATTACAAGTCAGAGTGGAAAGTGACATGGTGGAGGAGGAGGGCTGTAAAGGGGTGGGGTGTGTGAGCCCAGAGAAAGTCACATAACCTGGAAGTGAAAGGTGATAGGGAGTACGTAAGGTCAGAAGGATGGAAGGACTCAGCGGGGGAAGCAGGGTAGCAGAGAGCATAGGAGAATGTTCCAGACAGACAGAAGGGCAGAGGCAAAGGAATGGATTTTAGCAATTGGGAGAATTTTCTAGGGGCTGGAGCACAGAGGGTGTGTGTTTTGGAGGCAGGGAGGGCAGGAATGTGTCCTCCTTTCCAGAGAGAGTTGGAAGGCATTTGGGGGTGGTTCTGAGCTGGGGGAGACATAATCAGAGTTGGGTTTCAGAAGGAGGACTGTAGCTGTTCTTCTAGGGATAGAATGGGGGGAAGGGACAAGACTGGAGGCTGGGAACCAGCTAAAAGAAAAAGACACTCCACATCACCAGTCATCCGGGAAATGGAAATCAAAGCCACATGTAATAGATCACTTCACACACCCTAGGATGGCTATGACAGCCACCAAAACCACAGAAAATAACAAATGTTGGTGAGAATGTGGGGAAATTGGAACCCTCCTACGTTGCTGATAGGAATACCACGGAGCAGCCACTGTGAAAAACAGTTTGGCAACTCCTCAGAGTTAACATGTGACCCAGCAGCTCCACTCTTAAGTATATGCCCCCAAAAATGGAAAACAGGGACTTAAACATTTCTTGGACACCAGTGTTCACAGAAGCATTATTCACAGTAGCCAAAAAGAAACAACCCAAGTGTCCCCCAATTGAAGAATGGATCAAAATGTGGTGTAAATATACAACGGAGCATTACTCAGCCATAAAAAGAATGAAGCTGTGATACACACTACCACATGGGTGAACCTGAAAATATTATGCTATGTGAAATAAGCCAGACACAAAAGGCCAATACTGCATGATTCTATCTACATGAAATATCCACAAAAGGCCAGTCCTTAGAGACAGAAAGCAGGTTAGTGGTTGCCAGGGACTGGCAAAGGGGAATGGGACGCCACTTCTTAATGGGTCTGGAATTCCTTTTGGGATGACAAAAAAGTTCTGAAACTAGAGGGTGGTGATGGTTGTGCAACATTGTGATGTACCTAATGCCACGGAATTGTACACTTTAAAATAGCTAAGATGAGCCGGGCACCTGTAATCCCAGCTACTCGGGAGGCTGAGGCAGGAGAATCACTTGAACCCAGGAGGCAGAGGTTGCAGTGAACCGAAATCGGGCGACTGCACTCCAGCCTGGGCAACAGAGCGAGACTGCGCCTCAAAAGAAAAAAAAAATAGCTAAAGTGTTAAATTTCATGTTATGTGTATTTTACAAGAAAGACCCAAAACCAGACATGGGGTCATGAGTTAGGGGTCCTGCAAATCCCAACAGCATTTTTCCTTCTTCCCCTTTAGCCAGCAAACTCCAGGCACTTTAGCTGGTGGTTTTCTTCCCTTTGCTCCCCTAGAAGAGCCACACAGCTGCAGGTGTCCCAGCCCGGAGGCTATGGGTAGCTGTCGTCAAATGGCTGGTGGGACCCCAACACCTAGTGGGCCAACACAAAGGTCAGAGATGGGGTCATCTGGGCAGAACTGCGACTGTGAGCCTCCAGATCTTTATTTGAGGGCTGACGCGCCCTCTGGCGGGCACCTGGAAGGGACAATGCACGGCCAGGCCCCTCCTCCCACCTCCTCCCTCACTGTCACGGGGAGCCCCAACTCCCCATTCCTTGCCAAGGCCCCTTCCTCCTAGCATGGTGACGCTGCCCTTCCCACAAGCACGGTGGCGTCTCCCGCATCGTACATTGCTCTTCCCACCCACCTCGCGTCCCGTCCCTGCCATGGGAAGTTTGCATTCCCAAGTCCTGCATTCCGATTTCTGTCCTGGGTCCATCTCTTATCTCCCCAGGGACCTGTTACCAAAGCCCCCTGCTCAGTCACTCTCAGGAGCCCGCCGGCAACTTTCCGCCTCCCCCACAGTCCTCGACAGCAACTCTACAATGTGGGCCTCGCAGCAGGATTTCACTCGATTTATTTTGTAAGAAAAGTTCACTTTTTTTTGTTGTTGGTAGAGACAAGGGTCTCACTTTGTTGCCCAGGCTGGTCTTGAACTGCTGGCCCCAAGCAATCCTCCCGCCTCGGCCTCCCACAGTGCTGGGATCACAGGCGTGCGCCACCGCGTTGCAATGGCTGCACTAACCACTCAGAGCGTCCTTGGGGTTCTGGCCTGCAGGGCGCGGCGTGCGCGGCCGGGCTTGCTAGGTTAGGGACCCGCTGCCCCAGGACTCCGGCCGTGGGCAGCTGTGACAGGGCTACTCCTCTGGGTCGGGCAGGGTCCAGCCCTCGCTTGGCCGGCGCCCCAGGGCCTGGCTCTTGGATTTTCCTCCCGCGCTCCCGGAAAGCGGGCAGGGGTGCAGCGAGCGCGCCGGCCGCCAGGGGGCACCAAGGGCCGGGGGCAGCAAGGACTCCTCGTGGCTTCTCCGCCCACCGCGCAGGGCGCAGACTTCCGGACGCAGGGCCCCGCTCCCCTGCCCCCTTCCAGACCGAGGCCAGAGCCGAGGCCCAGGGTCAGAAGCGCTGGCCCACGGCCGACGCATAGGCAGACAGGCCCTCGGGCGCTCACGCGCAGTCTCCAACTCCAGCCGGCGTCGCCGGCGCCAGCACCTCCGCGGGCGGCCCCAGCCTGGGAGCACGTGGGCCGCGGGGCTGCGGGCCGATGGCGGGGTGGGGACCAGCAGACGCGCGGGGATCCACGGCAGAACAGCCCCTTACCGTGGCGGGGGCGCTGAGGTCCCTCGGGGCAACCAGAGGACGGAGGCTTGGTGCCGCAGGGCAGTCGGGAAGGCTTCCTGGAGGCTGGGCTTGAGCCGAAGGTGGGTGGGATTTCGGTGGCTGGCAGGGGGTGGGGGCCACGCCTCAGGAACACTGAAGCCACTTGGGGAACAGGCGGCACAGTGAGAGATCCAGAAGGAGGAGAAAGCCGGAAAGCGAGCAGAGGTGGCCCAGACCGTGCAGGGGAGGTCCCTGAGACCCTGCCCGGTACAGGATGTGCTAAAGGACCACCTGGTCTGTAGTGGGTCTCTGGGCCTGCGAGCTAGGGGAAGGGGCTACAGGGGTCCTCGCCTTCCCCCAGGCTGCGGCGTTCCCCAGGAGAAGGCCAAGGTTGACCCATGTAGGATTCCCCAGCAGGTGGTCAACCCCTGGCCTGTGGAAGGGGCCTGCGGACAGTGCTGGAATGGAATGGAGTGCAATGGAATGTGTCGGAGGATGTCCTCATCCTCTCCAGGCCAGAAGATAACAGATGTGCAGGAGTGGAGATTTCAAAGGCAGAGAGAACAGGAGAGAATCCAGAGCCTCTTCCCAGAACCCCCAGCCCCTGCAGAGAGAGGGCCCCCAGGCCTCCGGGAGACTGTGCAGATGACACAGGAGCTCTGCTCCTCAGCGCATGGACGCCCTGCTTAGGCCTCGCACCAGGCTCTCCCCTCTACCTGCGGGTGCCTTGAGACAGGACAGCCATGTTTTCCTTTGAGCTTCTATTTCCCCTCCTGACCTAGCCAGAGCAGGCCCAGGTGTTCTCTGAGGTCCCTTCCAATGTGACAGGCCAAGGTGGGTGTGTGCACCTTGCACTGCAGGGACAGAACATGCAGATCCCGACTGAAGGAGAAAGACTTTAATCCTCCCCCTTCCAGGCCCAGGGCTCCAGTTAAGACAAGCAGAAGTGCTACTGTGCGGGGTTCTGGAGTCTCCTGTGCTCAGGTTTCTTGCTGTCCTGGTAAGGCCTCCACTGCACGCACATGGCTCAAGACTGGTGTGGTGAACACCAAGGCTACCCAGTCTCCTGGGTGGTGGGGTCATGTGACTTCACGAGGCTTTGCAGGTGTCTGACTGCCTTCTTCACCCTCCAGTCATTGAGGTCTGAGCAGATGACCTGCCCTGGACAGTAACAAGCCTACGGAGAGGGAGAAAACCGTCAGAGTCCTGGGACCATCCCCACCCTATGCTGACCAGGAGCCTGAGGCTGAGAGGCCCAGGGTCACATGGGACATTGGTGGCAGATCTGAGATATCAGGTTATGTCCTCTAGGATTCTCAATCTTCCATGAGTCCGAGCCTTGATCCTGCCACTGCAAAGAAACTGTGGACCCTGCGGGAAGCCAGGGCTGCAGGACTTCTTGTCCCCCTCTACGGACTGCCATGTCTCAGAGACCTGCAGAGGCTGTCCATCAACTGGGAAGGCTGGGGTGAGCCCTGGCCTTCTAAACTCTCCTCTGGCCCCAGTGAGAGACCACATCAGCCCCTGGTTTGCTGCATGACCAGGGGGTCGTCCCATCCATCTCTGGGCCTCAGTTTCTCTAAATGTAAATCCAGGACTTGGACCCCTCCAGGGTCTCAGTGCTTGGTCTGGAACAGCCCAGAGGAACAGGGCTGGCTGGTCAAGGAGAAGAAGGGTCCTGCTCTCCCCTCTCCCCAAGGTGTGGTCTGGGGGCTCCAGGGGCTGCCTCCTCCCATGCCCAGCTCCTAGGATGCCTGGGGTGGGGCAGACTTACACGATGGCATCCCTAGGACACTCTACCAAGGTCCCGTGCCACGTGACAAGCTTTCGGACAGGAATGGCTCCTTTGCAATACTCAAGGCAGCACTCCTGGCCGACACCAGCCCTTGAGCTACAGAGAGCTGGTGCAGGAGTGTCTATGTGAGGGTGTGGCCTGTAGGGTGTACCATGTGTACCACTAGGTGTGTCTGTGGATGTGGGGGTCTGTGGGGTACACCGTGTGTGTGTGTCTATGTATGTGAGGGGTCTGTGTCTTTGTCTATGTGTGCATGTGTGTCTTATGTGTGTCTATGGGTGTGGGGGGGAGTCTCTGTGTGTCTATGTGTGTATGTGTCTATGTGTGTGGGGGTCTGTGTGTATGTCTATGTGTGTGCATGTGTCTATGTATGTTGGGGGGGTCTGTGTGTGTCCTTGTGCGTTGGCTATGTGTGATGGGGTATCTGTTTGTGATCTATGCGTGTCTGTGGATGTGGGGGTCCGCAGGGTGCACTGTGTGTGTGTCTATGTATGTGGGGGGTCCATGTGTGTCCATGTGTGTCTGTGTATGTGGAGGTCTATGGGGTACACTGTGTGTGTCCCTGGGTGTGTGTGTGCATCTCGCTTGTGCCTATGGGAGAAGGATTTGGGGGCTTCCTGCATGTGTGCACCTGTGCATGACTGTACATCAGATGTGCACACACTCAAACCACCACCCCCTTCACCACCTCTGGGCCAGGCTCTGGCTGAGCCTTTCCTGGAAGCAAGTATTTCAGGCCTCACAACCGTATCTGGAAGGCAGGTTCTCTGTTACCCCATTTTACAGATGATCAAATGGAGGCCCAGAGATATGAAGACACTTCAGACCTGTTTTCTCATCTGTGTGCAAAAAAAAAAAAAAAAAAAAAAAAGATATCCAAAACTTGGAAATGGGCAAAATGATGATTATGTGTCTTTTAAAAGTATATATTATGCATTTTCTAGGCATTTCTCCCCCAGCTGTCCTTGGACTCTCCCGGGGATAAAATTCAGTTTGACTACCTCTGATTGGGGCCCCACCCTTTCACAGTCCTGTGAACGTAGAGCAGACTTACAGCAAACTTAAGGGTGGGACCACGTCATTTGTCTGAGAAGATAACCCAACCTCCAGTCCTTACCCTAAGTAATTCTTCATCTGGCTGTTCATTTGTATCCTTTACAACAAAATGGTAATAGTAACATGTTTTCCTGAGTTCTGTGCACTGTTTTAGCAAATTACTGAGCTGGAAAAGGGGGTCATGGGAACCCCCAATTTGTAGCCCTATCACACAGAAGCATGGGTAACCTGGGGACCCTCTACTTGTAACTTGTGTCTGAAGTGCAGGGCAGTCATGTGGAAGTGAGCCCTTAACCTGTGGTGTCTTCACTTACTCTGAAAGTGTCAATTGTTAAAATTGTAGGGCCGGGCGCGGTGGCTCACGCCTGTAATCCCAGCACTCTGGGAGGCTGAGGTGGGCGGATCATGAGGTCAGGAGATCAAGACCATCCTGGCTAACACGGTGAAACCCCGTCTCTACTAAAAATACAAAAAATTAGCCGGGCGTGGTGGCGGGTGCCTGTAGGCCCAGCTACTTGGGAGGCTGAGGCAGAATGGCATGAACCCGGGAGGTGGAGCTTGCAGTGAGCCGAGATCAGGCCACTGCATTCCAGCCTGGGTGACAGAGCGACTGTCTCAAAAAAAAAAAAAAAATTGTAGGACACCCAGTTGGTGTCTGCAGAGAATTGGAGAATCGTGTGAAAAACCGACACATTTGGTATCAAAGGTCTTGTGAAAAGCAGTGTTTCTTTACTACCATTAACAGGTGATGACCCTATTTTCTCCATACTATTATACTGTCCTGGTGTACACAAATAGATTCTGCTGTATGATTTATTGAAGAAAACCACCATCTAGAAATGGACTTTTACTAAAAATTGTTCAAGGATTCTGGGACAATAACCTTCATCTTAACAAGCAAAAAGAGGGACAGAGAGAGATTTCGGATTTTTTAAAATCGGATTTCTAACTTTTTGAAGACCCAGAATATTTGGCATTACTGGAACTGCTTTGCTGCCTACCCAGAATTTGCTACAGCTGAGTTGAGGCTGCCTTCTTTAGGTAGGGGATGCACTCTTCAATTCTCCACCCTCCCTACTCCTTGTCACTCTGTGTAGCCTCATTCGTCTGTCTGACTTTGAGGACACTTGAGTATCTGTGGGCCTACAGGGATGTTTATGAGGATTTGGGGTTTGCTGGTGATCGTTAAGTCTCATTTACTAGCGATTGCTTTTCTCCTGTTTTTATCTGTGGCACGTCAGAAGTCCTGGAACATGAGGATCTGAAGGAAGAGTGATGCTCCCAGTCCAATTATCTTAAATAACTGTCCCACATTCAGAAAACCTCCAGTGGTTTTGAACCTCATTCTAAACTAAATGCAGACTAGCTTCTGTTCTAAGGAGCCTGGGGGCCAGAGACAGCATATGCCTTACAGAGCTCACAGGTGGGCATGGTAAGGAGATGGTGTGTGGCACTTGGGGGATGGCAGAAGTTATCATGTCCCTTTCTTACTACTTACTATTGGGCCTGCTGTTCTTCAGCTTCCTGATAGTTAGCTTGCCTGCTCCTATTAGTGCTTAGAATCTTTTTTTTTTAAGACAGAGTCTCACTCTGTCGCCCAGGCTGGAGTGCAGTGGCATGATCTTGGCTCACTGCAGCCTCCGCCTCCTGGGTTCAAGTGATTCTCCTGCCTCAGCATCCTGAGTAACTGGGACTATAGGCACGCACCACCATGCCTGGCTAATTTTTATATTTTTGGAAGACACGGGGTTTCACCATGTTGGCCAGGATGGTCTCAATCTCCTGACCTCATGATCCGCCCACCTTGGCCTCCCAAAGTGCTGGGATAACAGGCGTGAGCCACTGCGCCCAGCCTATTGCTTAGAATTTTTTAAGGTGTTGAGAGATTCCCTTCCAAAGAGTATCTTGAGGCTTCCAAGATCTTCATCAGAGACCTTGAAAACCACCAATGAGACTGGGAATCCAAGGTAGCCACCTTCCTTCAGGACCTGAAAAGCCATGTGTTTATGCAAGAGTTCCAGTTATTACAAAATAGAAACCCTGTAACATGCTATCTTGTTGACTACATTTTATACTTATATAAAGGGCATCTATAGTAAATGTCATTTTTGACAGCTGCATAGTATCACATGTATGCATATATAACAATGTAATATGCAAAAAAACTTACTAATTTTCACACCTTAGAGTACTGAGATTGAATACCTCTTCTTACTTTAACAGTCATTTTTTAGTATCTGTTTAAAAGCTGCCTGTTAGTGTGTCTAAATTATTTATCTTTAGATATTAATGTTTTAAGAGACAGGGTCTCACTGCCACCCAGGCTGGAGTGCAGTGGTGGTCATAGCTCACTGCAGCCTCGAATTCCTGGAGTCAGGTGATCCTCTTGCCTCAGCCTCCCAAGCAGCAAGGACTGCAGGCACATACCACCACGCCTGGCTTTTATTATTTTTTGTAGCGATGGGATCTTGCTATGTTGCCCATACAGGTCTGGAACTCATGGCCTCACGCAATCTTCCCGTCTCAGCCTCCCAAAGCACTGAGATTACAGGTCTGATCCACCATGCCCAAATACTACACTTTTATATCACAAATTTTACAAAAGTATTTCCCCATTTTGCGCTTTATCTTTTAAACTTTAAAACAAAAACATACAGGAATATTTAGTTTTTGAGTAGTCAATTTATCAGTACATACCCTGTGGATAGTTTCTAGCTTTCATCTAATACTTAGAAAGGTTTTCTCAATTACATGAAAATTAAAAATGTACTCATACCTTTTTCCTTTTTTAAATAAATCTTTATTTTTCATCTTTTCAAAAGTAATACATGCTTGTTGTCAAAAATTAAACAAATAAATTAATGTAGGTAGAGTATCTTTAGTACGGGTTTTCCTATCCAACAACAAGGCTTCTCTCTCTCTCCATTTATTCAAATTTCCTTTGTAAAGTGGCCCTCAGTGAAGACTTAAATTTCTCCATACAAGTCCTCCATAACTGTTTATTTCTAGAAAATCTACTTTTCTTGATGCTGCTGGGAACGAAATCTTTTCATTATATTTTCTAATTCCTGTTGGTACAAAACAAAGCTATTTTTGGATGTTTCTCTTTAACTGGTCATCCTTTCCTGATTTAAACTGAATAGAATAAAAACTGTTTCCATATGAAGACTCTGCCATATTCATGCCCTCTTGGAGGTTTTTCAATGGATGAATCTGATGATACTTGATCCATTTTGGCATTAACCTTAAGAGTTTTCTATATCTTTCTCATTATTAGGATTTTCCTTCACTATGGACACTCTGATGCTGACTGAGCTGGAAGCTAAACCTGAATGCTTTCCCACACACACTACACATATAGGGTTTCTTCCAAGTGTGGACTGTCTGATGTATAATGTAGTCAGAACTAAAGCTGAAGCCTTTGCCACATTCCACACATCTGAAGGGTTTCTCCCCAGTGTGGCTTCTCTGATGCCGAATTAAATGGGCATTAACATGGAAGGCTTTTCCACACTCCTTACACTGAAAGGGTTTCTCTCCTGTATGGATTCTCTGGTGCACAATATAGTTAGAACTACAGCTGAATGCTTTCTCACATTCCATACATTTGAAAGGTTTCTCCCCAGTATGTATCCTCTGATGCCTAGTTAGTTTGGCATTGATACTGAAGGCTTTCCCACATTCCTTACATTGATAGGGCTTTTCTCCAGTATGGATTCGGTGATGATCAAGTAGGTTTCTTTTAGAAGTAAAGCATCTCCCACACTCATTACATTCAAAAGGTTTCTCCCCAGTGTGAATTCTCTGATGCCGCATTAGTTTCCCATTAACGCTGAAGGCCTTTCCACACTCATTACACTCATAGGGCTTCTCCCCAGTGTGAATTCTCAGATGCTGCCGAAATTGGGAGTTACATCTGAAGGCTTTCCCGCATTCATTACACTCATAGGGTTTCTCGCCTGTGTGAATTCTCTGGTGTTGGATTAACTTCCCTTTGACACTGAAGGCTTTTCCACATTCAGTGCATTCATAGGGTTTCTCACCTGTGTGGATTCTCTGATGCTGAATGAGTTTTGTATTATTATTGAAGCCTTTTCCACACTCTTTACACTGATAGGGCTTTTCTCCTGTGTGGATGCTCTGATGCTGCCTAAGCTGGGAGCTGCACCTGAAGCCTTTTCCACATTCATTACATTCATAAGGTTTCTCTCCAGTATGGATTCTCTGATGTTGAATTAATTTTGCATTAACATTGAACGCTTTCCCACAGTCATTACACTCGTAAGGTTTCTCTCCAGTGTGGACTCTCTGATGTGTAATATATGCAGAACTACAGCTGAAGCCATTTCCACATTCCTTGCACTGATAGGGCTTCTCTCCCGTATGGATTCTCTGATGCCTACTTAGGCTTCCATTAACACTGAAGGCCTTCCCACACATCTTACACTGATAGGGCTTCTCCCCACTGTGGATTGTCTGATGTGTGATATAATGGGAACTGTAGCTGAAGCTTTTCCCACACTCCACACATTTGAAGGGTTTCTCCCCACTGTGAAGTCTCTGATGCCAAATTAATTTCTCATTAATGCTGAAAGCTTTGCCACACTCCGAACACTGATAAGGCTTTTCCTCAGTGTTGTTCTCTTGATGTTGAATAAGTTGAGAGTCACACCTAAAGGGCTCTACTAATTCTTCACATTTGAAAGGTCTTTCCTCAGAATTAATTATTTCATGCTTCACGAGTTTTGTATCAAAGCTGATGGATTTCCCCAATCCTGTACACCCAGAGGGCTGCTCTCCAGTGATGGTATGACACTGATATGAGTTTGAACTTTGACTAAAAAAACACTCCTCCACGGGGCTTGTCTCATCTTTCACTGTTCCATCAATGGTGTTGCTCTTCTCCTTCTTTATATTTCCTGCTGAGTGGACTTCCTGTTGTTTCTCTAGAAGAGAGGCTTCTGAAAAGTCTGTTTCCTGGGAAAAGTCTCTTTGAAGTTCAAATGATACATTCTCTTTTCCTTCATACATTTCCTTTGTCAAATCATTGTCAGTCTGAATATCTACTATAAAAAACAGAAAACATAAAATGTCATGTAAGAACCATGTTAGGAAAAAGAAGAGAACTGTGCTATAAAAGACCATAATAATCAGGGGGCTCCTTAAAATCACCAGACTAGGTCAAAAAACATAGGGTTTCTCCATAAGGTGGGATAAGTAATTTGTAACTAACTAGTAAAAGAATACAATAAATCCATATATGCTGACGTAAAAAGACATCCAAGATACAATCAAATGGAAAAACAAGTTGAAAAAACAGTATATAGAATAGATTTTCAGCTGTGTAAAGAAAAATATAAAAGACAGATATATATATTTGTACATACCTAGAAAACTTCTAGAAGAATCCATAAGAAACTAAATAAACTGGCATAGGAAGTTTAGTGGACTTGCTTCCCTACTTTATACACTTTCTGTACTGTTGAATAGGTGTCAATATTATGAAAGTAATGAAAAGCAATGAAAGTAATGATAAAAAAAAAATCACCATTCCCACTGTGCCTAATACAAGGCCACTGTAGAGAACATAACCAATCACATGAAGGTTAAAAGTGACAGCTGGGCACGGTAGCTCACACCTGTAATCCCAACACTTTGGGAGGCTGAAGCAGGCAGATTGCCTGAGCTTGGGAGTTTGCAACCAGCCTGGGCAACACAGTGAAACCCCGTCTCTACTAAACCACAAAAAATTAGCCGGGTGTGGTGGTACGTGCCTGTAGTTCCAGCTACTCGGGAGGATGAGGCAGGAGAATTGCTCGAACCCGGGAAACGGAAGTTGCGGTGAGCCAAGTTCTTGCCACTGCACTCCAGTTTGGGCGACAGAGCGAGACTCCATCTCAAAAAAAAAAAAAAGTGACAGTAGTGGAATAAAATTCTAGGTCTTGTCCACCAGCTCAGCATTCTTTTAATCACACCATGCTTTTCTACACCCTGCAGTTTCTTCTTAGTTGTTCCTATAGCACTCAGTTCCTTACTTAAAAAAAAATGGAAAATGCTGAAGAAGGAAAAGGCACAGGATCCAACAGAATATGGCAACTTGGAAGATGACAACAGTCAGCAGCACCAGGGAGCAAAATGGAAATAATTTTGTTTCTTTCCTTAGAACATTAACTGTGGGCTTTCCAAAATTTGTCCTTCAACTTCATTTCTACTTTAGACAGGCTCTATTTGAGGTCCATCTCATCCCCTTTCTTCCCATTCCCCTCCAAATACTGCTGCATTAACCTTGCCTTTTCCTTTCACTTCTTCCTCTAATCCTAAACTTGATCATTCCCTAAAAATCTTTTTATAATCCCAATAGTCTTTAGAACTAGAACTACTCATCTCTGCATTTGTTCCCAACTTTCTCAAAAGCTCAGTCCCAAAATGCTGCCTCATATTTTTTCATCTTTCATCACTCCTCAACCACATGTAATATGCCCCCTGCCCCAGTATTTCATAATTGCCCTCAATAAGCCCCTCCAATTGCCTGGATTCCCCAGCAAGCACTTTCTAAATAATACTGGTCTCTTCCCAACTAAAAAAATAATACTCATCTGTTGCTATAGACTGAATGTTTGTCCTCCCCACAAATTCATATTCTGAAGTCCTAACCCCTGATGTGATTGTATCAGGAGGTTGAGCTATGGCAGAACCCTCATGAATGGGATTAATGCCCTTAAAAAAGAGCCCAGAGAGCTCCCTTTCTTGCCACCATGTGAGGATACAGTGAGAAGACAGCTGTCTATTAGCCGGGAAGCAGGCCCTTGCCAGACAGAACCTGCCTGAACCTTGATCTTGGACTAGAACTGTATGAAATAAATTTCTGTTGTTTATAAGCCATCCAATCTATGGCAGTCTGTTATTGTAGCCCAAACTGACTAAGACATCTATACTATCAGATGTCTAGTCATCCTCTCCAGAAGTCTATTCCTGCTTTGCTGCACTCTCACCAACATTGAATATAATTTAATTATTCTCAATATGATAGGTGAAATATCTCTCGTTTTCACTTTCCTCTCTTGCAGTGAGGATGGCCATTTGACACAGTTACAGCAAATGAGTCTTAAACAGGTATCACTGACTGGGCTTCTGAAGATTTTTAAAAAGAAAGTCAACACTGCTGCCATGGGCCTCATGCCCTTTGCCCTCCCTTCTGCCTGCCTAGAGCCTGTTTGATTCCTCATCCCAATTAACCCACACACACTGACTACATTAATGTTTCTATCACCAGCTAGGATCATGATGGGTTTCCTGGAAAAGTCAAAGACTTCAGGACAGTCAGCTGTCTACAGAATAAAATACAGGGTCCTTTGATTAAGACCTCACAATATCACTTTTTTCCCTATATTTGTCAAGGCCATTATACGGCAAACTCCATTTCCAAAACATGCCTTCTTTGGTCAGATATCGTCTGATAGAATGATCAAAAGGAATAAAAACCTACAGAAACCATCTAAGAAAAATGAAGACTCACTGAAAAAATTCAAGAGAATCTCACAGACCCTAAATATAAGAAATAACGGGGGGCCTCGGGGGGAATGAGAAGTCATTTGGCAGCTACTCTGCTGGCACCAATTGGAGCCCTGCTCCTTCAAGTGTGGTCTGGTAACCAGAAGTACTGGCATCGCCACATCACCAGGGAACTTCATAGAAATGCAGACTCCACACTTACTGCATATCTGTAAGACCTCAGGATTCCTTTACACATTCACATTTAAGAAGCAAAAATTAAGAGCACTTCCTCCCTTCCACATTACCTTCCCTGTGTACAGCTGTATTCCCCAAAACCAAAATAAAAATACTGAACTGAGCACACATTATAAGCTAGGTATTTGATATGTGTTATCTCATTTAAACCTCAACCCACAAGATAGTACTATTACCTCCTTTTATTATTAACCCATTTTCAGAGATGAGAACACTCAAATAACCTACTCAAAGTCACGCAAATTAGGAAGCAGCACAGTTGGGACTGGACCTCAGAAAAGTCTCCTCTAAAGACTGTGCTTTTAAGCACTTCTATCTGTGTGAAAAGGCTGTTAATTCTGTATCCTCCACACTATGTGAATAATGCTTAGAAATGGCAAGGAACCCCCAAACTACTGAGTCCCTTAATTTTGTCTGAGAAAGGCAGGATTCCAAAATTAGCATTGAAGAGTCAGAATGAAGGGTTTGAAAAAAGATCTGTTCTTGGAATTAGACACAACAAACTTTGAAGACAGAAAGATAAGGACTACCTATCTCTATGAATCATCAAAATTTACTCAAACTTCACTCTGTATGACTGGCCAATAAACACAGTATGTTTATATGTTGCTAAAGCTGGCTTTATGCCTAAAGTGCTAAATTCCAACAGAGTGGGAAATATGTACCTCCCTTACCAGTCTGGAGGCCCTGGAGGCCTGTTCCTGCAGCCAGTGGAGATGAGCCCCCCAGCTCACTTCCTCCCTCCAGTTGTGAGATCACAGCAGGTTTGAGAAGTGGAAATCCTGGTTTGGGAGAGGTAAATAGGAGAGACAGATGAATAAACTCCCACAGACAAATTCCTAAGCCTCTTCTCAGACTGTCTCAGCAATGGGGAGGGAAGGTAAGAACCCCAGGAGGTCCCAAGCCTCAGGACTACGGGAAAGTACTGTGGGGCTTAGGAAGGACTAAAGAGACCTTGGAGACTTCCAAGGGCTTTGGGAGGCAAATGTGGGGGTTGGGGGTGAAGGCTTGGGAACGTGTGGGAGAGCCTGGTTAGGGCCCAGACTGTAGGCCTAGGAGACCTCATGCAGGGCAAGCAGGGAGATTCTGCCCAAAGGGATACCACTTTTTGACCTTGGCCTGAAATAATCCAGAGTACACTGAGATCCTTGAAAAGACTCAAGACAGGTAAGATGAGGGGGCAACTGAAGATGCCACTGTGGAACAGGAAGCAACTGGATTCCAGTGTTTCCAAAACATAGCTTTCATGGGTTGGATCAACAGTGCATACCAGTTCCAAGCAAAGTCCTATATAGGCCTACAAAAGGCTTGGCATTTGCCCCTGCCAGTAACCTCTAAGTCTAGATTAGGAACAGCTCTGGGGTTCTCACTCAGTAAAGGATTACCAGAGATCCCCTCAGTAACCTGTAAGGGAGAAGCAAGCCAGGAACCCCAATTGGCAGATTCCAGGTTCCCAGGGTAGAGAGGTCTTACCCAGGGAGGCCACATTCCCATAATTCTCCAGCATCACATCCCTGTACAGGGTCCTCTGTGCAGGGGACAGGCCATCCCATTCCGCCTGGGTGAAGTACACAGCCACGTCCTCAAAGGTCACCGACTTCTGAAACAATAGGTTCCTGCTGCCCTAGGGCCAATTCCATAGCTCAGGCCCTAAGTGAGGGGCAGAGCGCAGTATAAGGGCTTGGGGAGGGTGCTTGTGAGAGCACAAAATTAGTATTAACAACAAGGGGAAGATCTCAGAAAAAAAATATCGAGAAAGTAAACTACAAAGTATCCACATTCTCCCACAGCAGGGAAACCTCATGCCATTTTTCACACAAATAAGAGGTCACATTAAGACAGGCTGAAAGAAAAAAATTTCCATAAGCAAATTCTCTAAAGCCAACTCCACTCTTTTAGATAAGCTGCTCCCTCCCAGCAAACTCGGGGCTGATCCACCAGCAGGTCCCACACCACTCCCCTGCGCCTAACCTCAGCCCTGTTCTGCTGCCCACCCATCGCCCTCATCCTCACAGCTCAAGCCACCCCCAAAGATCATCCACGGCTTCTGTCTCATCCAGCCCCACCAGATTCCCTTCACAGACCCCCCAACAAGGGGCTGTGCAGCCTCTGCTTGAGCACCTCCAGCCAAGGATGCTCCATGCTGCCCAGGCTGCAGGGTCTTCCTGGAAAGCCAGAATTTTCCTTACCCTCTCCCATTCAAGTCTCATCCTTTCCAACTTCTCCGAAAGCTTCACTGTTTCTCCAAGAACATTTGGGAAAGCAGGGAGACCGGCCTTCCCACTGGCCGGCTACTCTCCCCTTTGCATCACTAAGCTATGTGGTTGGCACAAGCTCCACCACTCAGGGACGCTTCGTGTCACTCCCAGGCCCAACCACCCCTCCTGGGCAGCTGCAGCCTCTGGGAGGCTTACCCTCTGCCCACCTCAGCCTGCTCTAACAACCATGGGGGCTCACTGGCAGGGATCTGCTGCTCAACTCCTCTCTGCTAGGATGTGTCTTCCTGGAATTTACTGACCTCCACCCATCAGCAATTCTAGTCCAACCTTTAGGTGTTTCTGTGAGCCTTCTTTGTGTGACCTTCAACAAGTAACTTCTCTGCACAAAATATAATGTCTTCACTGTGTGCCGCCACCACCACCCTGGTAAGTTGGCACTTCCTTCTGAACTTACACTTCAGCTGGGGTCAGAATCACCCTCACAAGAAACCTCAGCCAGAAACCTGGGGATTGTTCTTGACTTCCCACCTTCCTTATCACCACAAATCCTTTGAGTCTCTATGTCCGAAAGATTTTTTTTTTTCTTTGAGTTGGAGTCTCGCTCTGTCACCCAGGCTGAAGCGCAGTGGCATGACCTCGGCTCACTGCACCCTCTGCCTCCCGGGCTCAAGCAATTCTCCTGCCTCAGCCTCCTGAGTAGCTGGGACTATAGGCATGCACCATAAAACCCAGCTAATTTTTCTATTTTTAGCAGAGACAGGGTTTCACCATGTTGGCTGGGCTGATCTTGAACTCCTGACCTCAAGTGATCCAACCACCTCAGCCTCGCAAAGTGCTGGGATTACAGGTGTGAGCCACCACACCCGGCCATGATTTTTCTATCTTAAGCATTACTTGAATTGGATCCCTCTTTAATGATGGCTTTCCTTGATGAAGCCCATGTCACGGGACCAGTGGGATTCTTCTTTGTGAAGTGGTCACCGTGCTTTTGAATCTTCCTTACAAATTATTCCATACACATCACAAATCTGACCAAGTTAACATCACTGGTTCCACAGCTGTCTTATGGCTAAGCAGTTCTGAATCACACAATAACTCTGTGATCCTGGGCAAGTTACTCTACTCCCCTTTTGCCTTTTCTTTTTAGGTGGAAAGAGTACAACACAGCACTTATCACAGAGGCGGTTGTCAGGACCAAACGACCATACAAAGGGCTTAGTATGGCTCCTGGAGCATAGTAAGCCTCCAAAGATACAACTGGTGTGACTGTGGACTGTTCCCAACCTGTAGTCCATGGAAGTCCATGGATGAGCTTCAGGGGATCCGTGAAGTCCCTGAAAATGTATGGAAAATTTGGTTTGCAGGTTTATGTTCTGCAGGTTCCCCGCACAACACCTCTTTCCTGCAGGACAGGGTGGAAAGCTCTTCTCAGAGACCTAAAGTCTGCATCCTAAACTTTGAAAGCTTCACAAGCACAATGAGACATTCCGTCCCATGTGACTGTCTTCCCCCTCCCTTGACTCCACTCCCTGTGACCTTCCCTTACCCCTGAATTAGAGGCACGGCCATCCTTCTCTGATCAGGTCCTGCTATTCCTCTTCTCTACATCCCCACCACAGATAGTCCAATCCTCTGCGACTGTGCTCCACTGACACCCCTGCACAGTACATCCCACAGGGGCGGTTTCCACGTCCCCATTCACCCAGAGCCCTATGCTGGGGGTGCTCCTGTAGAGAGGAGCAGAGACCCTCAGTGTGCAGAAGACCACCACCCTCCTGCTCTCCTGCTCACTCTCCCGCTTCCTCCACTCGCTACTGTCCTGGTCTCTGCCGCCCTCCCTGCACAACACCTCTTTCCCACAAGTTCCAGTCCAGCAGGTGGAAGCAGCTGTCATCCCGAGGCTCACCAGCTCCCCTTCTCAATGTTTTTCAATCTGAAACTGCCCAGAGGAAGAGCTGAAGGACCCCACAGCTCACCTGGGGCCAGGCTGTCAGGTGCATGGCTGCCATCCCCTGGTCCCCGTCTCAGAGAAGGGCTGGAGCTAAGGAGAAACACAAAGAGAGACAAGTGTGAGGCAAGCCACCCCAACCAGAGCAACATAGCCCCTCACAGAAAATGCAAGACACAGGCAGCTTGCATCCAAATAGGAGTGCGAACAGGAGCTGCCCAAGAAGGGAATGATCTGTTCACTGGCTCAGTGCCTAGGACTCCAGGCTATGACACTGAAATTCACTGCCAGGAACCCTAGGACTTTACAATTCTGATACATATCACACACACTGAAGAGTATATATATAAAATTTAAAAATAAACAAATAAAAATTAAAAATAAAAAGAAGAAGAAGAGTGCATATAAAACCTGCTGGGCACGGTGGCTCGTGCCTATAATCCCAACAGTTTGAGAGGCCAAGGCGGGTGGATCACTTGAGCTCAGGAGTTCGAGACCAGCCTGGACACATGGCAAAACCCTGTCTCTATAAAAAATACAAAAATTAGGCTGGGCGCGGTGGCTCAAGCCTGTAATCCCAGCACTTTGGGAGGCCAGGGCGGGTGGATCACAAGGTCAGGAGATCAAGACCATCCTGGCTAACACGGTGAAACCCCGTCTCTACTAAAAATATAAAAATTAGCCGGGCGTGCTGGCGGGCGCCTGTAGTCCCAGCTACTCGGGTGGCAGAGGCAGGAGAATGGTGTGAACCCGGGAGGCAGAGCTTGCAGTGAGCCAAGATTGCGCCACTGCACTCCAGCCTGGGCAACAGAGCAAGACTCCGTCTCAAAAAAAAAAAAATTAGCCAGAGGTGGTGACACATGCCTGTGGTCCCAGCTATTCGGGAGTCTGAGGTAGGAGGATCACTTGAGCCCGGGAGGTCAAGGCTGCAGTGAGCCAGTATCACACCACTGCACTCCAGCCTGGGTGATGAGAGTGAGACGCTATCTCAAAAAAATAAAAAATAAAAATAAAATAAAATGTATGCAGAGCCTAAAAAATAAAGCAAAGAGTCATGTATCCACAATTCATTTCAAGAAATAGGACAATACCAAGATCTTTGACTTATTTCTCTTTCTCAACACAAGCATTATCTTCAGTATCACAGCAGGAGAAGCTGGACTGGCTGGGCTGCAGCCCCAGTACACAAGCCTGGGGAGTCAGACCCCAGGGAGGCAGCGCCTGGAGAAGGCAGCTGCCCCCCAGTATCCTGCCCCACTTCCTCAGAGCTCTGAATGTCCTCAAGAATCCTAACACCTCTGGAGAGGTCTTGAGAGGTCAGTCCTCCTAAGGACAGCACAGGCTGTCCTTAGGAAGCTGAGCTGGAAGTTAGGAACCAGGCTGTTTCCCAAACTTTCCAGTCTTCTGATAGTGAATGAGCCAAGGCCTACACTTCTGCGTCAGCTCCTGAGAGAGGAGATCACTGTAGCAGCCAGTCCCGTGACCCAGAGCCTCTTGTTCACTGTATTCAAAAACATATGGACTAGTGATTTTCTGACTTTTACTGCCCCTAAAGTCAGTCTTGAAATTACATTTTCCTAAAATATCATCCATTTCTTCCAGGATTTCAACTTTACTAGTACAGAGTTGCAGAAAATACTGGTTCATGATTCTTTCCATTTCCTCCATATCCAGAGCTAGTTTGCTTTTCCCACTTCTTCTTTTGAATATATGTGCTTTCTAGACCTTTTTCCCAGGGTTAGAGTTAGAGACTAAACATTTATGCCCCTGCCAAATTCATATGTTGAAGCTCTAGCCTCCAATGTGACTGTATATGGAGACGGGGCCTGTCAGGAGGTTACAAGGATAAATGAGGTCCTAAGGGTGGGACTAAAGGTCCTAAGGTTAAATGAGGTCCAATAGGGGTGATGCCTTTACAAGAAGAAGGAGAGACCCAGAGCCCACGAAACCACTCACTCCCCGCCTCCCCCATGTGAGGACACAACGAGAGGGCTACTATCTATAAGCCAGGAAGGCAACCCTGGCAGGAGCCAAAATCAGCTGGCACCTTGATCCTGGACTTCCAGTCTCCAGGACTGTGAGAAATAAGTATGTTGGTGAAGCCACCCAGTCTATGGTATTTTGTTATGGCAGCCCAAGCAGACTAATACAGTTAGGCTGAGCAGTGTTTTACTTATTTTAATGTGGTTTCCTTTTATTTTCAAAGAACCAGCTTTTCTAGTTGAGCAACACTACTTTCTTCTATTTGTTTTAAATTCACTAATTCTGCTCTTAGTTTGTTCCTTCAGCTCTGTAAGGGGCAGTGTAAGCACCACTCCAATCCTCTTATCCCATCCTCAGTCCAGTTCTACAGAGGTTAGTCAGCTTTGTGAAGCTGCAAGCTACCAGAACCTTCACAAGGACCTACATCACCTATGCCTGGTTCCTGCCCTGGGGCTTCTCTGGTGTCCTATGTGGGACACCTGTGGACACCTGCTGGGCCCTGAAGTGCAGAGGCATTAACACCTGTGGGACCCCCTTGACCAATAGGGGAGAGAAACCAATGGATAAATGTTTTCCCCGTCGATCCCCCAGCGGGGCAGCCTTAAGACTCCAAGGCTCCTCAAACGCCCTGCAAGGCAGAGCCTGTTGAGGGCCGAGCATACCAATGCATCCTTGTACCAGTTCTCCCATCTCTGTTTCACTCCCCTTGTCTTTCACTCTGCCCCTGTGACCATATTCCTAAATAAATTCCTACATACAAATCTTTGTTCCACGTTCTGCTTTTGGGGAAGCTTAGACTACAAAAGGCTTTTTTCCCACCTTCTTGAGGTTGCATGACTTATTCATTTATTTTCATTCTTCCTATTTGGCAATTAAAGCCTATAAGGCCACAAATTTTCCTTGGGATACACTATTTGCCACATTCCAGAGGTTTTTATATTTCATGTTTTAATTACTGTTTTATAGTCAGTCAGCAATTCTGTTTTGTCTCTGACCTAGTAATTGCTTAGGATAGTTTACTGTTGCTAATTTCTTCTGTTTATAAGTTCTGGCTTTATTGCATGATGGTTATATAACCCAATCTACTAACTTCTACTTTACACATTTTTCAGGGTTTTTTTGTGACTCATGTCCATTTAAAAAAATATATTATCTGGTGTTTAAAGAGAAAACTTATTCTGTGATGGGAGAATATACAACTCCATTTTTAGATAATAAACCAACTCTACCAATTACATATGTAGTGTGATAGCTACCCCGCTCAGCTAGTCAAGGGTGTATACCTGCTGCCTGAACCTTGAAGACCGGGCAGTGAGTCAAGACCATGGGGCTCAGCAGAGGAGCAGGTGTTTGCAAGAACGTAAACATCCTAGAAAGTATATGAGAACCTACCAAGAAAAGTCTCATCGTTTAAATGCAGTAGGCAAACAGCCAGAAAATTCTCTAAAAAGTACTTAGAGACGAGGGGCATCACAGGTCTCTAAAGCTGTCCTGCTGCCATCCAGGAGTAAGTATGTAAGTCCTAATAAACTCATCTACTTGCCAAGCTGGACTCGTCCAAGGCATTCTTTGGTCTCTTGGCTCCCTCCCAAGGGGATAGTTTTTTTTTTTAAATACGATTCCAGGTTTTTTCCTGTTATGACATTATATAGATTTTCTACATAATCCTTGATTACTTTTACCTAATTAAACCAAGATGGCCAGTGAAGAACTAACTCTCACAAAACACTGAGCTCAGATGTGTCATGAGCAAATTCTTTCAATGTTTCGGAAATGAGTAATTCTAACACTATGTAAACCGTAGCAGAGCACAGCAAAGTAAGTTTCCCAATTCTTTTTATGGTGCCAGCACAATACTGATGCAAAAACTACAGACCAGTCTCATTTATGAATTCTAATGCAAAAATTCTATCAAGGAATAGACTCCAATAGTTCATTAAATACATCATGAGTAAGTAGGATTATCCCACGAAGATACTAATTAGTATATTTTTCACATTAATAAATCAAAGAAAGATAAACACACTGTCCATCTCAACAGATGCCAAAGATGTTTAACATAATTCAACATTTGTGCCTAATTTTAAAAACTTACACACTAGAGAAACTCTCATATGTAGGAAGTACGTACAAAAATATTATCAGCACATTTTAATAACAAAACACTGAAAACAACCCACATGTCCATTGAAAATACATCGATAAATTTTCATACAGTTTTTACAATGGAACATTACCCAGAAGCTACACACAGAATGAATTTGGAAACTTAACATTGAATTATGCGAGTCCCAGATGACTTATACACACAATGGTGCCATTTATATGAAGCTCAAAAAAAAAATTTAAGTACATTGCTTACAGATACATGCATATGTAATTATTTTTTAAAATAACAGGGCTACAATTAACACAAAAGTCAATATAACTGTTACCTCTAGGGGTTGGAGGCTGGGAGTTGGGTTGAGGAGGAGGAACACATTGATAAATTCAGCAGTACTGGCAATCTTCTCTTTCTTAATTGGGTGGTGTGTTCATGGATGTTTACTACTATATATGTAACATATAAATATATATTTTAAATAAATATATAAACCAGCAAGGATGGGGTGAAATTGAGGACCCAAAATGTAATACAAAGAACAGCCAATGTGCTTAACTATACTACAGTGAACATAACCACACTTAAGTGGTAGGAAAGAAAAGGGGTAAGCAACTTTGGAAAACAGTATTTTGACTAAATACCATAAGAGTAAAGACAAAAAGACCTGTATCCAAGTACTGTACTTTAGGTAGTAAATTTGCTTTTCATGGGGGTATGAATTAGCGATTCTGAGACTACTAAATATATTCTAAAACTGAGTGAATTCGTAATTACGTTGTAGAAGTCATTCCCAGGTCACTGTCAACCCTGAGCCGAGAGAAGCAGGGCTGAGTTACCTTTTGGGACTGACACTGCTCCAGGAGACAATGTCCTCCAAAAGCCGGGCTGCTTCTGCTGCCGGGTGACTGGGAGGGGCTCTGCGCTCCCACTCGGCCCTAATTCATGACCCTATGTCAGGAGCCTGGGAGCACACGGTCCATACTCGGGATGCACATAGGTTAATGTTCCTGCCAGACCTCAGCATGTCAAAAGACTTGTGGTATCACCTCGGGCCGCTTCACGCCCGCAAATATTCCATCTTTTAGCTGCACCGACACATCTTCCCCCGTCGACCAAGTGCTAAATGCTCAGGGCCTCGTGGCTGGGACAGCAACGTGCGTTTCCCCTTCCAATGGGCGCAAGCTATTGAGCCACAAAGACCAAAGCTGGAGTCGAGGAGCGCGGAAGAGCACCCCGGGCCGCCGCCCTGCTCCCTCTCCCAGCCTGGGCCTCCTGGCAGCGTAGGCCACGGGAGACCCTGCAGCACCCAGGGTGGGAGTGCGTCTCAACCGGACCCAGAGCCTGGGGGACAGGGCACGGCACACAGCGCCCGGAGCCCTGCACTCACCTCCGTAGCGGACTGCTCCCCGGCGCTGCCGGAAGTGCGTCACCAGGCGGCCGGGCCTCTCTAGGAGCAAGGTCGCTGCGCCTCGGTGGTGGTCACGCCCGGCCAGCTGTGGCCGCATCCCTGTCGGCTAGCTCGGGTCTGGCCCACGGTGACTGTTACCCCTGGGGAATGGGGCAGGTAAGAATCAGAGCCAAGCGGGGACCCAGCCCGGGGAGGTGAAGCTGCAGGTGCAGCCACGTGTGGGAGTCTTGGAAATGGACCAGTGGATGGCGCGCTGTCACACCCAATGCCCCCTTTTTCTAACAAATAGTTTGTAATGTCCATCTTATTCTCCTGACCTGATATTCATATATAATGGCCTAGAAAATCATACATAACATACACACCTACATATTAAAAACTAATGTTATGCCTTAAGTGTAATGAAAGAGAAAAAAAAGAGGACCGTCATCTGTCGTTTAAAAACACATACTTCAATGTGTTTGGTCTTGGCTGCTGCAGGAGACCTAATAAGGTGGTCGCCTTTACACATAGACGTTGTCTGAGTGCCACAGCCACAAAGCTGTGACTTACATTGTTGCAAAAGTCACAAAATTATGATCCAAAATGGCAAACATGTTTTCGTGAAGTTCTGAATGAAACACAGGACAATCGTCTCTTGATTATACAATAATTACATTCCTGGAAGATCAGTGTATGTTAAAACTGTGCAAAAATACATGTTTATCCAGAAAACAGGTTTAGATTCAGATAATTTAGAAATAGAATTTTCACCTACCTGAATGTTCAGCAAGACATTTGAAAGTGTGAACATTTTTTCAGTGGGCAGGACTGTCCTGTACATTGCAGGATCCTGGCTCCTATCCACAACGCTAGTAGCAATGTTACCACTGACACCAAATATAACAAAATACCTACCATAAAATTCCAAAATGAGCCCTGGGGGAAGGGAGACAGTACTAAATGCCACTGGATTGGACGACCCTTAAAATCCCCACCCCCTCACACACCCCCTAACCCTGGTAATGTGGGCTTTTCTTCCTTCCAGCTCTGATCCATCCAACGCTGCTGCACTGGAGACTGGTATTTGGCTCCCACTTGCCTCTGTGGCTTCTTATCACTCCCATTCATTCCCTGACTCTACCTCAGCCCTACATGCTAAAAATGCTGTTCTCTAAATCTAGAATGCCCTTCCCTTCCCATTCCTACCCTCCATCTTGACTGTTACTGGAAGTGTGAGCTCAAATCCCATTTTGCATGGGAAGCAAGCCTTCCCTCATCACCCAGAATAAGGCAGGACACTCATTTATGTGCCATCACAGCACTGTGTACTTACTTAATGGTGATAGTTTATTTATATGTCTGTCTTCTCTGGTGGCTGCAGGGAACAGACACTGTATCTATCTTGTTCAACATCATCATCCTCAGCTAGAGAATAACTGGCAGAAAGAAGGAGAGCAATAAACATTTGTTGTTGACAATGGTCCAAAGGCTCCAGCCCTAACTCTTAGGCAGAAGCCTACTTTGTGTGTCCCCAAGGGTAGGATATGTCTTATGCCTTGGACCTTGACAGTGACCATGGCCAGGTGCCCTTCTCTGCCTTGCCCTGACCCTGATCTTCACTGTTTTCCAAAATGAGTTCATTAAGAAAATGATTGGGCAGAGTAATAGCTGGGGATTACGTTGCTCTTGTCAATAAGTTCTGGTTTTCACTTCTTTCTAGGGTCAGAAATCAGGAGTGAGGACTTGTTGAAAGAAATAGGAAGGAATCAGATCACATAAATGCTGGCCCCAAATGTTTGCATCATAAACCCATTGCCTAATTTTACAGTTGAGAAAATAAAGCTCTCTAAATAACCACAAAGCTCCTACTCCTACTTCAGACATATCAGAAAAATGAGATAATAATGCACAAACCAAGTTTCAAAAGCTCTATGGTAGGTCTGGAGAGATGGAGATCAGTTCTTGTCTGTCAGCCCCTGTTCTTCCATTCTTATAAGGTTACAGAATCTCTAGCAAGGGACATGACAGCTCAGGGAAAAAGCACACATTTCCCAGCATTCTTTAAGGCAAAGTGTGTCCATGTGACCAACTTCTGGCAAACAGGCTGTAAGAAAATGTGATGCTGTGTCCTTAAAGACAAGGGACATGCCCTCCCTGCCCCCAAACCTTCATCGACCAGGTGGAATGTTGACAAGGGAGAGCATCAGAGCATCTTGGACCATGTGAATAAGGGTGTGGCTGCTGGGGATGACAGAGCAACTAAAAGGAGGAGGCACAGAGCTGCTATATCAGCCCCAGATGGCTTACTTTCTGATGATACATGAGAGAGAAATAAACTTTCATCAAATTTAAACCACATTTATTTGGGTTCTTCAAATTAATTTCCAAGCCCATAGCCTAACTAATACCCCTAGAAATGAGGAAGGATGGAAAAATCACACAACACAAGAGTTAAAAAATTAAGCTGGCTCTTCGACTACAGCATTCTAGAAGTTCATTTCCATGCTGGGCCTGCAGCCATGTAGTGTCAGTTTCCTCCTGCTCAGCTCTAAGGCTTCTTCTCCTGCACCCTTTGTCCCTGCAGCCCCAAGACCTCTCTAAAGCCCTTCCTCTCTGACCACCAGGGAAAGCTGACAATCTTCTCATGTTAAAAAAAATCTTTTTTGTTGGCCAGGCGTGGTGGCTCACACCTGGAATCCCAGCACTTTGGCAGGCTGAGGTGGGGGGAGTTACCTGAGGTTGGGAGTTCGAGACCAGCCTGACTAACGTGGAGAAACTCTGTCTCTACTAAAAATACAAAATTAGCCAGGCGTGGTGGCGCATGCCTGTATTCCCAGCTACTCGGGAGGCTGAGGCCAGAGAATCGCCTGAACCCAGGAGGCGGAAGTTGTGGTGGGCTGAGATAGCGCCATTGCACTCCAGCCTGGGCGACAAGAGCGAAACTCCGTCTCAAAAAAGAAAAAATATTTCTTGTTGTTTCCAGTTTTAATAGGACAGAGTAAAGATGGCTTTGCCTGCTTCTTCTCATGAAAACTGTGGCAAAACAACTGTCTGGTTGATGTTCATTCCAGGAGTTCAAGGCTGTTTTCAGGCTACAAAATTTTTACCTACTTATTGATGTTGTGAGTTCTGTGAATAAATCATTTAATCTATGTGGAGAAATGTACTAGGGTAGGGCAAGGTCTTATTCTCAAAGCAACCAAACATATATAGGAATAAGTTTACTAATAAATGTATAAGACATATATCAAGAAAATTTTAAACATTTGGGGACTAAACCAATGAAAACCCCTTGTGTAAATGGAAAGGCACAGGTAATCCTTCAGTAGGAAGGGTAGTTTTCTTTATTTAATCCATAAGTCCAACGTCATACCAAATAAAACCCCTATAGGATTTGTTTTAAAACTTGTGAAAATGATTCTAAAATTTACGCAGAAAAAATGTTAGAAGTGACTGGACAGTGCCTCATGCCTATAATCCCAGCACTTTGAGAGGCCAACGTGGACAGATCACCTGAGCTCAGGAGTTCAAGACCAGCCTGGCCAACATGGTGAAACCTTGTCTTTACTAAAAATACAAAAATTAGCCCAGCGTGGTGGCGCACACCTGTAATCCCAGCTACTGGGGAAGCTGGGGCAGGAGAATTGCTTGAACCCGAGAGGCGGAGGTTGTAGTGAGCCAAGATCATGCCACTGCACTCCAGCCTGGGTGACAGAATGAGACTCCGTCAAAAAAAAAAAGAGAGAGAGAAGGAGAGAGAAAGAAAGAAAGAGAGAGAGAAAGAGAAAGAAAGAGAAAGAAAGGAAGGAAGGAAGGAAAGAAAATGTTAGATGCTTATAAGGTACTACTGAAACTTAAGAAAGCACAAGTATTGAAAGTCAAAGAATGGAAAATAGATATATCAGACAAGTATTAAGGGAAAGGGAAAATGGCACAGCTATATTAATATCTCACAACAATAAGTTTAAGACAATAAATATTACGCAGAATTCAGTTGAGGGCAATGTAGCAAATAATATAAACTAGAATCTAGAAATTTAGAATAAGATATAATATTCGACATCATTTTAAATACTTAACTCACAGGAAAGTGTACCCACGTACCAAAACCAAACAAGAAACTAAAACCAGAGGCATTGGTTTGGACTGAGGACCTCAGCTGATGCTTTGGCCAACAGGGGTGGGAATGGTGAAGAGTTGTAAGTCTTGATATCTGAGAAAGCAGAATTATAATATGCAGGAGGCATATTACAGGAACAAGGAATAGGAACAGAGACTTTTCTCACACACATACACTCATCCAATCATGAAAGGATAAATTTTTTAAAAATCTCATGAACAAAGAGAGATAACAAAGAATCTTATGGTCCTTGCCTAAGCTTTGAAGTGGTAGTAGAAATGTCTTCTAAAAATTTATAATCATAGTTTGCATCATTAAGTATAGAGTTTAAATTAATACTATCTACTTGGACCAGTAATTCATAATCCAAGAAATTACATTAAAAACTAATCCTGATAGACTTCTGAAATAGTCACAACAGAATTAGTAGGCAATGACATTTAAAAGTTATTACAACCATATCTGATACATCTAAAAGTTTGGTGGAGAAATGAAACATATAAAAAAGACCCAAATCAAACTTCTAAAGATAAAAACCTATAATGTGCAATAAAAATACATTGGATGGGATTAACGGCAGATTAGACATTACAGAAAAAAGATGAGTGAATTTGAAGACATAGCAACAGAAACTATTCAAAAACAAACACAGAGAAAAGAAAATTAAAAATAAATGTACAGGACTGAGAAGTCCTGATTTCTTCACCTACTAGCTATGAGACCTTGGACAACCACTTAGCTTTTCTGAAATTCCAATGATTCATCTGAAAAATGAGATAATAGTTCACAGTTGTTGTAAATACTACACATAATGTTTTGCTTAAAGTACATACAACAGGGACCAGGATTCAGTAGTTGCTCAATTAATGTTAACTTTTCCCCTCCTCTAAATTATTTGTGGACCTGATTACACTTTTTTATTTGTCAGTAATGAAGTTAGTAATGCATAAGTTTGTAAATATGACATATTATAAGTAGGAGAAAGACCTACAGTGCCAAACTCCTTCAAAGTTTTTTGTGCATAACCTCACAGAAACATGCTAACAACAATCAAGTTCGGAAGATTTTTACCACAGAGAAAGCAGATCCAATCCATTGTATGTTTCTGAAAATAGGTTAACAGGTGGGGGTTAGCACGTGAGGAGAGGGCATGAAAAAGAATCAAGCAGCCTGTCTCCAAATGAATACAACATACCTTCTTTCTCACATGTATTGCCTGATAATTTGCTTATATGTGCCTAGGAAGAGCCCTGAGCATTCTTCCTTACATAGTATGACCAGGTATTACACATTTTCCCCTAACTTGAAGGACGTTGGCCTCTGGCATAACACAATGATACTAGGTACCAATCCCATAGACCTCCCAAGGGAATCGGTCCAATTATCAGCTCTGATGCTGAAGTTTCTAGAAGGAAGAGAAAGAATCTCAACCCCCACCGTGTCATAAAGAACCTTGTAAAAGACTGCTGATTTTAGAGGATTACAATTGCCAGGTACACCGGAGTGGAAAGCCCCAAGAAATTAACAGTGACCACTACAACCTGTGTTTAGTGTCATCCAGGTACAAAGGACAGCAGTAGAAAACAGAGAAGCCGTGGTGCTGTCCAAGGTGCTAGCTCCGACTCAGTGGGGGGGGGGGGGGGGGTGTGTCTGTGGCGCTCTCCAAGGTTCTGGGGCTGGCCTCAGAACCATTGTCCTCCAACCTGGTGTGTTGGTCCCCTCTGACTATATATGTGTGTGTGTTTTTGAGGAGTCTCACTCTTGTCACCCAGTCTGGAGTGCAGTGGCACGATCTCAGTTCACTGCAACCTCCACCTCCCGGGTTCAAGCGATTCTCTGGCCTCAGCCTCCCGAGTAACTGGGATTACAGGCGCCCACCACTACACCTGGCTGATTTTTGTATATTTAGTAGAGATGGGGTTTCACCATATCGACCAGGCTGGTCTCGAACTCCTGACCTCAGGTGATCCACCTGCCTTGGCCTCCCAAAGTGCTGAGATTACAGGCATTAGCCACCATGCCCAGCCTCCCTCTGGCTATATTTTAAGCCTGATATCCAAATACTTAATCTCACCCTATTCCTTTCTTTGAATTCATTTGGTCAGAACCTGACACGTATCACCCAGTGCCCCAGTTCCTACTTGTCTTCTCTATCACTCTGCCTCAAAATCCAGAGATTCCAAGGATGATAATTTATTGTGGGCCCAAATGGCTAAGAGAGGCTCTTCTGGGAAGCTTTCTTACATCATATAAATTTTTGTTAACATGAATTATTTGTATTTGAAAGATTTAAAAGACAAGGAAGCTATGTATTGTTCTTGTTGTTAACAATAAATTACCTCAACACTATTTGAACATAATAAAAATGTAATAAAACCTGAAACTTCGTGTGTTCCAATTGCTTTATTCAACTAACTTACACTCCTTTCCTGGTGAGTTACCTTGCATTCAGGTGTTCTGAGCCATGAAAACATTTTTCTTTCTTTTCTCTTTTTTGTAGAGATGGGGTCTCGCTATGCTGCGTTGGCTGGTTTGGAACTCCTGGCCTCAAGGGATCCAACCATTTTAGTCTCCCAAAGTGCTAGGATTATAGACATGTGCCATGATGCCTGGCCCAAAGACATCTTTAATCTGAATTGCACTTCATTAACTATTAGACACATTTATGTTTATTATGTAATGCTTTCTTCACATCCATACTGAAGAAGATCCAGTAGGTATTATATCTATTTTATAGATGAAGAAAAACAAAGCTTACATGTTACAGTCTTTGTAGAACATAGACTGTAGTGGGGGACACAACTTTTAAGTAAATCCACACCTGGATAAATATATTATTGTAAACTTTCATTCGTGTGAGGGAGGTAAAGAGCAAGGTGTTTAGGAGATAATATCAAGGGAATACCATTTTAACTTGGAGGTAAGGAAAGGCCTGAGGAAGTGATCTTGATCTTGGGCTGAGACCTGAAAGATAAGAATGAACTATCTGGGCACATAATCAAGGAGACAGCATTCCAGGCAGGAGGAATAGCATGTGTAGGCCCTTCAGTGGAAAAAAAAAAAAAAAAAAAGCTTGACACATCATGGGGAGAGAGGAGGGAGGAAGTGCTGCGCCATGAAGTCATTAGAGCTTTGCAGGCCATGTTAAAGAGTTTGGATTTTATTCCAAGGTCAATGGAAACCCATTGAAATGTTTTAAGAAAAGCATGTTATGTTCCATATTTTTAAAAGCACACCTGGCTGCTGACTGGCAGATAGATTAGAAGGATTCAAGAGCAGAAGTGGGGAGACTACTTAAGGAGCAATTGTGGTAGTCTAGGAAAGAAATGTTGGTGGCTCAGAACAAGGCAGTAGCACCAGGAACTGGAGAGAAGCTCCATGTTGCTCATCAGTAACATGTTCTGTCATCATGTGCTATCATCTAGCATGTTGCTTAGCACACAGAAGTCACTAAATAAATATTTATTGCCAGGCACAGTGACCCATGTCTGTGATTCCGGCACTTTGGGAGACCAAGGTGGGAGGATTGCTTGGCCTCAGGAGTTCTAGACCAGCCTGGGCAACATAGTGAAACCTTGTCTCTACAAAATATACATAAATTGATGGGCACAATGGCTCACACCTGTAATCCCAGTACTTTGAGAGGCTGAGGTGGGCAGATCACAAGGTCAGGAGTTCGAGACCAGCCTGGCCAATATGGTGAAACCCCATCTCTACTAAAAATACAAAAATTAGCCAGGCGTGGTGGCGCTTGCCTGTAGTCCCAGCTACTCAGGAGGCTAAGGCAGAAGAGTCGCTTGAACCCACGAGGCAGAGGTTGCAGTGAGCCGAGATCATGCCACTGCACTCCAGCCTGGGCAACAGAGCGAGACTCCATCTCAAAAAAAAAATTTATATATATATATAAACTGGGTGTGGTGGCGCATGCCTGTAGTCCCAACTACTAGGGAGGCTGAGGTACGAGGATCACTTGAGCCTGGGAGGGCAAGTCTGCAGTGAGCCATGATCGTGCCACTGCACTCCAGCCTGGGTGGTAGAGCAAGACCCTGTGTCAAAAAAAAAGTTGAGTAATTAATAAAATCATTTATTGTATGTGGCATACTTCTAAGGATTCTTTTATTTGCATGGCTCCAAGTGCTTGTTTTAGTTGATAATCTGAGGGACATGCATTGCCAGGTCCTCCTTACAGGCTGATAACCGTGATATTTACCATGTTTTACCTCCTGGCCACACATAGCTACAGTTATATAAACAACTTAGTCTATCTAAAATTAGGCACTTCAGTGACACACGAAAACGTTGTGCCCCACAGCATAGTTGCTCTGAGAGGAAGCTTCTTTGAAGTAGAAATAAGAAATGTGCAGCCACCACTGAAAACAGAATGGGATTTCATCACAAAAATGCTCATCTGGGCCATCCTCTAACATCTAAAGGATTTCAGTTGAGTAGACTACTAATATTCACTACTAGAATATAAGACACATTCTCATTGCCTGAAAGTTCTGTCTCCCTCTCATTAGTTTGGGTTTCCCTGAAGGCAGGGCTTGAGACAAGGACTCGAACGCACATTTATTCAGGAGATGATCCCAGGAAGCAGTACTAAAAGAACCCAAGGAGTGAGACAGGATAGGAGGAAATGACAATATGAAGTGTTCTAAAGGTTGATGCTATGAGCACTGGGACCTCCAGGAAAGAGTAAAGAATTCCTCCTCTAATTGTCCACTTGAAAGATGGGAAACTGGAACCTTTATCCTCAAACTCTTGTCCAGCATCATTAAGGGTTTTTCTGGGATTGCTAACTTGCCCTGTGTATTCGCAGGCTGTGCTTCCTAGTTGAGTGAGCTCTGGAAAAGTGCCTGAAGCAGAATGTCAGAAGGCATGTGGAGTGTTTGAGCAGTGCAAAGGGAGCTCTAAGTTCACATACAACTGTTCACCGCAGCTACAGCGAAAGCAAGAGGTGTGCCAAAGTGATGTGCGTGCATCTCAGAGGTATCTGCTCTATTCTCCCATCAATCTACTAGATTTCACTATACCCAGCCTGTAAACTGGGGATAAATATAGCAACTACCCTAGAGTTGTTATGCACATTGAAATTCAAATACCAATTTTTTTTTCCTTATCCAAAGCTTTTAGACATGTAGAATACAATGGCAGTCATGCGCCATGGCAGAGGCTGCTAGCTATCCACTCAAACACTTGTTCTCCTTCCTCCTCCTAAACAAAATCTCGAAGTTATTTGATGTAGTACACTGCCACTCAGGTGAAGGATATAGTGTCCTCGGGAGCCAGGTATAGTCAGGTGACTAAGTTCTTGAAATAAACATTTAACTGGAAATGTTCTATGGTACTTACAGAAAGTCTTCCTTAAGGCAAAGTGCCATGCTCTTCTTCCCCTTCCTCTACTGTCTGGAACAAGCTCTTGATGGTTGGAGTTCTAGCAGCCACCTTGGACCATGAGGATAATGGCCCCATTGAGGATGGCCAAGTGGTACTTTGGAAGGAGATTTGGTCCCCACTAACATTGTAGAACTGCCTTAGCTGCCCTGGGCTATCTCCAGACTCCTAAGAAAAATTCTATCTTGTATTAGGGTGTCTTGTTTAGGGGTTTTCTGATATATACAGATGAACCTCAGTGACGGTGGTGGGCTGAATAATACCCATCCAAAGATACCAGGTCCTGATTCCTGGAACGCATGAATGTTGCCCTAAATGGCAAAGTTCTTGCAGTTGTCACTAAATTAAGGGTCCTAAGATAAATAATTATCCTGGACTATTTGGGTGAGTCCTAAATGCCATCACAAATGCCCTTATGAGAGAGAGGCCAGGGAGATTGGACACAGAGAAGGTGATGTGAAGACAGCAGAGATTGCAGTGATGTTGCCACTAAGGAATGCCGGCAGCCACCAGCAGCTTAAAGAAAGACCAGATTCTGCCCTAGAGCCTTCTGAGGGAGTATGGCTTTGCTGACAAACTGTTTCTGCCCAGGGAAATTGTTTTCAGACTTCTAGCCTCTAGAACTGTGAGAACAGATTTCTGTTAAGAAGCCAAAGAAAACGAGTACATTAATCATAACTGATTCAAAGACAGTTACTCAATTGGAGGGGGCTTCCTGACAGTGGCACTGGGGTCAGGGGCCAAGGGAGCTAACTACTCAGTAGTGAAGAACAGAGAAAAGGAAACAAACCTCACTCAGCTATCCCTACACCTCAAGGCTGAAGTTGGGGGGCCTTACTTGGACCTCAGTCGGGCCAGCTCTCTGCTTCAGGTACATGATATGAAGACACCCATTTTCAGACGCTGTTGAGAGGTACACAGCCAATAAGACAGGGAGGCAGTGCTAAGAACCGGATCCTCTCCCTACTAGAGGCATGCTACCTCCCTCATGACAACTCTCCTGGGACAGTTTGTACTGGACATATTTTATGATTCTATCTCAACCTATGGTTTCCTCTTTGATGCCAATTCTCCACCTCCCATTGTGTGAAGCCAAGCAAAGCCTCCCCATCTTGACTTTATCCTAATATTCTCCTCCACCCCTAAGGACCATATCTGTTTCTTCCAACAATCTCTCTTCTGTTACCAAGATACAGTGTCACATACTTTACATACAACTTCCATAGGGCCATACTGTGCAACAGCTAGAACATGAGTTCTGAAACCAGACTGCCTGTATTCGAATACCTACTCCACTACTGTGTCCTTAGGCAACCTAATTAATGTCTTCCCAACTGTAACATGGAGTTAATTGTAGCACACTCTTCATAAAGTTATCATATTGAGTAAATCTGTGTAGTGACTAGGAAAGTGTCTGTCACATGTTAAGTGCCAAAAAAAAATTACTGCTGTTATCATTTACTACAGGGCAGCTGGGCTGATGCAGCAGCATTTGAAGCAGTCCCTGACCATGGTTACTTTAACCAGTTTTTTTTTCTGAGTGGCTTTTAGGTTTTCTGCCTTCAAAAAGATCCCCCTGGAAATAACCCAAATGCCCACCGACAGTAAGCAATAAATTGTGGTATATTCATGTAATGGAATACGACATAGCAATGAGAATGAATCTGTACTGATGATTCCATTGACACAAAAGAACAAAAACAGGCAAAATAATTTCTGGTGATAGAAGTCAGGGTAGAGGTTCCATAAGGACTCTAACAAGGTACAGGAGACTTGTAAGGTCCTATGTTCTATTTATTTATCTTGGTGATTATAAGGCTATGTTCTTTGTAAAAATTCAAGTTGTACAACCATGATTCATGGTTTTATTTTATTTTATTGAGGAATCTCACTCTGTCACCAGGCTGGAGTGCAGTGGTGTAATCTCGGCTCACTACAACCTCCGCCTCCCGGGTTCAAGCAATTCGCCTGCCCCAGCTTCCTGAGCAGCTGGGACTACAGGCATGCACCACCACGCCCAGCTAATTCTTGTATTTTTAGTAGAGACGGGGTTTCACCATGTTGGCCAGGATGGTCTCGATCTCTTGACCTGATGAATCGCCCACCTCGGCCTCCCAAAGTACTGGGATTACAAGTGTGAGCCACCGCGCCTGGCTGACTCATGCATTTTTATGTTTGTGTTATACTTCAATTAAAAGGTGTTTACTCAATTCCCCAAGTCTATCATTCATTGGTCAACCCAAGCACATGATACAACTGCTCATTCATCTGCTGACAAGTAAGGAAGAGGTGGTGAAGCCACCCAGGTGCTAGACGCAGTAAGCAATTAAGTCTGGAATTGGGTAGGGAGATTCCAACACTGGCTGGCAGCGGAAGGACACGTGGGAGAAAAAAAGGGTGCAGTTTGTGTTCATCACCAAAGAAAAGGGCCAGCCCTGTTTTCCTACTGAGAGATCTCTGCAGTGTGTCTTATGACCAAGAACCATGGCATTTCCTTGGCTCCCTAGCCAGGTCAAGGGCAAAGCGGGCGTGCTGTCCTAGGAATTAAAATGGCAAATACCAAGATATAATAGCTACAATAGCCTGGCATTTCTCAGTTTAAGGCCTAGAGTAGCATCCATTCCAAATAAAAAACTGAATAAACAGAAAATGAAAGCTTTAAGAGTGAAAGCTTTTAGTTTCCTAGTTAAGACTTTTCTTGAGAATGGATTCACTGGTGCAGACATAATTTTGTAGTACAATGAGATTTTTGTTACAGAGCTCAAGTTGTTAGAACTTCTATCTACTAGTGGTGTCTGATATAACCTGGGCTCTCCAGTGTTACAGTGGGCTTCCCAATCTCATCACAATCATGGGGTTGAGGAGCTGCCATGACTATAACTAAAGACTTTCCCATATATCATACACACAAAACATTTCTCCATCAGGTATGTTATCCCTGAAAACTTCAAACAACTGCTACAATGACAACACTGTTTAAGTCAAAATTCTGTTCCAAGGCAAGAAAACCTAACTCAGGTGTGCCAAAGCCAAAACCAACCAAACAAAAATGGAATTTATTGGCTGCTGCAATTCAAAAACCCGTATATATTTTTAGCTTCAGGCATGGTGTATGTGGCTGTTCAAACATTATCTTCAGTCTTTTACTGCTCTCCAATTCTCAGATGCATTTTTGCTGTGTGGACTTCATTCTCACCTCTGTAAGAGTCTAGTTCTTCTTCTCAGCATTAAAACCAATGGGGGTGGGCGGGGGGAGAGTATTTGTTCCTATTAGCTCTTGCAATCCTGGGACTCTAATTGAACCATCTTTGGTCATCTACTGACATCTGAATCATTAACTGTGGCTTGAGGGATGGATCAGAGGCTGAGTCAGGCCTGTGTCACACATTCCATTCCTGAGTAGAAGACGGAATCCACTCAGTACATTTCACTGGAGTGTACTATTACCAGTAAAAGGGGGTAAAAAATTCTGGGAGGCCAAAACGACAAATGTCCAGCACAGGCTTCTCTCCAGAGTAGACATGCTCAAGGTGACCTAGCTGGGAAGAAGTCCCAAAGGCCTTCTCATACTTGCTACACTCATAGGGTTTCTCTCCAGTATGGATTCTTTGATGCTGATGAAGATTTCTTTTGCTAGTCAAGGCTTTTCCACACTCATCACATACATAGGAAGACTCCTGAGTATGAATTCTCAGATGCCTTTTTAATTGTTCCTGAGCACTGAAGGCTTTTCCACAATCTACACAGTCAAAGGGTTTCTCCTCACTGTGAATTCTCTGGTGCCGAGTTAGTTTTGTATGAAAATTGAAGGCTTGTCCACATACTTTACAAGAATAAGGCTTTTCCCCTGTGTGAATACGCTGATGTTGGCTTAGATGGGAAGTCCTTCCAAAGCTTTTGCCACACTCATTACACTCATAGGGTTTCTCTCCAGTGTGGATTTTCTGATGCCGAAGTAGGGGTGAATTACCAACAAAAGCTTTGCCACACTCATTACACTCATAGGGTTTCTCCCCAGTGTGGATTCTCTGATGTATAACAAACTCGGAACTACTCGTGAAACTATTCCCACACTCTGTACAGTAATAGGGTCTGTCCCCACTGTGGATTCTCTGATGCCTGATCAGATTTGCATTATCATTAAAGGCTCGCCCACACTCCTCACACTGATAGGGTCTCTCTCCAGTGTGAATCCTCTGGTGCCGAATTAACGAAGAATTACCATTAAAGGCTTTTCCACACTCACTACACTCAAAAGGTTTCTCCCCAGTGTGGATTCTCTGGTGTCTAGCATAGTAAGAAAAGTAGCTGAAGGATTTCCCACACTCCTCACATATGAAAGGTTTCCTTGCACAGGGGATTCTTGGAACCTTTCCTTGGATATTTTTCACTGTGGGGATGTCCTGGTGCTTTTCCACATTACGTGTTTCTGGGAAGTCAGTTCTCTGAGGGACACTCTTCAGCTGACCATGTGACATCATCCCATCTCTTTCTTCAGAAATTCCCTGGATTAATGTGGACTCACTGTCAATGTTGGTCTCAACATCTGACATAAGAGATAGAAAACACAAATAATGCCACCTGAGAACTATACTAGAAATAATAGAGCATTGAAAATGATAAGGCTTTAAAAGAGATCATTTCAACTTTCACATCAGCATGCTGGGAAGAAAAGGCTGTTAAAGTGAAAGTGCCAAATATCACACAGGCAGAGAACATTGAGGTGGAACAGGGTATCAGTGGACACAACACACGAGACTGCTTCCTAAGCTTTTCTACTCTAATATTTGAATGATGTCTGGTCATCCCTGGCATGAGCTAGTATCTTTTGAATTGATGCTACTTACAGCCTACAAAATGCCAAAGAAGGCACAGGTCTTAAGAACAAGTAGTGACATCGGGGCTGGCAAGACTTAGAATCAGAAAGTGAAACAGAACAGTATCAGAAAGCAAAGGCAAAGGATGAATTGTTGTTCTTTTTAAAAACTCATACCCTGCAGATGTCCCAAAAGACTTAAGACACTGAACATTACAGACACTGGGTTGTGGCAAGACAGAGAGAAAGAAAATCACAGAAGTGCTTAGAGAGTATTATTCCCAATATGTTGTAAGATTACCTAGTTCAGAGGTTCTTAACTGCAGAACCACACATGGACTATAGACGATGAGGAAACGCCCTAAAACTGCTGAACCTCAAACATGCAGAGAAACTACTGTCCTAGACTCTCTATTTGAAAAGGGATGAACAGTTTACTTAGACACACCCAGACTGAGAGTATTCTTTCTCCTATCAGCAAAAAGGAGACAAACAGCCCATAAAATGGCATTTGTGTTCCAAAAGATTGGATGACATTTTAAATGAGTTAAAGTCAATCCATTTTATATGAAATGATGGGCTTGGTTTTAACATTAATGTGGGTTACCTGGGACTCATGTGATGGTTAATCAAGTTCATCCTATGAGTGTGAGTTAAAGGAGTAAGGGAACTCCGAAGGAGAATGTTCAGAGGAGAGTAATCTGAGATTGAAGTAAACAAGGTAACCAAGAGTCTGAAAAAGAATAATCACCAGACAGAGGAAGCGTGTGAGAACAAACCAACAGGTTCTCAATTGTCTTGATGATTCTTTTTCAGATTCTTAGAATAAGAGGCTGAAGTGCTGTGCTAGCTTCATTATTTTCCACGTATTTGCTCTCTGCAAACCACCTGCACTGAAACTCCTGCCTCTGCCTTCAATTTCACTGTTTGCTCTTGGTGGCCCCCATCTATTTGACTGTCTACTTTCTCTTCCTTCTCTCACTGAAATTAAATATCCCTTAATGGTTAAGATTCAGCCTTCATTTTTTCTTCCTGGGGATCGTTTCAACCCAGCTGTGTTAGAGTACTGTTTCAGACCTGCCTTTTATCTCAGACTCTCCACCCACCTTCTCAATGGCCTGCTCTAGCCATCCACTTGCCTATTCTAAAGGCACCTCACGCCCTGTGCTCAGCTCTGAATTCCTATGAATTCAAAAAGCTCCTCCCATGCCATGACTTCCTAGTGTTATCTGACTCAGCTCTCCCCATTTATGGCCAACTTTTGGGAAGATCTGGCCCATTTTACCTTCACATTCTCCGTCCCACTCCCAACAGCACTTAATACTTTTCTTTTTCGCTTTTTACATCTGTCTCCATAACTTGTACCTGCCAGAACTTCTTAAACAACGTTCAGCACATGGCAAGTTGCTCAAAAACTGCTCCTGAATAAATCCATCCCAACCAAGGAGGACAACTAAGGTAGGCAATGTTGAAACTCAGAAAGGAACAATGGATTCAAGGATTGCAGATGAGACGTACTGAGTGATTACATGTTGGTAAGAGTTAAGATTGGTGAGAAACGTTTCATATTTTACCTATTAGGTGAAATCATCTATTTTATTTAAATCCTGCCCAGCATGATTCATTTTAAAATACAGTGCTCCATAAAACGCTACAATTGTTGGTTCTAAATCTGCCTCACCTACCTTTACAGACGTTTTTGGTCCTCTCTGCTGGGGGATCATCCTGTGCTTCCAGGCCCCAAGCCATGTCCCCTCTCTCCAAAAGTGAGATCAGTGCAGGTTTGGGAACTGGGTACCCTGAAAACAGGAAGAAAATGGTACTTTTCAGCCCTGTATCTGCTGTGTCAAAAGAAGGAAAACCCCAGGAGTCTCAGTAAGAATAAGACCCACAGAAGAGGGTTCTCGACTGGAGAAGGCCAAAGAGATTCCGATCAACAGGAAACTGAGCATTTGTGACTTCTTCCTAAAAAAAACACTCAAGGATAAGTAAGTCAGTGAGATCCACAAGGCATGAGCAAACACAGGGAAGGGGACATGCCCTTCCCCAGACAACAACTACTACTTATTCCTTACTGTGCAGAGCCTCTTGGAAGATGGAACATACTCTTACCAGGGGACAGTAATTCCCTTCATTGGGAGACCAAAGTGACCCAAGACCTCTCCCTACCCAGCAATCTTTGAAGTTGGTCACTGAGCCTCAGCTCTGCAGTCACTCAGTGGAGGACACAAGAGACAACCTCTCCTCTCCACTCCACACTCCTCCCCCCAGGCTGTAAAAGAAGGAAGGAAACTGGAAAAGTACAGATCTGAGTCCTAGGAGGAAAATGGCCTTACCCAAAGCAGTCAGGTTCCCAAAATTCTCCAACATCACACTTCTGTACAGGGCCCTCTGGGCAGGAGAAAGGCCAGTCCATTCTGTCTTGGTGAAGTGCACAGCCACATCCTCGAAGGTCACCATCTCCTAAAACAACAGGTTCCTGCTGCCCCAGAGCCAATCCTCTGGCTCCGGGCCAGAGTGTGGGGCAGAGGGGACAGGTAGGGACTTGAGGGAAAGTCCTGTGAGGGATAGGTAATGAGAAAATGTGACAGAACTGGATATTAGACCATTATATGACTATTTTTACAACGAAAAATCTGGAACTTCTCTCACTACCAGAAGAGATTCCATTAGGATATAAAATTGACTGTCATAAAATGTGATTTAACATTTTTTAAACCCTAGGAAAAAAAGTCTCTTATTAGTTAACCTTCCTAGGGCAAAAATCTCTTTGATTTAGTAAATATTTTCAGTCTTTTACTTTTGTACCTACAGGTGGACAATTTGCTTCAAATGGTATCTCAGGACCCACCTATTCCTATTAGGTACTCCCTATTCTCAGCCAATCTATCTGTTCCCCACATGTGTTCACCCTGCCCCAAACCTTATGCCCATGAAACAAGCACAGAGTCATGGTTTGCACTGATGGGCCTATCTCATCCGACTCCCATTCGATTCTTGTATAAAGGACTGGGCTGCCTGTGCTCAAGAGCATCCTGTAGAGGGAGCTCAGAGTCTCCTGGCACAATCCACTCTGCTCCTTGATGGCTTTTCCTAGAAAACCATGCTTCTAGAATTAAATTGCTGCTGCTGGGTAGCTCTTTTAGCTCCTTATCTTTATAGCTCCAAGACAATCTGTAATAGCTTCTGCCAACCAAGCCTCATGCTTCTTGGGTTTTTTTTTCTTTCTTTCTTTCGGTTTTGGTTCTTTTTCTCTTTTTTTTCTGTTTTTGACAGTGTCTTGCTCTGTCACCCAGGTTGGAGTGCAGTGGCACAATCTCAGCTCACTGCAGCCTCGACCTCCCAGCTCAGGTGATCCTCCCGCCTCAGACTCTTGAGTAGCTGGGACTATAGGTGCACACCACCATGCCAGGCTAATCTTTGTATTTTCTGTAGAGACAAGGTTTTGCCACGTTCCCCAGGCTGGTCTCAAACTCCTGGACTCAAGAGATCCGTCTGCCTCGGCCTCCCAAAGTGCTGGGATTACGGGAATGAGCCACCATGCCCAGCCCCTCATGCTTTTTCAACAGACACCCTTCTCCCTCCCTGCTGGCCTCAACTCTACCTTTCCACAAAGTTCTGGCATCTGGTTTAGAGCCTCTATTCACTCCTCAGATGTTGGTATTGAACTTCGTTACCGGAGTGCTCAGGGAATACACTCCGACCTTCCAATGCCTCAACTGATTTTGCACATATCCACATCCCCCTCATCCCAGCACTGCCTCAGACTCTCTGGATGACCCAACACACTGACTCACCAAGCAACCCCAAACTCATCTTCCCCAAAATGGCTTCCTTTCTAATTTATATAAACTAAGTGGCAGTGTGACAATATTTTTCCCTCTCTGTTGATAACACCAATTTCAACCCAGTCTCTAATGCTAGAACTTCAGATTAATCCTAGACATTCTAACCCCCATCATCACTCATTGCTGACAGTTAATACTCAAGTCCTGCCAATTTTATTACCTACGTTATTTCTGGAATCTGACTCTTCTTCACTGTGGTACAATCAGTAAACTAGGTCAACAGCTGGGGACACTTTAGCTCTACTTCCAGTCTTGTCCCACACTGAATCTATCCTCTGCCCAGCTGACAACCTGACTTCATCAACTCCTGAATGAACCTCTTGAATGAATCACCACTAACTAGAGCAGTGGTATTCAGAGTGTGGTCTCCAGACCACCACCAGTAGCGGATGCAACACTTGGGAATTTGTTAGGCAAATTCTTGGGCCCCACTCTGAGAGAAGTCCATACTTCAGTGAGCCCTCCAGGTAATTCTGATGTACACTGAAGTCTGAGAACCCTGGATTGGAGGATAAAATCCAAACTCAGGAAACTGAGCTGTATTAGGTGACAAAGTGATGGAAAGGTGCACAACTATACACAGAGAATCTATCCGGGAAGCGCTGCAAACAAAATTCCAGAGAAGGAACAACAAACTCTAAATGTAATCTGAAAGATGGCACAAGTGGCAGAGAGAGAAGGAAAAACAACAAGACTTTGTGTCTCTCTGGAAATGGTATCAGGGGAGAACATAGTCAACAATTACACAGCAATTTAGAAACTGAGTGATCAGGACTGCAATATAGTGTGATGTCAGACACTTGTGGAAAAACCAGAAGAGGGTGGGAGCTCCAAGGAAGCTGATATATCAGTGACACAGTCAGGTAGAGAAAACTGAAGGATGTGAGAAATATGAGATTATGATTTGGGATATGGTTCATGGATACTAAGTTACTGGATAAATAAGTGCCAGGAGAAAAGAAATGACAAAGCAGCAACTCCGTCTCAAAAAGTGAAATGTAATTCAAGAAATCAATTCTCTGTCCCAAAAATGTAAGGTACTTATGTTCACCTTACAAATGAATCCAGTTAAGATGCAAAGCAATTATGTGACTGGCTCAAGGCTATGATGCCACTGAGGCCTAACAGATCCCTAACTTCAGGTGTCCTGTTGGGAGTGTAGACTTTTCCTATCACAGCCCATTGCCTCACTTCGCCAGCAGTACTGACCTCAAGGACATATGTTTCCTGATTCTGAAGCCCAAACTTCCTCCTTTCTTTTGGAGGACAAATTAGATAGGCCCCCTCTTTCTTGTCTTCTTCCTGCTGTCCCTCTGCTGCTACTTCCCAAAAACCTTGTGCCCTTGCTGATCTTAGTCACTTCCATCCTATCCTGGATCCCTACATCACCAGCCTGAGTCCCTCGTTCTCACAATTCCCTCTGCAGAGGGACAGCTACTGAACCTGGGGATCCTCTGGCCCAGGAGAGATTCTCAGTATTCAGGAGGCTGTACTTCAGCTTTCCAGATCACTCTCTCCTGTTTCCATCTTCACTGCCCCTAGCTCTTTCCCCAGCACCCAGTCCTACTGGAGGGAATCAGCAGGGGTTTTCCTACTGCTTTGGCTCTAAGACTTGCCAGAATCACCTTTATCCACCTCATTTCCTTCAACTCAGACCTCCATAGAGCTGACCTCAGGGATCCACAGCTCACCTGGTATTGAGCTTTCAGAGGCATGGCTGCCATGACCTGGTCTCCCTCTTAGCAGGCAAAGGCTGAGGGAAGAAACAGAGAGAACCAACAGTGAGCTCAGCCCAGTAAAATGCTCTCTTTAGAGCAATAAATTTGCCAATAGCAAGCAGCATTCACTTACTAAATGCTCACTGGGTTAGTGGTGCATAAATATGTACTTTTTAATCCACATCATACCATGAGGTTTGTAATTCTGAGGAAACAGATTTTGAAAGAATAAGTAACTTGTCCTAGGACACCAGAGCCTGTCCTCACCAACACCAAGCTAAATGAAGAGCAAAACAAGCAAAAGACACCAATAAACTCAGAGCGAAACCTAACAAGAAGAATCTCAGACCTTTATTTTTAAAAATAAATTTGACTGAGAATATAAAAGGTTAAAAATAGCAAGTATCATGCTTTTGGATGAAAAATACATATTCTCTTATTTAGTCCTCACAACAATCTTTTGAACCTTTAATTTTTCCCAAATGAGAAGACAAGGCTAAGAGAATAATTTCTTCTACCAAGATCACTCAGCTGGTGAATGGATGAACTCGGATCCCACACTAGATCTGCCAGGCTTCAAAGGTCATGTTTTTGTCTGTTTGTTTGTTTGTTGAGACAAGAATCTCACTGTCACCTGGGCTGGAGTGCAATGGCGTGATCTCAGCTGACTGTAACCACGGCCTCCCAGGTTCAAGCAATTCTCCTGCCTCAGCCTCTCAAGTAACTGGGATTACAGGCATGTGCCACCACACCTGGCTCATTTTTGTAATTTTAGTAGAGACAGGGTTTCATCATATTGCCCAGACTAGTCCTCAAACTACTGGCCTCTAGCGATCCACCCACCTCGGCCTCCCAAAGTGATGGGATTACAGGCGTGAGGCACCGCCTCCTGCTTTTAATAACTACACTAAATTCTTTCCAATAGTAATCCTAACAGGAATGCTTTTAGAACTGGCAAAATGATTTTAAGGTTAACATAAAATAATAGACAAGAATGGCCAAGAAAACTCAGGAAAAAAATCTCAGAGCAAGTCTTCCTTTACTTGGACCTGGAGCAGGCATCTTTTTTGTTCATTGCCCCACTCAAGGGCCATGAAAACCAGAAACTGATTACCAAAGGACCCTGAAGGGCCAACTCAACACACTAAAACATCTGGGTTATTGTTTTAACTATATCATCTCTTACAGACACTTTGTATTCTAGTTAAACAGCAATATTCTATAAAAAGCCAGCATCTTCCCTACAGGGACTTAATGCATGATGCTGTTTTCTGCGAGCCTCATCTTGTGCCGCCACCCTCTTTTCTCTTAGTTTAGCTACAATGGCCTTCTTTCAGTTTCCTCTGTGCTAACTCAGGACCTTCATACCTGCTGTTTCTTCTGTATGAACTACTCTTCTCCAATCTCAGAACCATTACAACTGAGATTCTCTGCCTGCCATTCTCTCCAGTAATCTAGCCGCCATTCTCTCCAGTAATCTATCCACCCTTCACCTTCAGATCATGATCGCTCTACAGACCAGGTCAGGTGTCTCTGTTAAACACTCCACTCGCACCGTACTCCTTTTCCTATATACCACTTAATCCAGTTTGAAATTATATATTGATTTGTGCTTTCTTCATTCAACAAATATTTATCTCATACATATTTCATGCAAGGCCACGTGTGACACACAACAGATGAAGTAGAGAGAGAAGGGGCATGATCCTGTCCCTCGCAGAGCTTAGTCTAAAGGAAAGACACATTAATCAAGATTCTCTCAAATAACTTTTAAGTCCACAATTTAAATCACTGCCAGGGGAAACTAACGTGGATGGGAAGCTTAAGAAAATAAATTAACTAAGGTATGAAGGAAATCTTTACAAAAGTAACAGCATACGCAAAAGCCATGTTCTAGTAGTGAAGGATCAAGAACACTGTAGTAGCAGTCAAAGGAGAGTGTGCTGTTAGATGATGCTGAAGAAGTCACAAGGGACAAAGCCACACTTTGTGCACGTCAAGAACTTGGTCTTCGATCTACGTGCACTAAGTCACGGGCAGGTGGAGTGAAATAACCAGATTTGATTAATACATGACTTTCCCATTGGGCGGAAAGCTTCCTGGGGGCGGGGCCCACGCCCCGCCTCATTCACCGCTGCATCCCCGGAATCTAGAGCAGGAACTGGCACATAGCTGCTCAGTAAGCAGCTGTGGCCCAATGAGCAGATGGGGTTTGGGCGGCGTCGAGAACAGAGGCGTCCCTTCCATCCAGCCGCCCATATCCACAGCCTCCATTTCCCAAGGCGCCGATGCAGGCGTGGGGGAGCGAAGGCACCAGAGGGAGACCGGGACCGGCCCGCGAGCAGCCTCCGCTCCCCGGTCCCGGAGGGGCCGCCCTGTCTCCCTCCACTGAGGCAGCAGGGACGAAGCCGACAGCCTTCTCTAGAGGTGCAGTGCCTGAGCCTAGCAAGGACTCCTAGGCGACAAACCCCAACACTCACCTCAGGAAAAACAGAAAGCGGTGCGTGAACGGAAGTGCGTCACTACTTTGGCCTTGCACCCAGGCTCACACGCGTACTCTCTAGGATGCCGGAGCGGTCTTCTCAGTGGTTGTGTGGTTTTACTCCCGGGAGGAGTTTCCACCCGGGGATCCTCAGAGACCTTGAATAGGAAAGAAAGTATATCATTGTTTTCGCTAATCTCTAACCGAAATTTAGCATTTTCTTCTATGTTGGCAACAAACTACTGTAGTATCAGCCGTATCTGTGACTGTCACCGATAGAAATCACAGATATTTTCATATCACATTACAGTTGATGCAGATCTCAGAATATGGCTATTCTCGTCACTAATTTGAAATTGTCCTTGTTGTTATCGGGCCCACCTCAAGTCTTGTCATTACATTTCATCACGTTGGTAAAGCTGCACTTATATTTCTGTATCACAAATTCTAAAAAACTGTTTAATTGTATGTTCATTGGTTTTGAAGGTGTCACCAGACTGCCAAAGGGTCTTTGCACAAAAAAGCTGTCCTCCTTAGAGGTAAAGACCCAGACACGTTAAGAAAGACCAGGTCAGCAGGCCAGGCGCGGTGGCTCACGCCTGTAATCCCAGCACTTTCGGAGGCCAAGGCGGGCAGATCACCTGAGGTCAGGAGTTCGAGACCAGCCTGGTCAACGTGGTGAAACCTCGTCTCTACTAAAAATACAAAAATTAGCCAGGCGTAATGGCGGGCACCTGTAATCCCAGCTACTCGGGAGGCTGAGGCAGGAGAATTGCTTGAACCCGAGAGGTGGAGGTTGCAGTGAGCCGAGATTGTGCCATTGCACTCCAGCCTGGGCGACAAAAGCAAAACTCCATCTCAAAAAAAAAAAAAACCAAAAAAACAAAAAAAAACAAAAAGAAAGAAAGACCAGGTCTAAGGAGGGATATATTAAGTAACTATTTAGGAAGTGAAAACGGTGGACATTTTTTTTTTTAATGACTGAATACAAGGCAGCCAGAGCAATCTATAATAGCCATGAATTTTGGATGACCTGATAGATGAAGGTGCCATTAGCTGAGATCAGGAATTGAAGAAGAGGAGCTGGTTTCAGGCAAGAAGGTGAAAGAATTTAGTTTCAAAAATACTGAACACACACACACACACCTGCCTTATTAACATTTAATTCACACACCATACAATTCATCAATGCAGAGTATAAAATTAAATAGGTTTTAGTGTGTTCAGAGACTTGCGCAAACATCACCACAATCAGTTTCAGGACATTTTCATCTCCCCAAAGGAACCTCATAACCATCAGCAGTCACTCTCCATTTTCCCTCTGGTAAGCAGAATGGTGTTTTGTTCCCCTCAAAGATGTATATGTCCTAATCTCTAGAACCTGTGAGTACATTAAGTTACATGACAAAGGGAAATTGAGGTTGCAGGTGGAATTAAGATTGCTAGTCAGCCAACTTTAAGATTATCTTGGGGCTAGGCACAGTGGCTCACATCTGTAATCCCAGCACTGTGGGAGGCCCAGGTGGGCAGATCACTTGAGCCTGGGAGTTCAAACCAGCCTGGGCAACATGACAAAACCCTGTCTCTACCGAAAAAAAAAAAAAAAAAATTCCAAAAAGGAACAAAAATTGGCCAGGTGTGGGCACACGCCTGTAGTCCCAGCTACTAGCTGAGTTGGGAGGATCACTTGAGCCTGGGAGGTCAAGGCTGCAGTGAGCCTTGATTGAGCCACTGCACTCCAGCCTGGGCAACAAAGCGAGACCCTGTCAAAAAAAAAAAGATGATTATCTTGGATTATTCAGGTGGGCCCAGTGTAATCATAAGAGTTCTTGAACGTGAAAGAGGGAATTGAAAGAGAATCACAAAAATGACAGCACAAGAAGGACTTGGCCCAACCTCACTGGCTTTGAAGATGGAGGAAGGGGCCAAGGGTCAAGGAAAGTGGGTGGCCTCCAGAAGATGAAAAAGGCAAGGAAACAGATTCTCTCCTTAGTCTAAATCCTGAATTTATACCAGTGGGACCCATTTTGGATTTCTGACCTCCAAAACTCTAAGATAAATTAGTGTTGTTTTACGCCACTACTCATGGCAATTTGTTACAGCAGCAATAGAAAATTAATAGACACACATGTACATACCTCTCTTCTTCCCCCAATTCTAGACAACCACTTTCTTTATAGATTTGCCTATTCTGGATATTTACATTACATAAATGACCATTAAGTCTGGATATAAAACAAAAACAAGTCTCTATTGTTAATTTTATCGGTTTTTAGAAACATGGGAACCCGTATGTTTACTTGGTGAAGAGTTGAGTATATTCTTGGCCAGAAGATGGGAACACTAAAATTAAAAACAAAAAGAGTTGGGAATAACTTATTTTTGTTTTGCAGGGAGTGGAAAGGAAGAAAATTTCCACTCTCATTTGTCTGGAAAGTCTCCCAGAGAGTTTTCAAGATCATTAATAATAATAGCTAATTCACACTGACCTGTCTTCCCAGCCAATGTATCACCTCTAAGGAAATGTATACTTGATATGTTTTGGCTCTGTGTCCCCAGGCAAATCTCATGTTGAATTATGATCTTCAGTGTTGGGGGAGGAACATGGTGGAAGGTGATTGGATCATGGGGGCGGATTTCCCCCTTGCTGTTCTCGTGATAGTGAGTTCTCATGTGATCTGGTTGTTTCGAAGTGTGTTGCGCTTCCTCCTTTGCTGTCTCTCTCCTGCTGGCCATGTGAAGATTGTGCCTGCTTCCCCTTTGCTTTCCACCATGATTGTAAGTATCCTGAGGCCTCCCCAGCCATGCCTCCTGTACAGCCTGTGGAACTGTTAGCCAATTAAACCTCTTTTCTCCATAAATTACCCAGTCTCAGGTATATCTGTATAGCACTGTGACAACGGACTAATACAATACTCATACTCATGTCTGTCACAATCTCTACCATCAAACATAATTACTTTCAAGCTTTGACCATTCCTTAGATTCCAATGGGAACCACCTTTCTTTCTGGTCACCTCACAGCCTAACTATCCAGCTCTCCCTCTAACTCCTACAGTATCTTTAACTGAAGCTATAAGTAATATCAGATCATGATACCCAGAGTATGGTGTATGATCATGGCATATTTACTGTTACTTAATCCTGACTTGAAAATACTAACTTCTCTCCCATATGTCTGAAAATCCCAGCCACAAATAGGCTGAGGCTGTGGTGGAACTTAAGTTTCATGCACAAAGTCATTTTTGCCTTGGCTGCAAAAAAATATGTAGTTAAGCTAAATATTGTGCTGCAGTATCTATACTGACATATAATTCAATATTATTCTCTCCTTGCAGCTGCAAACATACTTAATGATGAAAGACAGAATGTCTTTCCCTCCAAGATTGGGAACATGGCAGGTATGTCTGCTCTTACCACTACTATTTAACATCATATTGGGAGTCTTAGCAAGAGCAAGGCCAGAAAAAGAAATAAAAGGCACATAGGTCAGACACAGTGGCTCACACCTGTAATCCCAGCACTTTGGGAGGCCAAGGTGGATGGATTGCTTGAGGCCAGGAGTTCAAGACCAGCCTGGCCAACATGGAGAAATCGCATCTCTACTAAAAATATAAAAATGAGCCAGGTGTGGTGGTGTGTGCCTGTAATCCCAGCTACTCAGGAGGCTGAGACATGAGAATTGCTTGAACCCGGGAGGTGGAGGATGCAGTAAGCTGAGAATATGCCACTGCACTCCAGCCTGGGTGACAGAACGAGACTATCTCAAAAAAAAAAAAAAAAGAAAAAGAAAAAGAAATGAAATGAAAGACACACAGATTCGAAACTCAGAACAAAACTGTTACTATCTGCAGGCAACATGATTATCTGTATAAGAAGTCCCAAAGAATCTACAAAACAAGCTCCTAAAATTAAAAGTGAGTTCAGACTGGTCACAGTGGCTCACGCCTGTAATCCCAGCACTTTGGGAGGCCGAGACAGGCGGATCGCCTGAGGTCAGGAGTTTGAGACCCGTCTGACCAACATGGTGAAACCCCGTCTCTACTAAAAATACAAAAATTAGCCGGGTGTGGTGGCAGGCACCTGTAATCCCAGCTACTCGGGAGGCTGAGGCAGGAGAATCACTTGAACTCGGGAGGCGGAGGTTGCAGTGAGTAGAGATGGTGCCATTGCACTCCAGCCTGGGTGACAAGAGCGAGACTTCGTCTCAAAAAAACCAAAACAAACTAACAAAAACATAAAAACACTATGGGACAATGGCATTTGTTTGGACACAGGTCTCCAAATCTGCCTCTTCAAAAGAAACAGACACTGCAACTGCAAGAGCCTTGGTTAAAGACTTAAGCCGGCCCCAACTAAGAGTGGGGATGGCTTCCCTAGGAGGTAGGAATCAGCTGGAGTCCTTGCCTCTCCTGGTGCCCAGGCAGTGCCATCTGCAGACACTTCTGTCATCCTCCCATCCTTGGGGGGCTCTTTCTCCAGCTCCAGTTCGTGAGCGGCAAAGCTTGCAGCTGTACAGCCTCCAAGAGCAAACAGCCCAGGTCCCACCCGGCCACAATTGTATAGTGACGCCCTCCCCGTCCCCTTCTTTGAGCTGCGCTCAAAGGACCAGCCTGGACTGCTATGCTGTCTCACTCCCAACCCAAGCTCCGCCCAACTGTGGGTCCTTGCACTTTGGCACCTTTGAGCGCGGACTCAAAACAGGCCAGAAGCGCACCGCTAGCGAGAACGGTTAGGAGGCCGGAAGTGCGTCACGCTTGTGGGGCGCTTGGAGGCCAGAAGTGCGTCATGAGCACGGCTGCTCTTTCTACGGTGCAACTTTTCCGCATCTCGGTGTTTCCGATTGGGAGACATCCTCTTCCTTTCCTTGTACACACTTTTTTCTCTCCTCAGGAACCTCACGCCTGGGTCATTGTCCATTTGGGTGGGTCAAGAAAGCGATCGCTTCTGCCCGGGAGCAGTTGATTGTCAGGAAGGAATTCGTGATAAAACCGCCATCACCACAGGCCTAGATGGTGGCCGGTGTTTCCTGGTTGCTTACTGGTCTTTCTGAGTTCTGGTTCACTCGCAGTGAATCAACTTCCTTTCACAAGCTCTGCCACTCACGGGCCATTGAGGAAGACCCTTGTGTCTCTGAGCAGCTTTTGTCTTCTGTAAAATGAGCCAGTCAGATTATACCATTCAAGCTGTCTTTAATTCCATGCACTGTAACCTCCAATGGTTTGCCACTACCCCTGGAGTCCAAGTCACCATTCAAGGCTCCTCAGACCCTTGCCCTCCTTCCCCTCTAAATGATAAAGAAAATGCCAAAAGCGCAGGGCATATGGGCTAAGAGAGATAGCTCTAAAGTGTTAGTGCCTGTGGCTTTCTGGGTCCACAAAAGAGAACTCTGGCCAGGATTTTGCTGGACTGTCAAAACGTTTGTGATCACTGTCACAGAATTACAAAACAAACTGGGGACTTAGAGCTTCTTAGTCCCATCTCCTTTACAACAGTATGACATAGTGGTAAGGAGCACAGCCTGGCATCAGGATGCTTTGTTTCAAAGGCCAAAGGACCACTCTGTGACCTTTGGTGCATTACTTAACCTGTAAGTGTCACATTTATTTCTAAAACTAGGATAATAATAGTATTTATTCCCCGGATTGTTGTGAGGATTAGATGTTAGTACATGTAAATCAGTACAATGTCTAGCACATACTAAACACTCACTAGATATTAGTAATTATTACACTCACTAGATATTAGCGATTATTAATAGCTTAGGAATTGAGCCTGAATAGGCTCTGGAGTTAATCCAGTATTCAATCTTTTTATTAAAACCTTTGAAAATGGTTATAAACCTCAGTGGGTTTGGGCATCTGTACACTTTTTACTACCAGACTAGATAGTATAAGCAAAGCCTGGTGGCAGTTCAGGGTTGGTTCTTAGAAGATCAGAGTGCTAAAATAGCTAGCTCATCATGAGCTGAGGACTTCCAGGATGACTAGTTGGACTTGCTGTTCAGTTGGGACTTCAGCAACACAAGTCCAGACAAATGGGACCATGATCCAGGTCTTCAAGAGCAACCCTCAGGCTTTCTGCAGAGTGTAAACTCCTCAAGAAAGAGGCTTTTCTATCTTGTCCATGACTGTATCCTGAGTTTCTAGAATAGTGTTTATAACACAGTTCATGATCAATAATCATTTTTTGATGAATAAAGAGTTGGACATATATGATTATACTCCCTTACTATAAGGGAGAGTGGGACAGATAATACAAGCACTCAACGCAGAATGAATCATGAGTAAGAGAAAACCAAGACTCAAAGAGTTTCAGTAAGGCCACAGCATATAATAGGTATCAGAGTTAAGATTTAAACCCTAGATTATTTCCACCATGTCAAACTGGCTTTCCAGAACAATATACTAAGTGGTATTCCAAGTCCCAATACGCCTTTCTATGCTCTCACACCGTGGACACAAGCTTTCTGACCTCAGTCCCTTCAGGAAGAGAGAGAGAGAAGAGCAACAGTAACTGTAAGAGGAAAAATCATCAAATTCTGAAATAAGGGCCAAAGAACCATATAAGATGACACGAGTCCCATTTTACAGATGAGGAAACTGAACACAGAAAGATTAAATAACGTGCTCAAAGTCATGCACAGCTCTTATGTGGCAGAGCCAGAATTCAAACCATGATAGTTTGGCCTCAGTATACACACATAAGCACTCTATCACTGCCTCAGATACGTAGTTCTGTGTCTCATAGTGAAGAAGTTGAAATATGTTAAGCCAAACTAATGTTTCCAAGCCTCCATTTATTAACTGTGATTTGGGGCAAGTTACCTAGATTCTCTGTGCCTTCAATTTTCTCACCTATAAAATGGGTACAATATTAATACCTACTTTGTAGGCTGTTGAGAGGATTAAACAACATGTGAAAATCATTTATTTTCATATCTAACTTATTGTAAACATTCGCTACATTTCTAATTAATTGATTGTTTCATTTTTATTTAGTTTTTTTTTTCTTTAGAGTAGGGGTCTCTCCATGTTGCCCAGGCTGGATTTGCACTTCTGAGCTCAAGTGATTCTCCCCAATCAGCCTCTCAAATAGCTGGGTATATAGGCATGTGCCACTGTGCCCAGATAAGGTATAATTTAAGTTCAGTAAAGAGTACAAATCTTAAGTGTAAAACTTGATGAATATTTATATATGTAACTTCAACCTGATCAAGATATAGAATGTCCCCAGCACCCCAAAAACCTCTCTGTTATACCCCTTCCTAGTTGATAGCCTCCCCAAAATAATCACTATTCTGACCTCCATCACCTTAGCTTTACCTGTTTTTAAACTTTATATAAATGGAATCATATTGTAATAGAACCATGCAGCTCATTTCTTTAATCTAACATAATATCTTTGAGATTCATCTATTGGATATAACTATAGTTCATTCATTTTTATCATTGTTTAATGGTTCATTGTTAAATAAACCACATTTTTTTACCCAAAAAAATCTACTGTGATGGACATTTAGTTTTTTTTTTACTTTTTGGCTCTTATGAATAACCTTGAAGATTATTTATGAATAACTGCAATAAACATTTTCACACGTCTGGTGAACATAAGCTCTTATCTTTCTTAAACATACTTAAGAGTGAATTTGCTGAGTCATTGGATATCATACATTTCGCCTCAGTCAATAACTGCCACCAGACCAGGTGGTATAAGCAAAAAGATAACACAACTTTATTACTATTAATAATTTTTTCTTTTTTAATGTTTTAGAGATGGGGCCTTGCTATGTTGCCCAGGCTGGTCTTGAACTCCTGGGCTCAAGAGATCCTCTGCCTCAGCCTCCCAAAGTGCTGGGATTACAGGCATGAGCCACCATGCCCAGCTAATAACAATTCTTAATATCCTTTAATACCCAGCCATAATCCATTTTCCCTGATTGTCTCAAAAATGTCTTTTTACAGGTGGTTTATTCTAATCATGACCTAAACAAGGTCCTTACGCTGCATTTAACAATATGTCTCTGAAGTCTCCGTGTAAAATGCAGTTTTTCAGTGTGCTTGTACCAATTTCCTGTTTAGTAGCAGCATATGAGAGTACACTTGTTCTACATCACACTCAATAAATGTGAACCATTATGAGAATTGTAACTCTAATTATTTGGTGAATCAGAGGAGGAAGGCTAAAATTATACTGGGTTTTGCCTGGGGTAACTGAGTAGGTGGTGAGGTTTCAGGGGGAGAGGCGGACAAGCAATAATGAGTTTTTGGTGTCTGCATGGAAATACATCTAGTTGGACATGTCATCTGAAGCCCAGGGGAAAGTGCAGGGCAGAGGTAGTGATATGGGTGGATAAAGATGTAAGACCAGATGGGATCACAATGAGCCAACAGAGAATTTGTAACCAAACAGCCTAGCCTGAAAATGCATTTTAAAACCTTTTTTCTTTTTTCTGTTTTTTCCCTAGTCTCAAGATATAACCTTGAAGCTTACTGCATATATCATTGTTTTCTTCTCCTTAGTCTTAAAGTACAGCCTTGAAATTTACTTTCTTTGAAACACCACGTCCCTCCCTTTCTTACCATACACTTCCTTACACCATGCACATTTTTATCTAACTATATGCTGGTATCTAATTATGTGATTACTTAGAAATTCCAGGGGCTAATCTTGAAACAGACCAAGCATAGGGACCCAGCTGCAAAATTCCAGAAATTCAAGGCAGTTAGAAAATAACCTGGCCATTGTTGAGATGATGCCAGCCCACACTCTAAGTGGACCACAGCTCAAGATAGCCACTGGAACAAGACACGTAGACCTTGTACTCAGTACCCCTCTCACATGCCTCCCATTCCAAGTTCCCTTTTTTAAGCCCTTCTCCTCAGCCTAAAATTTGAAGTGGTTACCTTGGATGTGAATCCAGCCACTTCCCCACTGCAAGTTTTGGTAAAGAATAATGTCACTTTCTTTCTATCATAGCTCGCTCTTGTTATTGGATTCTGCAAGCAGCAAGCGGCCAGACCTGCCTTCGGTTACAAGTTCAAAGGCCCAGATGGTTCATTTAAATAGAATAGGGGCCTAAGTTTCTGTATTTTTCACATGTCCCCTGGATGATTATGACACACATTAATGTTTGAGCACCACTGATGAAAGCAGTGGGTTAAGGAAGGAACCCTAGAAAGCAATGACATTTTAGGAGGAAACCTCTCATGACATAGGTTCAAATTAAGAGAGGATGTGGAATCTTGGAAGATACAGAAGTAGGGTTTTATGGAATGGGAGTTCAACTGTGTCAAACCAGCAGGGTTTTGTTTTGTTTTTTGAGACAGAGTCTCGCTGTGTCGCCCATGACGGAGTGCAGTGGCGCAATCTCGGCTCACTGCAAGCTCCGCCTCCCAGGTTCATGCCATCCTCCTGCCTCAGCCTCCCGAGTAGCTGGGACTACAGGCACCCGCCAGCACGCCCGGCTAATTTTTTGTATTTTTAGTAGAGATGGGGTTTCACTGTGTTAGCCAGGATGGTCTCGATCTCCTGACCTTGTGATCCGCCTGCCTCAGCCTCCCAAAGTGCTGGGATTACAGGCGTGAGCCACCGCTCCCGGCCCAAACCAGCAGAGTTTTAATAAAAATTATATTAATAAAATAAGGACCACAACAGTACCACCTAGTGGAAATTTCTGGGAGACGTAATCAGCCGTCTTTTCTCTTGCTCCTCTTGCCTGTGTTCTTTGACCTTTCACAACTGGAAGCTCTGAGGCCACACTTCTGTCTCTTTCTCACAAATATACACATGCCCACGTTTAAAATATATATATTTAAATATAGTTCTGTGTACATTCTTATTATTTTAGAGTTGCCTGGAGTTTTTTTCTTTCATGTTTTCCTTATTTTTTAAACTTTTTTTTTTTTTAGATGAAGTCTCGTTCTTGTCCCCCCATTGCTGTAGTGCAGTGGCGCAATCTCGGCTCACTGCAACCTCCGCCTCCCGAGTTCAAGCGATTCTCCTGCCTCAGCCTCCCAAGTAGCTGGGATTACAGGCGTGTGCCACCACACCCGGGTAATTTTTGTATTTTTAGTAGAGATAGGCTTTCACCATGTTGGCCAGGCTGGTCTCAAACTCCGGACCTCAGGGGATCTGCCCGCCTCAGCCTCCCAAAGTGCTGGGATTACAGGCGTGAGCCACCGCGCCCAGCCCATATTTTTTAAACTTTTAATTTTAGGTTTTTAAAAGTTACTCTGTAAAGTAGTATAATGGACCCCCGGTGCCCATCCATCATCACCAGCTTCAATTCCATCTCATTGCATCTGCTCCTACAAACACACATGTAAACATGTGCACACACACTTTTGCTGTTATTGTTTACCTGTTTTGCTGGAGTTGAACTCAGACATCATATCATTTCTACTGTCAGTACTTCACTGTGTTTCTCTAGGAGATAAAGATAAGGGGATAAAGATAACACAATTATATTACCATTAATAAAAGTCTTAATACCCCCTAATACCCAGCCATATTCAATTTTCCCTGATTGTCTCAAAAATGGCTTTGTACAGGTGGGGTTTTTTTGTTTGTTTTTTGTTGTGGTGGGTTTTTTTTTGTTTGTTTGTTTGTTTTGAGACAGAGTTTTGCTGTTGTTCCCCAGGCTGGAGTGCAATGGCACGATCTTGGCTCACTGTAACTTCAGCCTCCTTGGTTCAAGCAATTCTCCTGCCTCAGCCTCCCAAGTAGCTGGGATTACAGGCATGCGCCACCACACCCGGCTAATTTTTTTCTATTTTTTTAGTAGTGATGGGGTTTTACCATGTAAGTCAGGCTGGTCTCAAACTCCTGACCTCAAGAGATCCACCCACCTCGGCCTCCCAAAGTGTTGGGATTACAGGTGTGAGCCACCTCGCCAGGTCTACAGGTGGTCTTTCTAATCATGATCCAAACAAGGTCATCATACTTCATTTAGCAATATGTCTCTTAAGTCTCTTAAGTATATATAACAATTTGTCCTCCTTTTAAAAATGACATTTGTTCTTTGAAGACGTTGGACTATTTGTCCTACAGAATTTCTCCCATTCTGTGTTTGGCTGTGGTGTTATTTAACATCTTGACTTGTTCCCCACCATGTTTAGTGTGAGTTGGTAGTGTGATCCAGGAGTTTGATTTTATTTTATTCAAGTCCAACTCTAGTGGCTCCTCGCACACTCTTCCTAAACATCTTTGTTCTCCTTTTTCTCTTTTTCAATATTTACTCAATATTCTCAGAAAACTCAGTCTCCCTCTCTGCCTGTTCATTAAATGTGTTGGAAAAAAAAAAAAGACCTTGGTAATGGGTAATTATAGTAGACGAACTAGAGATAAAACTTGAATGTGGAATGGAAAACTCTATTTTTGCTTTTATTAGTTTTAATTAATAATAATAACTGTACATACCTATGGGATACTGTGTGATATTTCAATACATATATACAATACATAATGATCAAATCCACATAATTAGCATATCCATCGCCTCAAACATTTATCATTTCTTTGTGCTGGGAACATTCAAAATCCACTCTTCTAGCTATTCAAAATACAATAAATTATTGTTAATTATAGTCATTCTATTATGCTTTAGAATGCTAGAACTCAGTCCTGCTATCTAGTTCTCCTTTTGTATCCATTAACCAAATTTTGGCTCTCTCTGTATTTTGTTTTTAATGACCATAGTTTTAAGAGATCAAGTTTTAAAGCCCTTAGACATTCCCAGGAGGCCTCTTCCATAACATCTTCAATAAACTCCTAATTCTCCAATGGCTATCTATTCAGCAAATATTTATCGAGGTTTTACTGGTTATGTGCCAGGTATCATTCTGGGGATAGAGCAGTGAATAAAATAGACAAAAAATATTTACATTTATAGAACTTGCATTATATTGTAATTAATTTCTCTCACATTATACCTGCTGTCTTAATAAAGAGAATGAAATGGAAGAAATTTTTTATTTGGTATTTGCTAATATTGTAATTGTTTTGTTGCACTGACATATACATATAACAAAATTGCTCCATTATGGAAAAACTGATTTTCATTTCCAGGTAGTGACTTAACCACCACTTAAGATGCTAATTCACTTGGAAATAGCATTCTGGGGTGCAAAATTAATTTCCAAATTAACTTTGGAAGATGACTGTAAGTTTTATAAAATTATGGAAGTTTATGAAAAACTAACACTTTTTAACAGCTAAATAAATTATCAAGGTAGGCTTAAATGTAAAAAATGAAATCAGACAGTATTAGAAAAATTATTTTCTCGTACTTCTGCTTATACCAGTAAAAGCCTCTATTAAAAAGTAAGAGTTGATTTGGGAGGCCGAGGCGGGTGGATCACCTGAGGTCAGGAGTTCAAGACCAGCCTGGCCAACATATAGTGAAACCCCATCTCCACTAAAAATATAAAAATTAGCTGGGCAGAGTGGCACACGCCTGTAGTTCCAGCTACTTGGGAAGCTGAGGCAGGAGAATTGCTTGAACCTTGGAGGTGGAGTTTGCAGTAAGCTGAGATCGCACCACTGCACTCCACCCTGGGCAACAGAGCGAGACTCTGTCTCTCAAAAAAACAAAAACAACAAAAAAGTTAGAGTTGAAAACCCTAGACTAGGCCCTTCAGCACTGGAATCAGATCTAAGTGTATTAGAACAGAAATTTACCAATTAGTTTTCTTCTGATTCCAAGATGATCCTTTGAAATAATTTATCCTCAGGATTTGGCTTACTCACAGAGAACATCCATTTCCTACAGTAAGGTGACTCTCAAATAAAATGAAAGTGAGCTACAGGAATCTAACAACCCCTCAAAAATCTTCCGGAATCTAATCAACACCAAATAGGAGGAAGGGCCATTGGTCAGTTCATTTGCAGAGATTTTATTACATATCTTTGTCCTACAAGTTTCAGACTGGCTGGGCGTGGTGGCTCATGCCTGTAATCCCAGCACTCTGGGAGGCGGAGGCAGGTGGATCACTTAAGGTCAGGAGTTCAAGGCTAATCTGGCCAACATGGTGAAACTCCATCTCTAATAAAAAATATAAAAATTAGCTGGACATCGTGGTGTGCACCTGTAGTCCCAGCTTCTCAGGAAGCTGAGGCAGGAGAGTCACTTGAACCCAAGAGATGAATGCTGCAGTGAGGCAAGATCGTGCCACTGTACCCCTGGGTACAGTGTCTGGGTAACAGAGCAAGACTCCATCTCCAAAAAGAATAAAAATAGAAGTTTCAGACCAAAGTGCCACCTTGGTTTTTAGTTCTTTGTTCTGAGCTAAGCATATTAGCTTTTATTTTTATACGTTCTTGTTGTTTATCTTCTACATTTCTTTTTCATGCTCCCATCTTGTGGAAGATCCCTCTTGTGCAGATTTGGATGCTAGACCTGCAAGCGAGAGAGTGAGTGGCTCCTTGAAGATACTGGCAGTCCATGGAGAGTTAGCATGTGTGGAGTTTGGGCTCTAGTGCCTTGTTTTCTAAAGATGGTGTTTGGTATAGTTTGGATATGTGTCCCTGCCCAAATCTCATGTTGAAATGTAATCCCCAGTGGTGGAGGTGGGGCCTGGTGGGAGGTGACTGGATCATAGGGGCGGAGTTCTCATGAATGATTTAGCACTATGCCCTTGGTGCTGTCCTTGCGATAGTGAGTGAGTCTTCCTGAGATCTGGTTGTTTAAAAGGATGTGGCTCCTCCCCGCTCTCTCTCTTGGTCCTGCTCCTGCCATGTGATGTGACTGCTTCCCCTTCAACTTTGGCCATAATTGTAAGTTTCCTGAGGCCTCCCCAGAAGCTGAGCAGATGCCAGCATCATGCTTCCTGTACAGCCTGCAGAACCATGAGCCAATTAAACCTCTTTTCTGTATAAATTACCCAGTCTCAGCTATTTCTTTATAGCAAGGTGAGAACAGCCCAACGCAGTGTGCCAGCACTGTTCTCTTCCCCTCTTTTCACTCCGCACACAAAAGTTCTGCAATTCTGTGAATTTACTGTGTTTTTGTTCAAGTGTCTTAGCAACTTCATTCAGAATTTCAACATGCCATTTTAATCTGCTTCTCCCTCCCAAGCCTGTTACCTTGAAGTAGTAATTAACTGTCCTCATGCTTTTTCTTATTTTACTTGCTTGTCATTGATGGTGTTCTGAGCTACTCTTCCCTTGAGCTTCTTTGTTCATTCCTGAGGTCTTTCTCTTCCCTCTTCTCCCCGAGCACACCCAAAGTTTTCATCTAGTTAGTGATTTGCAATGTTATGCCCTACTTCATCTTTTTTTTTTTTTTGAGATGGAGACTCACTCTGTCACCCAGGCTGGAGTGCAGTGGTGTGATCTCGGCTTACTGCAACCTCTGCCTCCTGGGTTCAAGCGATTCACCTGTGTCAACCTCCCGAGTAGCTGGGACTACAGGCGCCCACCACCATGCCCAGCTAATTTTTGTATTTTTAGTAGAGACAGGGTTTCACCATGTTGGTCAAGCTGGTCTCGAACTCCTGATCTCGTGATCCACCCACCTCGGCCTCCCAAAGTGCTGGGATTACAGGTGTGAGCCACTGCGCCCGGCCTACTTCATTTCAAATATTTAATTTTGGGTCTTTTCCAACATAGATTGAAACTTTTTTGCATATTTATTAGCTTTAATAATGTAAATGTGGTCTCATACTGGGTAGAATTATCTTATTTGTTGCTCCTCGTACAAACTTCTCTGATCCCTGCCAGGCGAGGTATCAGAGCCCCAGCAATGGCAAGTGGCTGGCTTGCAGGTGGTAAAAAAGAATTTACAGTATAGGTTTGAAAAGGAAAGTTTTATTAGATAGAAAGAACACTGCAGGAGAGGGCAGTGAGGCACTTCAGCAAGAGAGGACTGAGCGTGCTGGTGGATTTTCCTTAGGGGTATTTATGGACCTTAAAGCAGGAGCTTAAGGGTAATGTGGACCACATTAGCAATGTAGGTCATGAAAAATGATCACATTTGTAGACATTTTAGTGCCTTGATGTCAGCAAGGGATGCACAATGAGTTTCAACGTGCATGGATTTCGGAGATGTATAGAACTCCTAGTTACTTATAAATTTAGGGGGAAGAAGTCTGGTACCAGATGCCAGCTTTAGATAATAGGCAAGTCTAATTACTTTCTAATTCCTCAGACAGGGAGTTTTGCCTCCAGATGGTCTGCCTGATGGCCACCAGGTGATCTTTGCTCTCCTCCATCATTATTACTGTCGTCATTTTTGAACCAGACCATATTCTGGCATCAAGAGGGAAGAAAAATTAACAATCTCCAACCATTTGAAGAGCCTGACTCTGTCCTGAATATTGAACTGCACTCTGAACAGCAGCTACATTTACTTGGCACAATGGTGACATCTAGTGTCAGCGGGATAAATTTCAGCTAGCTCTGCGATTTACCAGAAATTTAAGCACAGGGTCTCAGTGCCTCAGGATCCTCACCTCAACTTCCTTCAGGGCCAAGAAAATGTTTCCTTCCAATTTGTAATTTGCCTTTGGATTTTCTTAACAATTGCTCTTTAATTTTATACATTATTGGGTTTAAAATTAATGTACAATAGACCAGAGATGTTTAGAGTGTACAATATGATGAGTTTTTGACCAGCAGAGAACAAAATAGAAAAATTAAAAAAACCCTTGTCCTCATAGAGCTTACATTCTTAATGGCCAAAATTATGTCACATGGCTGCTCCTAACAGCAGAGGAATCTGTAAGGCAAGTTTTTTTACTTTCTTGCTTCCATAGTAGGAAGAAGATGGAAAGGGGGGGTTTGCGTGAGCCCATCTACAATTCCTGCCACAGTGAGACAGAGAAGCACTCAAATTACATAAGTGCTTATATACAACAGTTAAGGTTAAAGCATGTTTCAGAAGTATCGACATGCGTGTTCTTTACATCCGCCCTATTTATTATTATTACTACTATTATTATTAACTTAGATGCCTTCTTATGTGATGACATGTAAATAGATCCTCTAGCACAAGACCTTGATCCACAGAGGACCTCCAGTCAATGATAGACATTATCTTAGCACCAATAACGTACGCCCTGTGGTTTTCTAATGTTGCTTAGAGCTTTCATTATTTGCATACCTTGTTCGCTGTAAAGGTTCTCTGTCTACTATAAGCTCATCTGGCTCATGACACCCTTCATCTGGCTCATCAAGGTGTTCACAGCCTGTTTGTTTTCCAAACTCCCCTTGATGGAGAGAAACAGATGTCTACTAGACAGGATGAGTGGGTCCACTCATCTGGCTCAGAATATATCCATTCTTACTGAATCAATATTATATCACAGTTTATAAAAATGTACTCCAAAATTTCTGGGACTTACCACCAGGCTACGCTTTCCAAGGGAAAATCCATCAGAGCACTGGTTCTCAAACTTGGCTGCACATTGGGATCACCTAGGAAGTTTTTTAAAAAAACATAGTGCCTAGGACCCACCCCGCAAAACAGTGATTCTCAACTAGGTGGTTTGCCCCACTACTAGAAATACATGGATATGTCTTTTGGTCAGTACAACTAGGTAAGTGTGCTACTGGCATCTAGTGGGTAGAGCCCAAGGGTGCAGTTAAACAACCCACAATGCACAGGACAGCTCCTACAGCAAAGAATTATCTCGTCCCAAATGTCTATAGAGCCAAGGTGGAGAAACCCTGTCCAAAGATACAAATATCCATATGCATTCAGCCTGGGTGTGGGATTTTTGAAACCTCCCCAGGTGATTATTCTAGGCAGTAAAGCTTGAGAACCACTGCTAGAGACATGTTCCTAGAGAACATTCAATCATATGGCTAAATTCCTCTCAACCCCTTGCCATTGAGCTTGAACTGAAAATTTTCCATTTCTTCTTGTTTGATTTGGGAGTTGTTTGTTTGGGAGGTGAGGGTGGTTGGAAGGAGGAAGAGCTAGTTGCTTTTGTGAGAAAGCCTAGGTTTCCCACAACATGCTAGAATGGGTATCTCTGTAAATAGAAGTCTAGCTGTTATTATTCACCTTGTGAGTTGGCCTCCCCGGCATAGCTCAAGAGGATCATTAACCACTGTCAAACACACATGTCCTGGGGTACGGGTCACTAGGAATTACATGTGGGAGAAGCAACTCCTTTGCAAATGAGCACTCCCTAATGTTTCACAGAATGACAGCTTCTCCCACTAGGGACCTCCCAGGAAGGGCCACTGCAGTTGTGAAACTCTAGGGGGAACCAGTCACATAGAACACAATGTGAACGATGCTCCCAGGCTTCATGGCCCTCAAAGTTAATTTTACATTCACCAGAATGCCTAGCCTTTTAAATCAGTCCCATATATACATAGAAAGAGAGGGTGTCTCACTCTATTGACCAGGCTGGAGAGTGGTGGCACCATCACCGCTCACTGCAGCCTTGACCTGCTGGGCTAAAGCAGTCCTCCTGCCTCAGCCTTGCGAGTAGCTGGGACTACAAGTGCATGCCACCATGCCTGGCTAATTTTTTAATTTTTCTGTAGACCCAGGGTTTCACCATATTTCCCAGACTAGTCTTGAACTCCTGGCCTTAAGTGATCCTCCCACCTCAGCCTCCTAAAGTGCTGGGATTACAGGCATGAGCCACCGTGCCTGGCCCAGTCCAGGCTACATGAAATATTTAAATATTTTGCCTACGTGAAAATATTCCACTAGCTCTCCATATGTACTTTGACATTTATTTATATTATCTCAGATAATGCTAGGATAATATATGTTACTCTCTATATATGTATATATACACACTATATGTATACATGCGTATTTATAGATAATATTTAAAATTTGTAATGCAAATAGTGTCGTATTTTACAAGCCAACCTACAACTTGCTTTTTTCACTTAACACTCTATATTACCCACTTAGCATGCCCAGATATGTAGATATATGTTATTCCTCTAACAGCTGCAGAATATTACATTGCATGGACTTGATTTTAAAGAATAGTTGCATATTAGATGTAAGTGGAATGAACATTGGCATTTCCTGAGCCCCATAACATGACACTGAAAGGACAAAAAGGCTGCAGATTCACAAGGACAAGAGAGTGAGAAAGGAGACAAACGCAGATGAGAGATGTTCACAGTGTTTCGGTGATACCAGGAAGCAAGCTGATTCACCCAGTGGAAAGGCTCAGGGATCGGGCATCAGAGACTTCACAAGGCAGAGGCGAGCCATGTGACAGACGTATAAGGATCAATTGGACCCACCGATCTCATTCCCACCTGCAAAGCCCAAAGACCTCTCCTCCCAAACTTTGCAATATAGGAGCTTTATTCTCTGGGGAAAACACCAGCAGAGGGCCAGATGGAGACAGTGGATTTAAAACAAGGAGATGATTAAAAGTGTGCATGCTGAACAAACATCACAAGGCGTTGCCACTGCCCCAGCTCCATTCTCCCACCTGGCTCTCAAAACATTATCAAGCAGGCTTATACTGTCTGCAGAGGAGCCTTAGAGGCAGTGAATAACCCCAGATAAACCTACAAAACATCTGGGGTAAGGGTCTATCAGCGAAAAAAAAAAAAAAATGCCATAGTCTCACAATTTCTTCTTTACCACAGAGGACTGGGTGTGATTCTAGGACCCCAAACACAGCCATGCCTACAGGTAGCACAAACATAATAGAAATGACAAGGAAGAAGAGAATTTCTAGAAATAATGATCAAGAGCATCGGGGATATTTAGCACTAAAACTAGTGATCCAAGGGACATGCTGGTAGGAGGTCATGGGGAACCATGGAGAATGTCAGACTGAGATGGGCAGGGATGAGGGCAGAGCAGGAGCAGCACCCAAGATGTCTACCTCTTAATTCCATCAAGGAGACAAGAGGGACTCGACAGAGCCATCATGGGACAGAGATCAACAGTGACCAACCTGATTCAGCAGCCATCTGGTGTACCTACTATGGGACAGAGATCAACAGTGACCAACTTGATTCAGCAGCCACCTGGTGTACCTACTATGCGCCAGATTCCGTGTTAGGGAGCACGTACGGATATAGGAGTAGGATGCTGTCCAATGATCTAACAATGCACCTGTGGAGATTGCCACTCACGGTGTTCTCCGCTTTCCTAGAGTCTGGAGACTCTCTCTTCTTACTTTCACAGCTCTTTGGCCATCCACAAATCCATTTGCCCACACGCTTCCTGGTTCCTTCACTTTCCTCCAGCCTGACACAGACGTGTCTTTCCTGGTGCACTCCCACTAAAGAATGTCTGCGAGGATAGAAGGTCCCTTCTGGTTGTCATGACAAACCAACAAACTAGCATGGGAAACACTCACTGTGTGCAAGGGACTCACTTTGGCATTCAAACTTCATCGTACAGAATAAAGAAAATGTGGTTCATCTATGCCATGGAATACTACACAGCCATAAAAAGGAATGAGATCATGTCTTTTGCAGCAACATGGATAGAGCTGGAGGCCATTATCCTAAGCAGATTAACACAGGGACAGAAAACCAAATGCCGCATGTTCTCACTTACAAGCCATGGTCTGCAACCTTTTTTTGCTTTCATACCCATTAAAACAGTTTCATTAAAAAATTAGTTTAGGTAGTCATGGCCATCAAACACATGAAAAGATGCTCAATGTCGTTAGTCATCAGGGAAATGCAAATCAAAACCAAAACGAGGCTGGGCGCGGTGACTCACTCCTGTAATCCCAGCACTTTGGGAGGCCAAGGCGGGTGGCTTCCCTGAAGTCAGGAGTTCAAGACCAGTCTGGCCAACATGATGAAACCCCATCTTTACTAAAAATACAAAAAAAAAAAAAATAGCTGGGCGTGGTGGCAGCACCTATAATCCCAGCTACTCAGGAGGCTGAGGCAAGGGAATTGCTTGAACCAGGGAGTGGAGGTTGCAGTGAGTCAAGATCATACCACTGCACTCCAGCCTGGTGACAGAGCGAGACTCTGTCTCAAAGAAAAAAAAAAAAAGAGATACTATTTCACACCCACTAGATCAGCCATAATTAAAATGGAAAATAACAAGAGTTGTGGAGAATGTGGGGAAATTGGAAACCTTGTGCATCACTGGTGGAAACGTAAAATAGTGCAGTCACTGTGGGAAAGTTTGGTGGTTCCTCAAAACGTTAAGCATAAAATTACCAGCAATTCCACTGCTAGGTACATAGTAGTTCCCCCTTATCCTCAGGGGATAGGTTCCAAGACCCACAGTGAATACCTGAAATCGTGCATCGTACCAAATCCTATGTACACCATGTTTTTTTCCTATACATACATACCTACAATAAGGTTTAATTTATAAATTAGGCACAGTAAGAGATTAACAACAATGATAAAATAGAACAATAATAATAATATGCCAGTATCACTACTCTTGCATTTTGGGGCCATTAAATAAGGGTTACTTGAATACAAGCTCTGCAATGTGATAACAGTTGATCTGATATCTAAAACAGCTACCAGGTGACTGACAGGTGGGTAGCATCGACAGTGTGGAAATGCTGAACAAAGGTGTGACTCACGTACCAGGCAGGACAGAGCGGGACAGGGAGAGGTTGCATCACACTACTCAGAATGACATGCAATTGAAAACCCAGGAATTGTTTACTTCTGGAATTTTCTGTTTAATATTTTTGGGCCATGGATAACCAAGGATAACTGAAATAGCAGAAAGGCGGAATACTGTGTACCGAAAAGAACTGAAAACAGGTATTCAAACAAACACCTTGTAGAGGAATGTTTGTTGCAGCAGCACCAGTCTCAATAGTGAAAAGATGGAAACAGCCCAAATGTCCATCAACTGATGAATAAATACAATGTGGTGTATTCATACAATTGAATATTATTCAGCCATAAGAAGGAACAAAGTACTGAAACATGCTACAATGCAATGAACCTTGAAAACATTATGCTAAGCGAAAGAACCCAGACAGAAAGGGCCACGTGCTGCATGATTTCACTTATACAAAATGTTCAGAACAAATAAATCTATAAAGACAGAAAACAAACAAGCAGTTGGGGGGTGGTGGGGGGTGTGGCAGAATGGAGAGTAACTGTTTCATGGGTACAGAGTTTCCTTTTGAGGTGATGAAAATGTCTCAGAAATAAGAGATCGTGGTTGTACAAAGTTGTGAATGTACTAATGTCACAAATTGTAAACTTTGAAATAGTTAATGGTTAATTTTATGTTATGTGAATTTTACTCAATTAAAAAAATCCATAAAAGAAAATAAACCCAGATCCCCTAATATGTTTTTAGCTAATATTTAATATTTTCAAACATAAGTGTAAATAGTTGCAAAGGATGTAATTTAAAATAAAACTGTTACATCAATCTTTTAAATATAGCCGTACAATCTTAATGCACTATTAATTTCAGACTTGATCGCCTATTTTAAAAAATATATGAACAATCTTTTCTTTAACAGTCGTTTTAACTTGTCATTCCTTTTCCTCCTTGAAATTATGTTTCCATTACACTTCTCCACAAACTTTCAAACTTGTATAATTTTTTAGGTTTGAAAGTTTTCTCCCAATTATCTTATCATATATAAAATATGTATATAATTTAAATTAGAAACTTTAAAAAACTCTACTGACACCAAAGTCTTCAAATAGTGGAAACTTATTCTGGATTGGTTATTATTATTGCTATTAGTATATAACTGATCAAAACAACATAAATATTACAAGTTTTGATAAATAACATAAATAATTATTAAACACAAAAATAAAAAATTTGTTAAAAATACAGATGTTTTAATAGATTGGGTGGGGCTTTTTTCTGTTTATTCACACATTTGTGGATAAATATTACACTAGAATGAGAGTTCAGCATAAACTCTATTTTTAAATTTTGTTTCTAGAAATATAAGCACTGTTTACACAAACAAGAAGATAGAAATGGAGAGTTTTGAGATATCAGTGTCAGTCACTCAATCCTTTTGAGTTTTATGCCCCAAATCACACAGTTGTTAATCATTAAAAAAAAATCTCTTTTTTTAAGACAGAGTCTCTCCTGCTGTCACCCAGGCTAGAATGCACTGGTGCTCACTGTAACCTCAAACTCCTGGGCTCAAGCGATTCTCCCATCTCAGACTCCCAAGTAGCTGGGACTACAGGCACATACCACCACGCCCGGCTAATTTAAAAAGGTTTTTTTGTAGAAACAGGGGTCTTACCCAGGCTGGTCTCCAACTCCTAGCCTCAAGTGACTCTCCCACCTCCACCTGCCAAAGCACTGGGATTACAGGCCTGAGCCACCACACCCCTCCTCAAAAATTTATCTTTAGTGATCTATCAGCTCATGGCTAGGTTAGGTATTCTTTCAATGCATTAATTTGTTTTTTAGGTTTGTTTTTACTTATTCTTTAATTTTTTATACTGACAAGCTCAAGTCTACACAAATATAGAAGAATAAAAAGAATCCCTATGTGCCCATCACCAGCATCAACAATGTTATCATCAACCCATGGCCAATCTTGTTTCATCTCTACCTTTCCCATCTCCTCTCCACCTCACACCACTTCATCACTGCTGGACTGTTTTGAAGCAAATCCCAGGTTACACACTTTTACTTCACCTGTAAATACTTCTATATATATCTCTCTTAAAAATAAGGATGTTTTGAAAACATAACTTATAAACCAGTACACCTAAGAAATGCAAGTCATTCAATATCCATCTAATGTGCAAATTTCCCCTAATTGTCTCACACATATTTTTGTTTTGGTTTGGTTTAGATTTTAGTGTTGGTTTTTCTTCTCTTTCTTTTCTTTTCTTTTTTAGTGTTGGTTTTTTAACTCAAGATCCTAACGAGGCCCACAAATTGCATTTGGCTGATATTTCTCTTAAGTCTCTTTGCATCTCCTTGGCTTACTGTTTAACATGCTCTTCTGGCCTCTGAATTTCCTGAAAATTGATCTTTAGATCTCAAGACTTGGTCAGATTCAGATTTTATACTTTGGCAAGAATCCTTCACAGATGGTATGTGCAGTGGGTTCAGTGTTATTATCTTTCCATCTAATGGTTTTAGCAGCTATCAATGACACAACCTGGATCCATCATTATGAAATGGAGTTCCTCTTCAATTTTAATGAAAGCCAGTAAATGGAAACCTGCAGAAGAATTTGTTCCCTAGTTGTCAGAGTCACCACTCTCTTAATTTTTAGAAACTAGTATACTCAACTTCAGAAATTATCATTATTATATTAATTAGTTATTGATTTTGAGACTTACTTTATTAATTAGACTTATTAATTATTAATTTTGAGGCAGGTAATTATAATTAATTATACTGGTTATTCTTTCTTTTTTTTTTTTTTGAGACAAGGTCTTGTGTATCACCCAGGCTGGAGTGCAGTGCAGTGGCACAATCATAGCTCACTGTAGCCTTGAACTCCTGAGCTCAAGTGATTCTCCTGCCTCAGCCTCCCAAGTAGCTAGGACTACAGGCATGCACCACCATGCCCCATTAAATTGTCTTATTTTTATTTTTGTAGAGATGGGGTCTTACTATGTTGTCCATGCTCACCTTGAACTCCTAGCCTCAAGCAGTCTTCCCACCTCAGTCTCCCAAAGCACTAGGATCACAGTGCATCAGCCTGCTATTATTCTTTCACTTAAGATACACCTTGTTTAACTTGTTGATAATACTCAAAAACTACTGGAAAATCAAAATATTTATATCAAACCACCATCACCAATTTAATATTTTTTCAATAAAAATATTTTTATCTCATCCTATGTTTTAAATACATTCTTGTTAAAAAGCCTTGGAAATCTATTTCATTTCACCTATGAAAAATACCCACCATATAACCTAATTGGACACTCTGATCCTCATTTTCAAACCAATAAAATAATCAGAGTTAATTTCTCTCCGAATTTTTTTTTTTTTTTTGAGATGGAGTTTCAGTCTCGTTGCCCAGACTGGAGCTCTAGTTTGATTGCACTGTGGTCTGAGAGACAGTTTGTTATAATTTCTGTTCTTTTACATTTGCTGAGAACTGCTTTACTTCCAACTATGTGGTCAATTTTGGAATAAGTGCGATGTGGTGCTGAGAAGAATGTATATTCTGTTGATTTGGGGTGGAGAGTTCTGTAGATGTCTATTAGGTCTGCTTGGTGCAGAGCTGAGTTCAATTCCTGGATATCCTTGTTAACTTTCTGGCTCATGGATCTGTCTTATATTGACAGTGGGGTGTTAAAGCCTCCCATTATTATTGTGTGGGGGTCTAAGTCTCTTGTAGGTCTCTAAGGACTTGCTTTATGAATCTGGGTGCTCCTGTATTGGGTGGATATATATTTAGGATAGTTAGCTCTTCTTGTTGAATTGATCCCTTTACCATTATGTAATGGCCTTCTTTGTCTCCTTTGATCTTTGTTGGTTTAAAGTCTGTTTTATCAGAGACTAGGATTGCAACCCCTGCCTTTTTTTGTTTTCCATTTGCTTGGTAGATCTTCCTCCATCCCTTTATTTTGAGCCTATGTGTGTCTCTGCACGTGAGATGGGTCTCCTGAATACAGCATAGTGATAGGTCTTGACTCTATCCAATTTGCCAGTCTGTGTCTTTTAATTGGAGCATTTAGCCCATTTACATCTAAGGTTAATATTGTTATGTGTGAATTTGATCCTGTCATTATGATGTTAGCTGGTTATCTTGCTCATTAGTTGATGCAGTTTCTTCCTAGCATCGATGGTCTTTACAATTTAGCATGTTTTTGCAGTGGCTGGTACCGGGTGTTCCTTTCCATGTTTAGTGCTTCCTTCAGGAGCTCTTGTAAGGTAGGCCTGGTGGTGACAAAATCTCTCAGCATTTGCTTGTCTGTAAAGGATTTTATTTCTCCTTTTCTCCTTCACTTATGAAGCTTAGTTTGGCTGGATATGAAATTCTGGGTTGAAAATGCTTTTCTTTAAGAATGTTGAATACTGTCCCCCACTCTCTTCTGGCTTGTAGAGTTTCTGCTGAGAGATCCACTGTTAGTCTGATGGGCTTCCCTTTGTGGGTAACCCGACCTTTCTATCTGGCTGCCCTTAATATTTTTTCCTTCATTTCAACTTTGCTGAATCTGAAAATTACGTGTCTTGGAGTTGCTCTTCTCGAGGAGTATCTTTGTGGTGTACTCTGTATTTCCTGAATTTGAATGTTGGCCTATCTTGCTAGGTTGGGGAAGTTCTCCTGGATAATATCCTGAAGAGTGTTTTCCAACTTGGTTCCATTCTCCCCATCACTTTCAGGTACACCAATCAAAAGTAGATTTGGTGTTTTCACATAGTCCCATATTTCTTGGAGGATTTGTTTGTTTCTTTTTACTCTTTTTTCTCTAAACTTCTCTTCTCGCTTCATTTCATTCATTTGATCTTCAATCACTGATACCCTTTCTTCCACTTGATCGAATTGGCTACTGAAGCTTGTGCATGTGTCACGTAGTTCTCATGCCATGGTTTTCAGCTCCATCAGGTCATTTAAGGTCTTCTCTATGCTGTTTATTCTACTTAGCCATTCATCTAATCTTTTTTCAAAGTTTTTAGCTTCTTTGCAATGGGTTCGAACATCCTCCTTTAGCTCGGAGAAGTTTGTTATTACTGAAGCCTTCTCTCAACTCGTCAAAGTCATTCTCCGTCCAGCTTTGTTCTGTTGCTGGCCAGGAGCTGTGTTCCTTTGGAGGAGAAGAGGCGCTCTGATTTTTAGAATTTTCAGCTTTTCTGCTCTGGTTTTTCCCCATCTTTGTGGTTTTATCTACCTTTGGTCTTTGATGATGGGGATGTACAGATGGGGTTTTGGCATGGATGTCCTTTCTGTTTGTTAGTTTTCCTTCTTACAGTCAGGACCCTCAGCTGCAGGTCTGTTGGAGTTTGCTGGGGGTCCACTCCAGACCCTGTTTGCCTGGGTATCACCAGCATAGGCTGCAGAACAGCAATTACTGCAGAAAGGCCAATGTTGCTGCCTGATCCTTCCTCTGGAAGCTTCATCTCAGAGGGGCACCCAGCTGTATGAGGTGTCAGTCAGCCCCTACTAGGAGGTGTCTCCCAGTTAGGCTACTCAGGGGTCAGGGACCCACTTGAGGAGGCAGTCTGTCCGTTCTCAGATCTCAAACTCCATTCTGGGAGAACCACTACTCTCTTCAAAGCTGTCAGACATGGACATTTAAGTCTGCAGAAGTTTCTGCTGCCTTTTGTTCAGCTATGCCCTGCCCTCAGAGGTGGAGTCTACAGAGACATGCAGGCCTCCTTGAGCTGCAGTGGGCTCCCCGCAGTTCAAGCTTCCCAGCCACTTTGTTTACCTACTCAAGCCTCAGCAATGGTGTACGCCCCTCCCCGAGCCTTGCTGCCGCCTTGCAGTTCAATCTCAGACTGCTGTGCTAGAAATGAGCGAGGCTCCATGGGCGTGGGACCCTCTGAGCCAGGTGTGGGATATAATCTCCTGGTGTGCCATTTGCTAATACCATTGGAAAAGCACAGTATTAGGGTGGGAGTGTCCCGATTTTCCAGGTACCGTCTGTCATGGCTTCCCTTGGCTAGGAAAGGGAATTTCCCGACCCCTTGCGCTTCCCGGGTGAAGTGATGCCCCGCCCTGCTTCAGCTCACATTCTGTGGGCTGCACCCACTGTCTGACAAGCCCCAGTGAGATGAACCGGGTACCTCAGTTGGAAAAGCAGAAATCACCTATCTTCTGCATCGCTCATGCTGGGAGCTGTAGACTGGAGCTGTTCCTATTCAGCCATCTTGGAACCTCTCTCAGAAGAGGTGAAATAACTTCTATTCCACTATTCCTACTCCACAATATTCAATTCAGAATATCCATTTGCAGGCCAATTCCTCCCAATAGGAAAATGTTCAAGACAACGGAAGGTAAACGGTAGGCAAGTTTTCTCCCCCTTTCCCCTTTGATTATTAAAAGAGCCTTTTCAGAAGTCCATATTTGAAAGTGTCCCTTTGTTTGGTGCCCCAGAGGTTTTGCCTCCCAGGGGCAATTCAGGGCAGATTAAGGGTATGCACTCCTTTTGCAAAGCAAGAGAAGAACAGATTATAGGAGGCGCTTGGGAAAGGAGCATCTGCGCAAGCAACCAGGGCCATTCCCAGAAGACCACACATGAAGCTGAGGATCTAAAACTGGAGTCCCCTAGAACTGTCCACTTTACTCTTCCCAATTTGAAGACCACTGACTGCTGACCCCTTGCTTTGAGAATATTTCCTCAAAAGACTGGAAAAAGGCAGATAACAGTGGTCTCAACTGTTACTGACTTGCTTTGAAACTTGGAGAACTTTCCTTAATGTCTTACTGTGCTAATCTGAAATTGGAATCAATATCTAGTTTCCTGTTTCCTTCTCATGGTATTTTGAGAATTAAGCATTGTCAACACAAAGAGTCAAAACTCTGTAAAATATTTGAAGAGATTTATTCTGAGCCAAATATGAGTGACCATGGCCCATGACACAGCCCTCAGGAGGTCCTGAGAACATGTGCCCAAGCTGATCGGGGCACGGCTTGGTTTTATATATTTTAGGGAGGCATGAGACATCAATCAAATACATTTAAGAAATACATTGGTTTGGTTCAGAAAGGCAGGACAACCCAAAGCGGGTTGAGAGGTGGGAAGCTTCCAGAGTATAGGTAAATTTAAACATTTTCTGATCAACAATTGGTTGAGTTTGTCTAAAGACCTGGGATCAATAGAAAGAAAATGTTCAGGTTAAGACAAAAGACTATGGAGACCAAGGTTCTTTTGAAGTCTTATAGTGGCTGCCCTTAGAGACAATAGATGACAAATTGTTTCCTATTCAGACCTTTAAAAGGTGCTAGACTCTTACTTAATCTCTTAAAGATTGGGAGGATCTGGAAGAAAAAGATCTAACTACGTTAATAGAGATTCTTTAGATGCACATTTCCCCCCACAAAGGACAGCTTTGCAGGACCATTTCAAAACATGGCAAAGAAACGAGTTTTGGGGTAAAATATTTTGACTTTCTTCTTTGTCACATAATGTTATGCCACAGTCAGATTGGAAAGTAAGTCATGATATATGAAGTTAAATAAAACCCATCTGATGAGAATTTATGGTTTGTAGAGCAGATTCTCAGAACCCTTAGATAGGAATTTGGCCAAGATTTAAAAATCAGAGTTTAGTCTTCAGCATGAAGGTTAGCAGTACTACTTAGGTTTTGAATAGCACTTTTACCTTTCTGAATGACTTTGCTGCCTGGATCTTCTGTTTCCCTCTCAACTGTCCCTCAAAGGCAAGTCTCACCTTTGTGCAACAGGTGTGGGGCACGGAGGCCCAGGGCGAGACTGGCCAAAGATCACACAGCAAATAGGTGACCTGGTTGGGAATAGAACCTGCGTTTACCTCCTTTCTCCAAATGCATCAGCACAGGAAAATACGGAGAAAACAAGTTTACACTTGATGTTAGTCAAAAGGCCAAGAAGCAATTGTATATCTAAGTTCATAGTACATCAACTTTTTTTTTTTTTTAGACACTCTGTCACCCAGGCTGGAGTGCAGGGGCATGATCTCGGCTCACTGCAATCTTGCTCTTACGGGTTCAAGCGATCCTCATGCCTCAGCCTCCAGAGTAGCTGGGACTACAGTCGCACACCACCACATCTAGATAATTTTTTCTATTTTAGTAGAGATGGCTGCCCAGGCTGGTCTCGAACTCCTGAGCTCCAACAATCCGCCTGCCTCGGCCTCCCAAAATGCTAGGATTACAGGCGTGAGCCACTGTGCCTGGGCAAAGATTTTTTAAAATAATGTTCATAAAGAGAGGCCAATTCATATTCTTAGTTTATTCCAGCAAACTATGATTCAGATATCTGAAGGCGGAAAAAAAAACCAAAACCTGAAGTTCCCAAAGACAGTCTCCATTCTAAACTGCACCTCCTTCTTCACAGTCCAGTGACCTATGACATGCTTTCTACTTCTGAATCCACCCTGTAAAATGATCCTCTTCTGAAAGGAGTTTCCCACCAAACAAGGAAGTTCTAGACATAATCACACTTCAGGAGATATTTGTGTATGGTTTGCTTTTTGTTGTTTTGTTTGTTGATTTTGCTTTGCTTGGAGCAAAGTTTTAAATTTAATTTCTGTACAAAAGCTATTACAAAAGAGGTAAGATTTCCTCCTACTTCTTTTCTCCTGCCACCCAGTTCCTTTTCCCAGAGGTAATCAATGAGAAATAATTTAGAATGTAAGATATGTTATAATTCTGTACATGCCATGGCAACAGGAAATAAGCCATTCAGGGCTCATCCGGAATCCAGGAAGTGTTTGGATATTGGAAAAACAAAAACAAAAAAAAACCTTTGTTCTGTAAGACAGTATAGAAAGTTGGGAGAAAGGTCTACTCCAGGATCAAGGTAAAATCTGACATGCCACATAACCATAAAAGAGAATGGGGGATAAAAGAATGAAATAATGAGTCTACCTGGGAGCTATGTGTGAGCCCAAGACAGGAATGGGAGTTTCCAGAAGTTCACAGAGCAGTTAAGACCAGAATAAATCCAGGTAGCCAAGACCAGTCAGGACCAGGCATGGAGATAGACCCCAGGGCTGCCTCTCTTTCCAAGCTGATCTGCAGACTGAAAATTTAGACCAGTTACAAATTATCTAAACTGCCCCAGGAGCTGAAAACCTTTAAATTTTAGAGTTGCGAGGAAACAAATACTATCTAATACATCTACTCTCAAGCATTTTGGTCTCAGGGCCCCTTAACACTTGGAAAGATACTGAGAATCCCATAGTGTTTTTGTTTATATGGGCTCCTCTCTATAGATATTTACCATATTAGAAATCAAAATTGATAAATTTTTAAATATTTATTTATTCAAAAATGACAATTATGAACATATTACATGTTGACAAAAATGCTTTTATTAAAAATAAATATATTTTATTTTTTAAAAATTAAGGGGAATGATTAGCATTATTTTACAGTTTTGAAAATCTCTTTAAAGTCTGCCTTAATGGAAGACAACTGGATTCTCCTTTCTGCATCTGCATTCAAGGTGATTTGATATCACATGACACATAGCCTTGGGAAAACCACCATACACACACACACGAGAATGAAGACGGCAAACGATGTCCTAGCATGATTATTAAAATGATTTTGCATCTACAGACCTCCTGAAAGGGTCTCGAGGACCCCAATGGTTCCTGGACCACACTTTGAAAACTATGGATCTGAAAATAATTTAGGATTGCATTTTCCTGTAATGCCGCGTCTTAGCAATGTGACCTTGGGTGAGCTACTTAACTTCTCTAAGCCTCAGCTTCCTCCGCTGTAAAGCAGCACTAAGAATAGAAGGCTACGTTTATGGCCACATGCCTTCCTATAATCTGGGTATCTTCATGGTCATTATATATATAAGTGAGGTAATACTTATAAATATTTAATACAGTACTTGGCCCCTAGTAATCACTCAGGTAACAACTCTTCCTACTATTATTGTTAATATTTGCTATTACTACATATCAAGCATTGTGCCAGGCACAGCAGGGGTCATATCACAGGGTGTAAGAGGCCTCAAGTTGCTTAACAGTAGGGGACATAGGACAAATACCTAATTATAGAACAGAACAGATTTTGTCCGAATGATACAAACCAGGAAGAGGTCACATTCATTCACTCATTCAACAAATATTAATCGATTTTCTCCAGTGTGCCAGGAACAACAGGGAGGAAGAGGCCAAGGTTTCAGAGCCTCAGGAATGAGGAACAGCAGGAGGTGAGGGGGTCAGTGAGGAATGGGATGGGCTGGGCGTGGCCAAATCAGGTAAGGCTTTGTAGGCCTATGTAATTGAGGATATAAGGAAATGTTTTATGAGAAGGCTGCATTTGAATTAGAACTTCAGAAGAGGCAGGATTCGGGATAAAATTGATGTGCACATTCTTTTATGCACTTTCAACAGATATTTGAGATTTCCGCCAAGTCTGCTGCACAAACGATCCCTACTTCCAAAGAAGATATTTTTGCATTTAATGGTTTTTATCACATAAGAAATACATGCGCACTTTTAAAAATTAGAAAATACAGGAGTGACCAGCCTGGGCAAACATAGCAAGACTACTACATCTCTACAAAAAAAAAAGAAAGGTGGGGCGGGGGGGGGCCAGGTGTTTCTTCTATAATGTTCTTGCTAGTGGTGGTGCACACCTGTAGGCTCAGCTACCTGAGAGGCTGAGGCAAGAAAATCACATGTGCCCAGAAGTTCAAGGCTGCAGTGAGCTATGATAGCACCACTGCATTCCAGCCTGGGCAACAGAGCAAGACCCTGTCCCCGCCGTCCCCCAAAAAATACAAGTGAGCAAAAATAAGAAAATAAAAACATTCTTCTGGCATGGGTTGTGTGTGAGACCCCAGGACTATCCACCTACAGGATTCAACCCTAAGCCTGTGGGACCAGTGGTTTGTCTGCAGGGAGCTAGAAGCAGCTAGAAAAGCCGGCCTGCCTGCCAGGGTAGACCTCCTCCTCGCCCCCTAACCAAATTGTGCTCACGTTCCTTGAGTCCTCACCGCCCGACTGCGCACTGGAGAAGTTGGAAGGAAAAAGCCTCGTGCAAGAGGAAGCGCAACCCAGGGCGCAGAAGCCCCCTCCTGGCGCCGCAGCGGGGCTCTGCCAGCTCTCCAGGGAGGCGCTGGGTGGAGGATATGGCCAGAAAGGCAGATGTCTTCTAAGGGGGAAAACAAAGTTCCTGGGCGAAGGAAACGTGAGAAAAGGACAAAGAGGAGTAAAGAAGAGGGTGCATCAGCTTGGGAAACGCAGCAAGGCGCACAGTGCATGCGCACTATGTAGAGCGTAGGGGCTGCGGGGCGGTGTGGGGAGAGGTCACGGCCACCGTGCGTGCGAGGCCGGGGAGGCTGCGGGGGATCGCATGGGAGCCCCCGAGGTGAAGCCGGGAAAGCGGCCCCACGACGACCCCCTGACGGCTGCGGGAGGGCTGAGAAGCCTCCTTCCCTAATACATTAAAGAAAAAAAAAATTAGGCCGGGCGCGGTGGCTCACGCCTGTAATCCCAGCACTTTGGGAGGCCGAGGCTAGTGGATCACGAGGTCAGGAGATCAAGACCATCCTGGCTAACACGGTGAAACCCCGTCTCTACTAAAAATACAAAAAATTAGCTCGGCGTGGTGGCGGGTGCCTGTAGTCCCAGCTACTCGGGAGGCTGAGGCAGGAGAAAGGCGTGAACCTGGGAGGCGGAGCTTGCAGTGAGCCAAGATCGCGCCACTGCACTCCAGCCTGGGCGACAGAGCGAGACTCTGTCTCAAAAAAAAAAAAAAAAAGAAAAAAAAAATTAATCCAAGTGGGGGTGGTTTTAGGTGCTGCCTCTTTATCTTTTGCTTAGATTTTGGAAGGGTTTAAAATTTCCCTCCTTGCCTTTAGATTCTCTAATCTTGTATCCGACGTTAATTAAGCACCTACTGTGTACTAGATGCTGGTGCTGGGGGCACAAAATGGAAGACCCCTATAGTCCTATAGGGAGGCATATATGTAAACGCATGTGCATCATTACAGAGGTTTGTACAATTTACTTTGGGGGGCGAGGAGAAAGAACTGGCACGGGGAGAAGGGAAGGTTGCACAGGAAAGGCATATCTGAACAGGGTTTAGAAGGCTGAATTTTTGGCAGGTGGAATGGGAGTAAGGTGGGGAGGAGAATATTCTAGAAGAAACAGCAGGTCTTAGAGAGGCATGGAGTGTGAAAAGACGTGCTTCTGTGACTAACATAACAAAATAATTTGGACAAAGTTATTTATCCTTCCTAACTCTTAAGTTCCTCTTGAATAAAAAGAAATAGTGACAGCAATATAGCAATGTGTCCAATCAGTGGATTATGAAACACACTTCAAAGGCAAAATGATATCCTCACACCCAAAAGGTAAATGCTATCATAACTCGGGTGAACTGTGTTCTTGGAAAGGGAGCTTAAAACAGTTTATCCCAATGTTGATTCTGGTTTTGGCTTCATGGAGTCTCATTCATTCTTACTTCTGACCTCTACCCCTACTGTAATTATTTTTTCAAGGAACTGGACCAACAGGACCCAAGGGAGAGTATCAAAGGCAAAACAAAGGAAAATGAGGACAACCCAATACTCAGAAAAAAAAACGAGTAATTCATGGATTCACAACGGGCAACAAACTAGATGACTATTAGGAAGAGAAGAGCAAACCTTATGATCTCAAAATGATTTCTTGTTCATTTGCATCCTCGCATCAATCTAGACTTTAAGAAATATGTGATTTTTAAATAAATGGGTATATCTGCATAATAGTGTTTTGGCATTAAATTATTTGATATGACTATTAAACATGTTTCTGCAAAAACCACTTCACCATACTGCTAGAATCTAGCAGCTAGATTGACCCAACACTTCATTATGTCATTCCCTTGCTCAAAGGTTGAAAGCAACCAGATGTGGTGGCTCACACCTGTAATCCCAACACTTTAGGAGGCCAAGACAGGATGATCACTTGAGCCCAGGAGTTCAAAACTAGCCTGGGCAACAAAGTGAGACCTTTTCTCTACACAAAATAAAAACACATAGTCCCAGCTATTTGGGAGGCTGAGGTGGAAGGATCGCTTGAGCTCGGGCGGTCAAGGTGGTAGTGAACTGTGATTGCACCACTGCACTCCAGCCTATATAACAGAATGAGCCTGTCTTAAAAATAAAAAATAAAGTTGTAACTATTCTCTGCTAAGTAGAATATAAAAATGCCCTAACCTTACACTCAGATTTCCACAATTAAGCTCTATTCTGCCCCCTATCCACACCCTTTTTCACTATTGCTCTACAGAAACCCTCTTCTTTGACAAAATTAATTTTCTTAGTGTGCCTCAAACACACAATCCCATGTGAACACTGACCTTTCATAAAGATGATATTCTCGCCACCCCAGCCACATACTTAACTAGGCTACTAGATACATGTGTCCTCTGTGGTCTCCTAGTGGAAATTCTGTTTTTAATGTTAATACAAATAATTTTTTAAGCAATGCAAGTTTCTTGACATTGTTTAGGAAACGTCAGTGGTTAGAGTGATTTAGTATTGCGTACTGAAAATAATAGAAAAAATATCGACACTGAGTCATATCTACTTCTTTACCTTCGACCTTTTAAAATGTACTTGTGGGATTTAGATTATCTTTGGATTGAACTATACAATACAATAAAATGTAAAATTAAGTGCCCCATGTTTGAGAGACAATCATTGTACTTGAGGTAGAAAAGTGCTTTAAACAGTGATGAGACTTGGTTTTATATTGTCGCTTCACATATGTTTGTTGGACCAGGTTTTCTGTGGGTGCGTGTATTTGATTACATTGTTTAGTTATAGGGAATGTGCACCTGTTTTTTGTTGTTGTTGTTGTTGTTGTTTTCAGCTGGGCGCAGTGGCTCACGCCTGTAGTCCCACCACTTTGAGAGGCCAAGGTGGGCAGATCACTTGAGGTCAGGAGTTTGAGATGAGCCTGGGCATCATGGCAAAACCTTGTCTCTATTAAAAGTACAAAAATTAGGCCAGGCACGGTGGCTTACGCCTGTAATCCCAGCAGTTTGGAAGGCCAAAGTGGGTGGATCACCTGAGGTCAGGAGTTCAAGACCAGCCTGACCAATATGGTGAAACCCCATCTCTACTAAAAATAGAAAAATTAGCCGGGCGTGGTGGCAGGCACCTGTAGTCCCAGCTACTCAGGAGGCTGAGACAGGAGAATCGCTTGAACCCGGGAAGCGGAGATTGCAGTGAGCCAAGATCACGCCACTGCACTCCAGCCTGGGCGACAGAGCAAGACTCCATCTCAAAAAAAAAAAAAAAAAAAAAAAAAAAAGCTGGGCAGGGTGATACACGCCTGTAATCCTAGCTACTAGGGACGCTGAGGCATGAGAATTGCTTGAACCCAGGAGGCAGAGGTTGCAGTGACCTGAGATCATGCCATTGCACTCCAGCCTGGGTGACAGAGAGAGACTCTGTTTCAAAAAAAAAAAAAAAGTTCCTTTTTAAGGTTGAACAAAGGCTCATTCATTCCTTCCTTTCCCAGACTTTCACCAAGCGCCTTCTATGGGCCAAGCATTGTGCTACGTGCTAGGTATACACAGGCAAGAGGTAATATACACAGATAAAAGGTGATTCTCTCCCAACGTGAGTTGGGAAGACAGACATGGCTAAGGCTTGTGGCTATGCTGAAGGGACTCTGCAACAATTTTCTAAGGCTACTATAATGCTGAGTAACAACCAGCCATGAAACTTCAGTGGTATACAATAAAACCTCATTTCTTGTGCATCTAGGGTGGTTGCTTAGGTAGTTCTGCTGATTTGGCTTGGGTTCACTGAAGTGTCTGGTGGTTAGCTGCCATTGGCTGATCTAGGATGGCCTCAGCTAGGACAACCATGGTAATTTGGATGTGCTTCCCGTGCCTTTCATCCAGCAGGCATGATCTCACGGCAGTGACTAAGACACAAGAGCAAGAACATGTCCAACTGCACAAGTTACTTTAAAGCCTCTGCTTAAAAACATCCCAACAGGCCAGGCACGGTAGCTCATGCCTGTAATCTCAGCATTTTGGGAGGCCTAGGCAGGCAGATCACTTGAGGTCAGGAGTTCAAGACCAGCCTGGCCAACATAGTGAAACCCTGTCTCTACTAAAAATACAAAAATTAGCCGGGCATGCTGGCACATGCCTATAATCCCAGCTACTGGGGAGGCTGAGGCGGGAGAATTGCTTGAACCCTGGAAGCGGAGGTTGCAGTGAGCCAAGATTGTGCCATTACACTCCAGCCTGGGTAAAGAAGCGAGACTCCATCTCAAAAAAAAAAAAAATCCCTACAATCAAAGCGAGTAGCATAGCTGAGACCCCAGGCAGAGTTATATGTCATAGGGCATGGATACAAAGATGGGAGAATGGAGGTCATCATGGCAATCTGCCATGAGCTCTGAACACACAGACCAGGGCACCTAACTCAGCCTAGGGACATAAGGAATGGTTTCCCAGAGAAGGTGATGCTGACTTGAGTTGAATCTTGAAAGAGAAGACGCAAGTTAACCAGGCAATAAAGCAGAGAGGGCGCTTTAAGCAGAGCAACCCACATGAACCAAGAGCTTTGGAGACTGAAGTGCTTCCACGTCTTTACTTTATGTGATGCATATGCCCTGCAGCTATTAACCTTTCTGCAGTTTCCTGTCTGGAATGTAGATGTGAGCCCTAGATGTGCACAGCTGTCTCCTGGCCATGAGGCAATAAGCATGAAGTTGATGGTCTGTAGAAATAAGTCACCCAATGGCATTCTTGAGCCACTGTATCCACCCCAACTGTATGACTACATGACTTCATGTCACACAGGTCAGCACCCAGGAACTCCTGTGATATCCCCTGGAGAACTACCTAGTCCCTCAGTGCTCCGTGATCTATCTCTTCTTTCTCCCTCAGTCAAGACTCTTTCTCTCTCTCTCTCTCTCTCTCTCTCTCTCTCTCTCTCTCTCTCTCTCTCTCTCTCTCTCTCACTCTCTGAGATGGAATTTCACTCTTGTTGCCCAGGCTGGAGTGCAATGGCATGACCTCAGCTCACCACAGCCTCCGCCTCCCAGGTTCAAGCGATTCTCCTGCCCCAGCCTCCCGAGTGGCTGGGATTACAGGCATGAGCCACCACACCCAGCTAATTTTGTATTTTTAGTAGAGATGGAGTTTCTCCATGTTGGTCAGGCTGGTCTCGAACTCCCGACCTCAGGTGATCCGCCCGCCTTGGCCTCCCAAAGTGCCGGGATTACAGGCATAAGCCACCATGCCCAGCCCAAAAATCTTGTTCCTTCAACCAAGCTGACTCCAGATGCTTTGCATTGTTTGGAGAAGTGGTGATGCAGTTTCTCAATGTCTAGAGTTTCAACAACACCCCTACCCTGGCCTCCACGTCACCATTGCCAAGAGTAAAGAGAGAGCACCCCAGCCTCTTCCAGCAGGTACTTCACACTGCCCTTCCCCAAGTTTTCAGTTTGGCCACCACTATCTTCCTGGAGGCCATCATTATCTGTTATTATTTCCTTTATCCTGGTTTATGCCAGTCACACAAGTAGCCCAGGATCCTCAGTTGTTCCTTATCCCTTGTGTTTCATCCCAAATGGCTCCAAATGTCTCATTTTCTGACCCCATTTCCCACCCTCCCCATCCCGACACCCTTGTTGGGATCCACAAAATCCATCTTTTCTCGAAGTGTCTTAATTTCCTCTTCACTTTCTTGCTCTAAAGGAAACTAGGTCTCCCTTGAAGACACTGCTTTCTCTGCAGTCCTCTCAAGTGGTGGCTGTTTCTTACACTCCACAATGGAATAAGTTTTCTTGTTCCTCATTGCTGCTTCCAGATTATTCTGGCTCCCTCCTTCCTAAACATTTCCAGCTTTCACTCTGATATTAACCAGACTATATGGCCCTCATTACAGTCATATGACCCCTGCCACTCTCCAACTCTACTCCTGGGACAATTCTACATGAACTCAATATCCTTAGAGATGATACTTTCAAAGCCCTGATGTCTCAAATCCTTGACCTCCTCACTCCCAAAAAACTTGCCCTCCAACTTAGTTCAGCTATAATCTTTCTGTCCTTCTTTCTCCTCTTAACCAGCTTAGATTCCATGGTTCATTATCATAATTACACCTTTGAATATCCCCTAGGCTCCCTTGCCTCTCTAATACTTCATTGTACTCTTCCAGAAAAGCAGAGGTCTTACTTAAATCTAACTCTCCACTTATCCCCACACAAGTAGTAGTAGCCGAACAGGGCTGGAAAAACTACACACCTCTGCTATCTGCTTTCATTTTAAGTTTATGACCACTCACCTTCGGCTTCACTCATCTATCTTACCTCATTACCCTAGCATAGTCACTAACGTATCCTCACAGGTGGCCACTCCATATCTTCCTCTCTCTTCAGGCTTCCATTAACTCCTTCCCCATCCTCAGACTCAGCTGACAACCTTATCCCCTCACTCACTAGGAAAATAAAAGCAATAAGAAGGGAGTTTCCACAAATTCCCAGCACATCATCTACCCACCTACCTGCAACCTCCACTCCCTGAGTTCAAGCTATTCTCCTGCCTCGGCCTCTCGAGTAGCTGGGATTACAGGTCTATGCCACCACACCTGGTGGATTTTTGTATTTTTAGTAGAGACACGGTTTCGCCATGTTGGCCAGGCTGGTCTCGAACTCCTGACCTCTGGCGATTCACCCACCTTGGCCTCCCAAAGTGCTGGGATTACAGGCGTGAGCCACCACACCTGGCCGAGAGACACCAACTCTTAAAAGGTGCCTAACTAAGCATCTCGAGGAATTTGTACTGTGTCTCTAATGAGCTCTTTTGTAGCATTTTCATCAGGGAAATGCTGGGGATCAGATCCATCCTAGGAAAGATCATTCTAGCTGCAGCATAGAGTGGGAAGGCTGGAGGGCATAAGATTGGGGATATGGGAAAAAGTGAGAGACTGTTGGCAGAAATTCAAGCAAAAAAAAAATTGAAAGGCAGACTGAAGACAGGGGCTGTTGACATATAAAGGAGGGCAAATTTGACAGCTATTTAAGGTTATTTTACCTTTAGACAGACATTGGTGATCAATGTGATACATGAGGTGACAGTCCACCGGAAGACACACTGATAGTCTCCCCAGATTTCATCCCCAGAAACTCCCTGACTAAATCATCACGGGTCACCTGAAGCAGTCTCTGACAGTTTTTGGAAGACCAGAGGTAGAATTTCAGGAGCCTGATTCCAGATAAAGCCACAATTATGCAGCAATGTTATGTTCCTGAACCATCAAAGACATATAAGGGATGCCTGAGTTTTACTAGGAGCTCCTGGCTCATTATTTCCTATTTTCCCATCCCCTCTGCCCTTCAAGGGAGCAACAAAAAAGCAAGAACCAGTGAAAAACTTAAAACTGTGTTCGTTTTTTCCCTAATCTATTCTAGTCCAACTTATTCTCCCACTGTTGAAACAAATATTTCTAACACAGATAAGGGACATCGTATTGCTGGGGGATTCCCTACACAGATGTCCACCACCAGGGCCCAGCTCAAGGAAGCAAGTTCTACTGAAAGCAATTACCCATTTGATAATAGGATTTACAGCAACCAAGATTTCCTTCCTGGCTTGCAGACACTTCTTCCGAAGGCGCTGGCTCCCTGTGATGCTAAGATCCAGTCTCTATAGACTTCAGAAACTTAGCCAAACTACAAAGCCCTCCAGAATCTATTCTCTAAACTCAGCCACTTAGCCAGTGACCTACTCAGGCCAGACACTGGCTTTGGTAAGCAAAACAGGGCTGGTGACCAATGTAGGGAGTGACATGTTCCTCAACAGTTTCAGGCCTGGACATCTGCATTGCAGGCTGATGCTTAGCGTAAAAAAATGAGGAATGCTAGAGCCCCCATAAGAAAAGAAACTCAAGGAAGCATCACTGTCCTTTCAGTGTCACTAGGGACAGAAAAGATATGTAGGTAAGTGTGGAAGTGAAGAAACTGCAATCTCATTTGGAGTGATGGTCAGGGTAAGGTAGCAGGAGTAGGTAGTATAACCAGCAGAAAGATCCTTTTGACCCCTGAGAAAATCAGAGTCTAGGTCAGTAGCTGACCCCAGGTCTCTTCACCACTCAGGTGGGTCCCCAGACAGTAAAGATGGTAAACTTCCAAGGGCAAAGATGAGATCAGCGACTCCGCTGAATAGTGGTCCCCAGGAGACAATTGTCTAAATCACTTCAAGTACACACAGCCTTTTGTACGGATTTTAAACTTGGGATTCCTTGGCATTGCACATGATTTTGTGTTTGTATATGAGCAATTGTACATTTTTCTACAGAGGTCTATATCTGTTATCAGATTTTGGAGACTCAAAAAGAAAAAGATTAGATCTCTTACTTGACTGCACGATCCAATATGGTTGCACTAGCACGTTTCAGGTGGACAGTGGCTACTGTATAGTGCAGATATGGAACATTTCCATCATCACAGAGACTGTTATTGGACAGTGCTGCCTTAGAGACGTGGGCTGCAGGACTTCCACAAGAAGGCCTGGATATCAGACACCAGCATTCAAATTTCTTCCCAGTGCTGTGGAATGTGGTAGACCCTTGGAAGTCCAGTATCTGAACATGCTGGTCACCACCGTATACTAGTGACCAGAGGATGCCTTTCTTCAGCTGCTTGGCATTCTGCCAGCATGAATTCCTAGCACGGGAAAGATGGCAGGTGATCTGAATTACTTGGGGTTATGGTGTATTTGAGTGACCTCACTATATTTGGGAAGGCGCTGGAAAAACACGAAAAGAATGTTAGAAAGGGCTGGAATAAAACTACAGGAGTCCCCTCTTTATCCACGGTTTTGTTTCCCAGTTTTAACTACTCATCATCAACCACGATTTGAAAATATTAAATGGGAAAATTACAGAAATAAACAGTTCATTTATTACATACTATTCTGAGTAGCATGATGAAGCCTTGTGCCATCTCGCTGTGTCGTGCCAGCACCTGAATCATCTCTTTGTGCATAAAAGCAAAACTACCGACTGCCCAGTTCTAGTGCTTCCAGTTACACCTCTGCCCAAAGTCCTTCACTGGAGGAAGAGAAATTTCTCTTCTCTCTGCCAGAGAGAAACAGGAAGGGAGGAAGAGCCACACAATTGAAATCAAGTCAAGGCAAGCACCACAGGTTCTTGTCATTTGTGCTTAGCGGACTTAGCTGATGGAAATCGGCAAAGATCATCCCAAAGCTCACACAACTCCCTGCCTGCTCTCTCTCTCTTCCAAGGTCTGGAAAAGGAAGTGGCAGCTGAGTTGCGGGGGTGGGTGGCGGTGGGAAGGTATTATTATTCAACCACTTTTTAACTCTTATATTGTCATATTATTGTGTTAGGAGCTTCATACGCATTAATCCTAACATTCACAACAATACTGTAAAATAGATATTGTTACCCTTATTTAACACCGATGATATTCTAGGGCTCAAAGAGGTGGTATGACTTGCCCGGCAAGATCTTGGACTTGAAAGTCTGAGGCTTCCATTCTCCACCACAATTTACGTTTATTCACGGGCATCCATTGTTTCAGACTCATGACAACCGTGTAAAGTAGCACGGAGTAGGTAAGTGATTTGCCCAAGGGCACACAGCAAGGGAGAGGTTGTAATCTTTAATGATAATTTGTTTCTTTTTTTCTTAAAGGGGACTTTTTTTTCTCCTGTACCACCAAGCCAGTACATCTATGTCCTCCCAGAAAATATTTATTACCTCTTGTAGCAAGGGTGAAGATATTGAATACAACACAGAGGCTGAGAAATGTTACCTCCCTAGACCCAGGGTGGAGTGAGCAGGCAGGTGTAATGCAAGAAATAACTTTCACATTTTCTCCTTGGAGATAAGAACAAGGTCTAAAAATCAGGTTTGAGATTTTGTAGCCTTTCGGCTTGTAAGTGTCATGAAATTTCCCTATCAGCCTCATCTACTAGCTCCCTGGGTCTCTCTCTCTCTCTTTCTCTTTTTCCCCACCTCCCCACTCTGCCCATAGGGAGTTGACCTTCACAGTTGCCTTTCAGTAGTCAACATGCCAGGATGCCTCCAGTCTGGGGGAAAATGCTTCCTCATTTGCTTCTCCCAGCCCACCTCAAGCAGTCTCCCCACCCCTTGAGTCTCAGCAGTGTTAAAGCTGTTACTTTCACAGCTTCCTGGGAGCGAGTGCTTTCTCAAGCCCGTCTTGCAAGGTGGGTCCTTTTTTGTTTTTGGCAGAAGGGAGGGACAGTGAAATGTGCTCTGAGTAGGGACGGTTATGCAAAAGCAAGTAGGAGGAGGAAGCCAAGAGGGGAGTTGGTGAGTCAGAGGAGAAAAGCGCATGGCCCGGCTAGCAGTGAGCCTCTCAAAAGCAGCAGGGAAGCCCAAGCCACAAGGTAAGAAGAGAATTTCTGTGTACGACTCCAATGCAGAGCCATTACCCAGAGCTGCTGGAGCAAGAGTATCAGATAACCTCTGGCAGCTAAGCTAGAGATTACAGTGGCGAAGGCGGTTTGCGCAGAGGGGATAAATCAGATCACCTGGGGAATTTTCTGGGTAAAATAAAACACAAGCTGCTTACCAGCAGCCCCCAAGCCCCACTAGCTCTATCCCTAAATGGGTCCAAAAGAGCCCAGAGAGCAGATCAGGCTGTTCTGATGTATATTTTGTAGATGGTCCCCTGGTGCCAACTGACTCGTTCAGATCCTGGCTTTGGAGCTCAAATTTCTGTACTTCCTGCAGCTTCTCCTCTGTTTTCTGCTGGGGAGTGGAAGACAGGAGGTGCAAGGAGCTGTAGGTTTTCTCTAGCTCAGGAGAGGGACAGTGTGATCATTGAAAATTCTCAGCCCTGGGATCCCCAAAACCTGGGTTCTGATCCAGAAAAGGCTATTTATACCGGATGAGCCAGTCAATTAAAGTTTAGTTTATTTATTCTGAAAAATGAAGAAATGTCTCATCACTGTCTAAAATATCTAACCGATCAGTATCATAATTGCAGCTAAAAGGGCTTTAAAAATGTGGAACACCACGCACATGTGCAATATGATTAAGTTATGGTGCCAACATATCAGCTATGGTAGAAGATACGTCTATCTTGCATGGCCTTGGACAAGTATGAAACTTCTAATTGGAATTGAAATACTTTTCTATGTGTAAAATAAATGTAATATTGTCGATGAAAAGAGTCAGACTCTGTGACATATTTGAAGAGATTTATTCTGAGCCAAATATGAGTGACCATGGCCGGTGACACAGCCCTCAGGAGGTCCTGAGAACATGTGTCTAAGGTGGTCGGGGTGCAGCTTGGTTTTATACACTTTAGGGAGACATGAGACTTCAATCAAATACATTTAAGAAATACATCTAGCCAGGCGCGATGGCTCGCGCCTGTAATCCCAGCACTTTGGGAAGCTGAGGCAGGTGGATCACCTGAGGCCAGGAGTTCAAGACCAGCCCGGCCAACATGGCGAAACCCTGTCTGTACTAAAAATACCAAAAAAATTAGCTGGGCATGGTGGCAGGCACCTGTAATCCCAGCTACTCAGGAGGCTGAGGCAGGAGAATCGCTTGAAACCGGGAGGCTGCAGTGAGCCGAGATCCTGCCATTGCACTCTAGCCTGGGCAACAAGAGCAAAACTCCATCTCAAAAAAGAAAAAAGAAAAGAAAAAAGTACGGGTCTGTCGCCCAGGCTGGAGTGCAGTGGTGCGATCTCGGCTCACTGCAACTGAGAGGAAGCCTTCAGATAGCAGGCTTCAGAGAGAATAGGTTGTAAAATGTTTCTTATCAGACTTAAGGTCTGTGTTGGTGTTAATGCTGGAGAGGTATGATGAGGCATGTTAGATCCCCACTTCTTGTCATGGCCTGAAACAGTCTCTCAGGTTAAATTTTAAAAAGACCCCTGGCTGGGCACAGTGGCTCATGGGTGTAATCACAGCACTATTAGGAGACTGAGGTCACTTGAGGTCAGGAGTTCGAGACCTGCCTGGCCAACATGGCAAAACCATGTCTGTACTAAAAATACAAAAAATTAGCCAGGTCACTCGGGAGGCTGAGGCAGGAGAAGCGCTTGAACCTGAGGAGTCGAGGTTGCAGTGAGCTGAGATCGTGCCACTGCACTCCAGCCTGGACAACAGAGCAAGACTTCATTTCAAAAAAAAAAAAAAAAAAAAGAGTCCTGGCTGAGGAGGAAGTCCTTTCAGATGGTTGGGGGGCCTTAGAATTTTATTTTTGGTTTATAATATCTTGCTCAATCTTCCTTTCTGGGTCTCATATAGTAAAAAAAAAAACACTGTACAAATATATGTTCACTTGTCATTTGTTGAAAGATGTTCCTTGAGCACCTACTATGTGCCATGCACTGTCCTTGGCACTAGTGACACAGCCCTGGCGGGACCCAGGTCCAATCCTCCTGACACTGTCTAGGAAGAGTTTGTTATATGGACACCCTTTACCCAGGTGCCTAGCTTCAGAGGTTTTCCAGGTCTTCAGGCTGCTTGTGAGGATGCCAGTTTCCCCAATCCAACCCCATTCTCTCTCTCTTTGCTCAAGGTATCTTCTGCTGTATCTAATTTCTACTTGTAAGGGGCATAATCTCATGGGAAGTGTAAGTTAGGAATGCATCCAGTGGCTGGAACCCAGACTTCTTAAATTAGTATCTATCTGGTTTTTTTCCCCCTCAGAATTTCCCATTTTGTCTCTACGAGGCTACATGGTACCGATTTGGGGGACATCTATAATTCAGCCCACTCTAATCAGCTGCTGCTTGAGGTCACCCATCTGGCACCTTCGTGGTTCCTGTGCCAAACATAGATTCTCCCTTCTCACCACCCTTTGGTGGCGTTTTCAAGTTCCTAAGGTTCTCTTGACTCCTCAGAAATGGCTGTCCTTTGTGTTTTAAGATGATACCGTTCACCCATCGTTGGGGCAACATTTTTTTAAATTAATTTTTTGGGGTGGTGATGATGGAATGTGCTGAGTTTGGGTTTTTTGTTTTGTTTTTGTTTTTTGTTTTTTTTTTTTTGCTTTTGCTTTGTTAGCCTAGTAACTGAGCTGATTCAAGCAAGGTAGCCTATCACCCAGCAATGAGGCTTTTATTTTTTAAATGTTTTCTAAAACTAATTTTCATACAGGAAGAGAAAAATAATTTCCCTCCTGGTTTTAATTAATGCATGCTTGGTATAGTAACTGTTTTTTGGACCAAGGGTTACTGTGCCATACTGCATCTAACCCATGCCTCTGACTTTATTAGTAGCTTGGTCCAAGTAACTGAGACGGCATGGGTAATGTGCTCACTGTTCCATGCAATCACCTAAATTTTAGTCACTGATGCTGAAGAGTGTCCGTGTGCATTTCAGAAAAGGATACTTATGTTTCATTCTCTTGAAGGAGCTCCTTTAGTTTTCTGCTTTCTAGCAATTACTGTGCCTCTTCCCATGCTCATCTATTTTTTTTTTTTTTTTTTTTTTTTTTTTTTTGAGACCAAGTTTCGCTCTGTTGACCAGGCTGGAGTGCAGCGGTGTGATCTTGATCAGGAGATCAAGCCCACACTCATCTATTTACTCACTTACTCATTTATTTAGCAAGTGTTTAATGAGCCGAGCCCTGATCATTTGTAGAATTGTTATGTACGTGTAAGTAAGATAAGATACAGCCTTTCCCTTAAGCTATAGTGGCCCAGAGAAAAGAGAGGCACCCATACAGGCTTTTACTGTCAAAAGGGATGGCTGCTAACAGAAGGTCTGGGAAACAAATTAATCTCAAGAGGGGGCTGGGCGCGGTGCTTCACACCTGTGATCCCAGCACTTTGGCAGGCCGAGGCGGGAGAATCACCTGAGGTCAGGGGTTCGAGACCAGCCTGACCAACATGGCGAATCCCCATTTCCACTAGAAATACAAAAATTAGCTGGGCGTGGCTGTAATCCCAGCTCCTGGGGAGGCTGAGGCAGGAGAATCGCTTGAATCTAGGAGGCAGAGGTTGCGGTGAGCTGAGATCATGCCACTGCACTCCAGCCTGGGCGACAGAGCAAGACTCTGTCTAAAAAATAAAATTAAAAAAAAAAAGTCTCAGGAGAAAGAGACAGAACTTCTTTCAGGGAGAAGGCAGGCTCTCCCTTTCAGGGAGAAGGCAGGTTAGATTCTTGAAGGAATAGTAGCTGTCCTGCAAAAATCTCAGGGCTTTTAAATAACAGGGCAAGTTTGGAAGAACTGAAAGTCGGGAGCCTAAGGCACTAAAACAGAAGGGAGTGACAGGAAATCAAGACCAGGCCATGAAGGACCCCAGGTGCGAGGTGTGGGGATGTTTATTTAATCCCATATACACTGGAAATTTATTGAAGGATTTTTAAGCAGGAAGTTGATAGACTTATGCTTTAAAAAGATATTTTGGCCAGGTGCGGTGGCTCACACCTGTAATCCCAGCACTTTGGGAGGCCAAGGCTGGAAGGTGGCTTGAGGTCAGGAGTTTGACACCAGCCTGGGCAATATAGTGAGGGCCAGTCTCTAGTAAAAAATGAAAAAATTATCTGGGTGTGATTGGACACACCTGTGATCCCAGCTACTGGGGAGGCTGAGACAGGAGGATCGAAAATCACTTGAGCCCAGGAGTTCAAGGCTGCAGTGAGCTATGATCATGCCACTGTACTCCACCCTGGGCAACAGAGTGAGACCCCCGACTCTAAAAAAGGAAAAAAAAGATTTTGGGCCAGGCGTGGTGGCTCACACCTGTAATCCCAGCACTTTGGGAGGCCGAGGCAGGTGGATCACTTGAGGTTAGGAGTTTGAGACCAGCCTGGCCAACATGGCGAAACCCTGTCTCTACTAAAAACACAAAAATTAGCTGGGCACGGTGGTGGGCACCTGTAATCCCAGCCACCTGGGAGGCTGAGGCACAGGAATCACTTGAACCCAGGAGGCAGAAGTTGCAGTGAGCTGAGATCACTGACAGAGTGAGACTCTGTCCCAAAAGAATAAATAGTAATTTAAAAAAAATGAAAAAGGTAGTTTTTGGCAGCAGTGGGTCATGGGGAGATGCTGAGAGACAGAAGAGAAAGGTCGATGTCAAAGGCCACCCTAGACACAAACAGCTGGGAATTCTGGCAATGGGAGAGTGGGATTCGAGGACACTATTGAAGAGTCTCCTTCCATGAAGCGCCCTGGTGACTCGCATCACCTCGCTTCTGCCAGGGCCCAGGAGCATCTGCCTCTGCTGCTCATTACAGTCTTCAGAAATGAGTTTTGCCCAAGACACATCCTAAAGTATCCCCTGGCTCTCTGGTCAGCCCATTGTGTGTCGTCTAGATCCAGATGTGTCTTGGGGCTCAGTGACAAGGGATGGGACTTGCTTCACAAAAGCTACGCTTTCTACCCAGGGCAAGTGCTCACAGAAAGAAAAAGAAGTCAGAGGATTTCCATGGGAGTTCCTGAGAACCGTGGACAACTAACACCTGGGAACAACTGGGGGCAGTTAGGAGGCCCAGCTCCAGCTTGGGGAGGAAACGGGCTTCAGGCCAGCAGCAGTTGGCAGGCAAGGAGGGTCCAGAGTCACCAAGCCCCGCACAGGACACAGAACTGGCCCCAAGCAGGATGGAGGGAGGGAGGGTGTCACTTTGAAAGGTCTATTCTCCTAATCCCTAGGAAATGTTAGCTTTTTCCTAATTATAAGCCCTGCTTATAAAATTCTATCACCATTTCCTTATAACTGTATACAGGATAAGTTCTTCTCATTTTCCTCTCTTTTTGGTTTTGCTCCATTGCTTCCTATTTTTGTTCCAAACTTTTTCTCATACTCACATTGCCCTTAGGAGAAGCTCTTTTGCTAAAGTCACCTCTTCAGTCTTTGCGGGGAGGGAGGACATCCTTGGGCCAAGATCAGTAATAGCTTAGTTTCTAATCATTTTCCTCTTGCACTCAAGTTTTAAGAACTAGCAGCACATCTTAGCTGGTCCTGTTGTTTTTTTTTTTTTTTTTGAGATGGAGTCTCGCTCTGTCGCCCAGGCTGGAGTGCAGTGGCGCGATCTCGGCTCACTGCAAGCTCTGCCTCCTGGGTTCACGCCGTTCTCCTGCTTCAGCCTCCCGAGTAGCTGGGACTATAGGTGCCCG